>NC_000003.12:48191818-48494848 GCF_000001405.40 Homo sapiens
ACATATGTAATATACATATATACACACATGTAATATACACAAACATATATATACACACATATATACATACACAAAAATTAGCCATGTATGGTGGTGCACAACTGTAATCCCAGCTACTATGGAGGCTGAGGCATGAGAATTGCTTGAACCCAGGAGGTGGAGGTTGCAGTGAACCGAGATTGAGCCACTGCACTCCAGCCTGGGTGACAGGGCGAGACTCCGTCTCAAAAAAAAAAAAAGTTAGTTATGGTACTAGTTACCTTTCAGAAAGATGGTGGTGACTGCAAGGGGCCATGAAGGGGATATTGGCAACTGGTCATATTCTGTTTCTTATTTATTTTTCACTTTTTGAGACAGAGTCTTGCTCTGTGGCCCAGGTTGGAGTGCAGTGACATGATCATGGCTCACTATAGCCTCGAACTTCTGGGTTCAAGTGATCCTCCCACCTCAGCTTCCTGAGTAGCCTGAACTACAGGCATGCACCCATAAACCTAGCTAATTAAAAATTTTATTTTTTATTTTGGCTGGGCATGGTGGCTCACGCCTGTAATCCCAGCACCTTGGGAAACCGAGGTGGGTGGATCATGAGGTCAGGAGTTCGAGACCAGTGTGGCCAACATGGCAAAACTCCGTCTCTACTAAAAATACAAAAAATTAGCCGGGTGTGGTGGCACACGCCTGTAATCCCAGCTACTTGGGAGACTGAGGCAGTAGAATCACTTGAACCCAGGAGGCGGAGGTTACAGTGAACTGAGATCATGCCATTGCACTCCAGCCTGGGCAACAGAGCAAGACTCTGTCTCAGAAAAAAATATATGTATAATTTTAGAGACGGGAGTCTAACTATGATGCCCAGGCTGGTCTCAAACTCTCGAGCTCAAGCGATCCTCCCGTCTTGGACTCCCAAAGTGTTAGCATTATATGCATGAGCCACTGCACCTGGCCACTTTCCATTTCTTGATCTGGGTGCTGGTTACCTGAGTGTGTTCACCTTGTGGAAATTCATTGAGCTACACACTCAAGATTTGTTAGCTGTTCTGTATGAATGGTGTATTTCAATGAAATGTTTATTATTAGTGATAAAAAGCCTTTCCTTGATGCCACTTTCCCCTCCAACTATATTCATTCCTTCCCTTCACAGTAAAACTCCTGGCCGGGCACAGTGACTCACACCTGTAATCCCGGCACTTTGGGAGGCCGAGGTCAGGAGTTCAAAACCAGCCTGGCCAACACGGTGAAACACCATCTTGGCCGGGCATGGTGGCTCACGCCTGTAATCCCAGCACTTTGGGAAACCGAGATGGGTGGATCATGAGGTCAGGAGTTCAAGACCAGCCTGGCTAACATAGTGAAACCCCATCTCTACTAAAAATACAAAAAATTAGTGGTGCGTGGTGGTGGGCACCTGTAATCCCAGCTACTTGGGAGGCTGAGGCAAGAGAATTGCTTGAACCTGGGAAGCGGTGGTTGAAGTGAGTGGAGATGGCACTACTGCACTCCAGCCTGGGTGACAGTGCGAGACTCCCTCTCAAAAAAAAAAAAAAAAAAGAAAAGAAAGCCCCATCTCTACTAAAAATACAAAAATTAGCCAGGCATGGTGGTGGGCGCCTGTAATCCCAGCTACTCAGGAGGCTGAGGCAGGAGAATTGCTTGAGCCGGGAGGCAGAGATTGCAGTGAGCAGAGATCAGGACACTGCACTCCAGCCTGAAAGACAGAGCAAGACTCCCTCTCAAAAAAAAAAAAAACCCAAAAAACAAAACACAGTAAAACTCCTCAAAAAAGTTGTCTCTAATTTCTCTCCTCACATTTTCTCTTGGACCCACTGTCATCAGACATTGATTTTCCCCACTCCATGGAAGTGGCTTTTTTTTTTTTTTGAGATGGAGTCTCACTCTGTCGCCCGGGCTGGAGTGTGGCAATCTTAATTCACTGCAACCTCCGCCTCCCACCTCCCAGGTTCAAGTGATTCTCCTGCCTCAGCCTCCCGAGTAGCTGGGATTACAGGTGTCCGCCACCACGCCTGGCTAATTTTGTATTTTTAGTAGAGATGGGGTTTCACTGGCTGGTCTCGAACTCCTGACCTCAAGTGATCTGCCCGCCTTGGCCTCCCAAGGTGCTGGGATTACAGGCATGAGCCACTGTGCCAGGGTGGAAACGGCTTTTGTCAAATTCTCCGGGAACCTTCATTTTGCTGAATACAGTGACCAATTTGCAGTCCTAGCTTTACTCCACCCAGCAGCCACCCATCATCCTCACTGCATGCTTGGCCACTCCTAGAAACATTCGCTTTGCTAGGTTTTCAGAGCACCACTCTCAGATTTTCCTCCTCTCTCCAGTTGCTCCTAAAAAAGTAAAAAAAAATGATGCCGTGGAGAGGTCATGATGGAGGGAAGCTATTGGCCTCTGAAGGTGGGAAGCAGGCATCCAGGCATAGCAGGAGAGGCCGGCCCTGGACTTCCTGCAGGAGCTGGGAGCTCCTTCGGGGCACTATGGTCCCTTGTTCCCAGCAGCAGCATAAAGCCTGGCTCATGGCGACAAGGAGAAATGTTTGTGGAGTGAATAAAGAATAAGACTTTGAATGTTATCCTGAAGGCAGTGGATTTAGAAAGAGTCTCTGAGAAGCCATCATTCCTCCCCTCCTTTTCCCCATGGAAGATAGACTGGATTATGGCTTGGGGTGGTGAGGTGGGTTCCTAGGGTTCTTTTCTCTTCCCAGAAGGTTGAGGAAGGACTTTTCATCCCACTCTTCCCATCGGAGGGCATTGATGTAGCACCCAGGAAGGCCACCGGAGGGCACTATATTCCCAGGAGACCATTATTTGGGAACGAATTGAGAGTTGCTGGTAGAAAAGAATAAAGCTTAGCACACGTGTGAGAAACCAAATACACCCCTCTTTCTGGGATGTTTCCAGAGCCTTCTGCAAGGTGGGACATGCTCAGGGCCAGGAGCCTTACACCTGTGTTGTTGGTCTCAGCTGGCCCTTTATCTTATGTTGCAGACTCTTTTTTTTTTTTTTTTTGAGACAGGATCTCACTCTGTCACCTGAGGCTGGAGTGCAGTGGTGCAATCTCTTGGCTCACTGAAGCCTCAACCTCCTGAGCTTAAGTGATCCACCCCCCTGTCCTTCCCAAAGTGCTGGGATTACAGGTGTGAGCCAGCCTGGCCTGTGGCAGCCTCTTGACGACTCTTGGTCTCAGTTGTACCCCTCTAGAAAATGGGAGTAATGGCCGGGCGCGGTGGCTCACGCCTGTAATCCCAGCACTTAGGGAGGCCGAGACAGGCGGATCACGAGGTCAGGAGATCGAGACCGTCCTGGCTAACACGGTGAAACCCCGTCTCTACTAAAAATACAAAAAAATGAGCTGGGCGTGGTGGCAGGTGCCTGTAGTCCCAGCTACTCGGGAGGCTGAAGCAGGAGAATGGCGTGAACCCGGGAGGCGGAGCTTGCAGTGAGCGGAGATCGCGCCACTGCACTCCAGCCTGGGCGACAGAGTGAGACTCCATCTCAGAAAAAAAAGAAAAGAAAAGAAAATGGGAGTAATGGCCCCTGGCAGGTCTCCCACACAGAGGCATCAGCAAGAGAAAACAGAGTAAGTAGTAGAGATAGTGGTTGAAATAAAATGTACCGGAGAAATTCCTGGGGTTGGCCAGGTGTGGTGGCTTATGCCTCTAATCCCAGCACTTTAGGAGGCTGAAGCAGGAGGATCACTTGAGCCTAGGAGTTCCGGACCAGCCTTCGTAACAGCGAGACTCCGTCTCAATATTTAAAAAAAAAAAAGAAAGAAATTCGAGGTGTTGCTAATCCTCACTGTCCCCCTCACCCCACCCCTGTGCTAATTGTGTTTCTGCATCTATGGTTAGTTCATTCCTCTTTACTGACACACACTACTGAGTGTATGACGCTACACACATGAACACTGCTTTTTTTTTTTTTTTTTTGAGACGGAGTCTCGCTCTGTCGCCCAGGCTGGAGTGCAGTGGCGCGATCTCGGCTCACCGTAAGCTCCGCCTCCCGGGTTCACGCCATTCTCCTGCCTCAGTCTCCCGAGTAGCTGGGACTACAGGCGCCCGCCACCACACCCGGCTAATTTTTTGTAATTTTAGTAGAGCCAGGGTTTCGCCGTGTTAGCCAGGATGGTCTCGATCTCCTGACCTCGTGATCCGCCCACCTCGGCCTCCCAAAGTGCTGGGATTATAGGCGTGAGCCACCGTGCTCGGCCCTGAACACTGCTTTGAGTGGTGTCCAACCTTAACGTTCTGTGGAAGGTGATTCCCCGGTAGATGGAGATGATGAGTTAGGTCAGAGCCAGTGGGCAGTGAACGGAGGCCACTGGGGTGGTAGGGAGCCATAATAGGTTCTGGAATCGGGTGAGGATTTCATTTCAAAGGGCTAAGTTTTCTTGTGAGGTTTCCTGGGGCCCTCCTTCTGGAAGGCAGAGTTCCTAGGCAGCATCTGAGCCCTCCTTACAGCTTATACCTGGGTGCTGTGCCCCTGCACAGAACAGACTCAGAGGAGAGGAAACACCCTGTGCTGGGGGCTGGGAGGGGGCTGGAGACCTGCGCAAGCTGGACCTGTGCTGTCTTTGCTCAGTCCCGGCCTTTCTCAATCCTTGGGCCTCTGGTAGGTGAATTGTTCCTGGATTCCTTCCTGTCCTGGTTGAGTTAGAGCCTCTTGCACCATCCTGCTGATGGCTGGTTGATATTAAGCAAAGTGCAGTATGGGGAAGGATAAAGGGATGGCATGGTGGGGGTTGGAGGCGTGGGTTTTAGAACCTATCCCTTTCTAGCCCTGAGCAATGCTTGCCCCAGAAGGAGTTGGGGCTAGGCCCATTCCAATCCTTCCAGCCTAAGATCCAGACTCCAAGGCATGCCCCAGGCCTCCTGGGATGTTTGTATGTTCTGTGAAAATGGGAACAGATTTGAAGAAATCAGGGTTAATCAGAGTGAAACAGGTTCCTTTTCTGTGGCATTACTCAGTGCCTTTAGCAAGTGGTGTATTGTGAGTCTTCAAGAAACAGCAGGAGGGAGGTTTCACATACTTCCTTGCATGAGGAACCCTTTTCACAGAGAATTTTGCAGACCACTGTTCCATAGAACACACTGTAAGAAGTTTCCATTTCATCCAATGCAGCCCCCGTGTTCATTTCACAGAGGAGGAAACAGGAATGCATAGATGGGAAGGATCTTGCCCCTTGTCTCAGGCTGGGTTGGTGGTCTCCTGAGTGCAGCCTGGGCCTCCCTCCCTTGTGTACACTCAGAGCCTCCGGGAGTGAGCAGCGAGGTAGGTGCTGCAGGGCTACTCCTCTTCCTCACCTTCATACCTTTCTGTCATCTTCAGGGGGATCAAGACCCCACTCATGTGAGCTCAGGCTTGGCCGTGGAAGACAGTGAGTACAGGAAGCAATGCTCTTTCCTGGGAAGACATCCCCACACATTACCAACACTTACCTCCCTACCTCGCAACTTTTTAAATTGAGATGTAAATTACCTACCTCTATGATCATTGACAAATGTTCTAAATGGTGTAACCACCACTGCAATCCAGACACAGAGCATTTTCATTGTCCCAAATATGCTCCCTCACTCCCCTTTGCAGTTAGTCTCCTCTTCCTAACCCAGGCCCCTGGTAACCACTGACCTACTTTTTGTTTTTTTGTTTTTTTTTAGGTAGAGTCTCGCTCTGTCGCCCAGACTGGAGTGCAGTGGCTCGATCTTGACTCATCGCAACCTCTGCCTCCTGGGTTTAAGTGATTCTCCTGCTTCAGCCTCCTGAGTAGCTGGGACTACAGGCTTGTGCCACAACACCAGGCTAATTTTTTTTTTTTTTTTTTTGAGACAGAGTTTCACTCTTATTGCCCAGGCTGGAGTCCAATGGCGCGATCTCGGCTCACTGCAACCTCCACCTCCCGAGTTCAAGCAATTCTCCTGCCTCAGCCTCCCGAGTAGCTGGGATTACAGGCATGCACCACCACGTCCGGCTAATTTTGTATTTTTAGTGGAGACAGGGTTTCTCCATGTTGGTCAGGCTGATCTTGAACTCCCGACCTCAGGTGATCTGCCCACCTGGGCTTCCCAAAGTGCTGGGATTATAGGTGTGAGCCACTGCGCCCAGCCCCTACTTTCTATCTCTATAGTTTTGTCCTTTCTGGACATTTTGTATAAATAGAATCATCCCATATGTGACCTTTGCATCTGGCTTATTTCACTTAGTGCAATGTTTATGAGGCTTATTTGTGTTTCTGCAAGTATGGTTAGTTCATTCCTCTTTATTGACAAGCAGCATTCCATTGAATGGATGTACCACAGTTTCATGGACATGTTGATGAACACTTTGGATGTTCTTGCCTTTTGACTGTTGTGAAAAAGTTGCTATGGGCTGGGCGCGGTGGCTCACGCCTGTAATCCCAGCACTTTCGGAGGCCGAGGCGGGTGGATCACAAGGTCAGGAGATCAAGATCATCCCGGCTAACATGGTGAGACCCCTGTCTCTACTAAAAAATACAAAAAAATTAGCCGGGTGTAGTGGCGGGTGCCTGTGGTCCCAGCTACTCGGGAGGCTGAGGCAGGAGAATGGCGTGAACCTGGGAGGCGGAGCTTGCAGTGAGCCAAGATCGCGCCACTGCACTCCAGCTTGGGTGACACAGCAAGACTCTGTCTCAAAAAAAAAAAAAAAGAAAAGAAAAAGTTGCTATGTACAATTTTTTTTTTTTTTTAAGACAGAGTCTCGCTTTGTCGCCCAGGCCAGAGTGCAGCAGTGGTGCTATCTTGGCTCACTGCAACCTCTGCCTCCCAGGTTTAAGCGATTCTCCTGCCTCAGCCTCCCAAGTAGCTGGGACTACAGGAGCATGCCACCACGCCCAGCTAATTTTTGTATTTTTAGTAGAGATGGGGTTTCACTATGTTGGCCAGGCTGGTCTTAAACTCCTGACCTCAGGTGATCCACCCGCTTCGGCCTCCCGAAGTGCTGGGATTACAGGCGTGAGCCACCACACCTGGCCCGTACTTTCTTTTTTTCTTTTCTTTTTTTTTTTTGGAGACAGAGTCTCACTCTGTTGCCCAGGCTGGAGTGCAGTGGTGAGATTCTCCTGCCTCAGCCTCCTGAGTAGCTGGGACTACAGGGCGTGTGCCACCATGTCCAGCTACTTTTTTGTATTTTTAGCTGAGGCAGGAGAATCGCTTGAACCCAGGAGGCAGAGGTTGCAGTAAGCTGAGATCATGCCACTGCACTCCACCCTGGGTGACAGAGCGAGACTCTGCCTCAGAAAAAAAAAAAAAAAAGAAAAGAACTGTTTGGTGGGTGACTGTTTCTGCTGAGCAAGACCCTACCTTGGAGGCCACCTCTACAGTACTGGGGAGAGATTTCCCATGAAGGGGAGGAGGAAGTACTCTCCACTCTGTAGCCCTATCAGTGAGCTTGAAAATAACCCTCAAGGCAGCACTGGGGCCCTTCCCATCACTAAGGCAAAAACCCAAGTCCTTGGGGGTTGTCATGGTAACAACACCTTGAGAGGGCACCCATGTTCTGTTCATGGACATGTTGCACATGGACTCTGGCCACCTGTGCCAGGACATGATGTGTGCATGGGGTTCCTCTATAATCTCCCTCATCCCTGCTCAGGGCACTCCTGTGAGTTCAAGGCAGGGGTCACCACTGTTCCCATTTGGTGGAGGAGGAAACTGAGGTAGAGAGGGGGTTGTCCAAGGCCACAAAAGGACATCGTATTGGGTCAGATCTCTTTCAGCTGAGTCTGTGCTCTGGCTGCCCTGTCTCCCTGAGGTGGAAACTGTCCCCCTGCACCCCATCCTTCAGCACCACAACCCCTACCACAACCCTCTTCATCTTTAACCTCTTTCCAATTTTCTCTTCCATAGCTCCTCTGGTCAAGAGATTGAGATTCAGCTTTCATGGATGTATTAGAAATCAAGGCTGGACACAGTGGCTCACACCTGTAATCTCAGCACTTTGGGAGGCTGAGGCAGGCAAATCACGTGAGCCCTGGAATTCAAGACCAGTCTGGGCAATAGCGAGACTCCCTCTCTACGAAAAAAATAAAAATAAAAATAGCTGGGTGTGGTGGAGTGCACCTGTGGTCTCACCCCCTAGAGAGACTGAGGCAGGAGGATCGCTTGAGCCCAGGAGTTAGAGGCTGCAATGAGCTGTGACCACACCACTGCACTCCAGCCTGGCAACAGAGCAAGGCCCTGTCTTAAAAAAAAAAAAAGAAAAGAAAAAAAAAGAAAAATCAAGAGGTTGACTCTGACTTGGCCAGGGCTAGCGGCTGCTGAATGTCCATGAAAGCTCAACACCCTCATGGCGATGGCATGGCCTCCAGGTCCCCAGGCTGGCCAGCTCGCTCCCACCTGTGCACATGCTGCACTCTACACTGAATTAGTTGCTGCTCATGGAATCTGTGGTGATCTTCTCACCATCATACCTTGGCTCACACCGTCCCCACCTGCTGTGCTTTCACCCACACGATGTCCTACCTGTCCCTGGGGGCAGCAGTACTACCTTTCACGGTCTCTCACACAGCAGCCCTCCCTGTCTAATAGCAACATTGTGTTCTTGATCATCTAGCCGAATGGTGAGCTCCCCAGGGCAGTGAGTACTTCGGAATCGCCTCTATGGCCACCATAATACACGTGGCCCAAGGCCTAAGAATCAAAAGACCTTGAGACATATTGGAAACACACACAGAGCCAGCTTGATGGTGGCTGTCTCTGAGGAGTGGGTCTGGGCTTAGACTCACTTTTCATTGTGTACCCTTTCTTATTATTTGGGGTTTTCACTAAGTTTCTTGTATATTGCTTTTCATAATAGGAAAGGAAGAAAGACTCTCATAGTAAAGTGGGATGGGGCTTCTCTCAGGAAACACAGGGGACCCTCACCTGTGGTGGCCCCAGCTTTGCCAATTGTGCAATCCACTTGTCTCTGCCCCATCACCCTTCCGCAGGCAGTACCTGGCCTTTCAGGGAATCTTGCCCCTCCAGGCCCCTCACTGCCTCTCCCCACAGGCAAGTCCTGGATTTTGTCACCCTGAATCTGCTGCTTCTGCTTCTCCTCCTCTTCTTCCTTCTCCACGCATCCTTCCCCTCCTCTCCACTCTATTCCTCTTTCTTATTCTCCCCTTCCTTCTTTAAAATTATTATAACTGTTATTAAAGGACATAGTCTTCTTATAAAAAAAATCCAAACAGTCCTGGCACAGTGGCTCACGCCTGTAATCCCAGCGGTTTGGGAGGCCTAGGTGGGTAGATCACCTGAGGTCGAGAGTTCGAGACCAGCCTGACCAACATGGAGAAACCCCATCTCTACTAAAAATACAAAATTAGCTGGGTGTGGTGGCGCATGCCTGTAATCCCAGCTACTTGGTTCAAGCGATTCTCCTGTGTCAACCTCCCAAGTAGCTGGGATTACAGGCGTGCGCCACCATGCCCGGCTAATTTTGTATTTTTAGTAGAGATGGGGTTTCTCTATGTTGGTCAGGCTGGTCTCAAACTCCCAATCTCAGGTGATCTGTCCGCCTTGGCCTCCCAAAGTGCTGGGATTATAGGCGTGAGCCACCGTGCCCAGCAAAAAAAAAACACAACAAACTTTTGATTGAGCCAGGTGTGGCAGTTCATGCCTGTAATCCTAGCACTTTGGTAGCCTCAACTTCCTGGGCTCAATTGATCCTCGTACCTCAGTCCCTAGTTGCTGGGACTGTCAGAGGCATTTAAACCAAAGCAACTCCATCTTGAATCGGAGCTGGGTAAAATAAGGCTAAGACCTACTGAGCTGCGTTCCCAGACGGTTAAGGCATTCTAAGTCACAGAATGAGATAGGAGATTGACACAAGATACAGGTCATAAAGACCTTACTGGGGCTGGGCGCGGTGGCTCATGTCTGTAATCCCAGCACTTTGGGAGGTAGAGGTGGGCAGATCACCTGAGGTCGGGAGTTTGAGGCCAGCCTGACCAACATGGAGAAACCCCATCTCTACTAAAAATACAAAATTAGACTGGGCACGGTGGCTCACGCCTGTAATCCCAGCCCTTTGGGAGGCCGAGGCGGGCAGATCACGAGGTCAGGAGATCGAGACCATCCTGGCTAACACGGTGAAACCCCATCTCTACTAAAAATACAAAAAATTAGCCGGGCGTGGTGGCAGGCGCCTGTAGACCCAGCTACTTGGTTCAAGGCTGAGGCAGGAGAATGGCGTGCATGAACCCGGGAGGCGGAGCTTGCAGTGAGCTGAGATCGCACCACTGCACTCCAGCCTGGGCAACAGAGTGAGACTCCGTCTCAAAAAAAAAAAAAAAAAAAAAAAAAAAATTAGCCGGGCGTGGTGGCGCATGCCTGTAATCCCAGCTACTTGGGAGGCTGACGCAGGAGAATCGCTTGAACCCGGGAGGCAGAGGTTGCAGTGAACCGAGATCGCGCCATTGCACTCAAGCCTGGGCAACAAGCATGAAACTCCGTCTCAAAAAAAAAAAAACAAAAGGCCGGGCGCGGTGGCTCACGCCTGTAATCCCAGCACTTTGGGAGGCCGAGGCGGGTGGATCACGAGGTCAGGAGATCGAGACCATCCTGGCTAACATGGTGAAACCGCGTCTCTACTAAATGTACAAAAAATTAGCCGGGCGCAGTGGCGGGTGCCTGTAGTCCCAGCTACTCGGGAGGCTGAGGCAGGAGAATGGTGTGAACTCGGGAGACGGAGCTTGCAGTGAGCCGAGATCGCACCACTGCACTCCAGCCTGGGCGACAGAGCCAGACTCCGTCTCAAAAAAAAAAAAAAAAAAAAAAAAAAAAAAAAAAACAAAAAAAACAAAAAAAAAACCTTGTTGATAAAACGGGTTGCAGTAAAGAAGCCGGCTAAATTCCACCAAAACCAAGATGGCCACGAGAGTGACCTCTGGTCATTTTCACTGCTACACTCCCACCAGCTCCATGACAGTTTACAAATGCCATGGCATTGTCAGGAAGTTACCCTATATGGTCTAAAAAGGGGAGGCATAAATAATCCACCCCTCACTTAGTATATCATCAAGAAATAACCATAACAATGGGCAACCAGCAACCCTCAGGACTGCTCTGTCAACGGAGTAGCCATTCTTTTACTCCTTTACTTTCCTAATGAACTTGCCTTTGCTTTGCTCTGTGGACTTGTCCTGAATTCTTTCTTGTGCGATATCCAAGAACCCTCTTTTGGGATCTGAATCGGGACCCCTTTCCTGTAGCATCTTTCTGGCGACTATGAAGGGACTATAGTGTGGAAATCCCCAACCCAAAGGCTAACTGTGTAAGTGGTGGGGTCTGGTAACATCTTTCTGATGAATCCTGAAAGGACAATATTGAAGAAACCACCTGCCCCAAAGGAAATGGACTGCAGGACTAATTGGTGGACTTTGGGTAAGTGGGATGCCTATATCCGGGTAAAGAATGGGATTGGGTTAGAGGCCCAATTTAGGGGACTTAGAGTCTCTCCTAAGTCAGAGTGGGTTAGAGGCCCCTTTCTTAATAAAAGGCAGGAGGCCAGGTGCGGTGGCTTATGGCTATAATCCCAGTACTTTGGGAGGCTGAGGTGGGTGGATCACCTGAGGTCAGGAGTTCAAGACCAGCCTGACCAACATGGCAAAACCCCATCTCTACTAAAAATACAAGTAACTGGGTGTGGTGGTGCAAGGCTGTAATCTCAGCTACTCAAGAGCCTGAGGCAAGAGAATCACTTGAACCCAGGAGGTGGAGGTTGCAGGGAGCCGAGATCATGCCACTGTACTCCAGCCTGGGCAACAAAGTGAGACTCCGTCTCAAAAATAAATAAATAAATAAAAATAAAAGGCAAGAATGCTTGACTGACCTTGGGTTAGAGGCCCAACTTAGAAGGGTTAGAGTCCCTTTAAGATTTAGGGAGTTGGAGGCTACTCTCAGTAAACTCCCTTTCAGCTAAGAACAGGTTTAGCATTACAGGATGTTAACTGCTATTCTCTTTGGATTGATCTGCCTTGCACTCTTTGCTGTTGGTCAGGCTGGTCTTGAACTCCCGACCTCAGGTGATCTGCCCGACTCAGCCTCCCAAAGTGCTGGGATTACAAGTGTGAGCCACTGGTCCTGGCCATGATGATCTGCTCTTTAACAAAAATTTGTAAAGGGCTATAAAAGGTTTATGAAAATCTTACCTTATGGTCAAACTGACTAAGATTAAAATATATTTGTCTATAAGGTTTTATTAAGAATTGGGTTTGCTGGGTGTGGTGGCTCATGGTCTGTAATTCCAGCACTTTGGGAGGCCAAGGCGGGCAGATCACGAGGTCAGGAGTTCAAGACCAGCGTGGCCAATATGGTGAAACCCCATTTCTACTAAAAATACAAAAATTAGCCAGGCATGGTGGCAGGCACCTATAATCCCAGCTACTTGGGAGGGTGAGGCAGGAGAATCGCTTGAACCCGGGAGGCAGAGGTTGCAGTGAGCCGAGATTGCGCCACTGCACTCCAGCCTGGTGACAGAGCAAGACTCCGTCTCAAAAAAAAAAAAGAAAGAAAAATTGGGTTTGACATCAATAATGCATTAATGCAACAGTAACATTTGGCTTATTTGGTTTAAAAGTCATACAAGGCCGGGCGCAGTGGCTCACACCTGTAATCCCAACACTTTGGGAGGCCGAAGCAGGCAGATCACCTAAGGTTGGACGTTTGAGACCAGCCTGGCCAACATGGAGAAACCCCATCTCTACTAAAAATACAAAAATGAGCTGGGCGTGGTGCCGCATGCCTCTAATCCCAGCTACTCAGGAGGCTGAGGCAGGAGAATTGCTTGAACCCAGGAGGTGGAGGTTGTGGTGAGCTGAGATCATACCATTGCACTCCAGCCTGGGCAACAAGAGCGAAACTCCGTCTCAAAAAAAAAAGTCATACAAAAGCATTGTCAAATATAAAATGGCGTTTGGTTTTCTTTGGGCTGTATTTGTATAAATATGTTATTGGTATGTGTTCCCAAATTATGGAATACTCCTATAATTCTGATATGGCTTAGTGTTTGTTATTAATAATTATAATTGTTACATAAAATCATTATATGCCACAGAGGTAACCAAATTTCTTTTTTTTTTGAGACGGAGTCTCGCTCTGTCCCCTGGCTGGAGTGCAGTGGTGTGATCTTGGCTCACTGCAACCTCCCCACAGGTTCCAGTGATTCTCCTGCCTCAGCCTCCCGAGTAGCTGGGACTACAGGTACCTACCACCACGCCCAACTAATTTTTGTATTTTTAGTAGAGATGGGGTTTCACCATGTTGGCCGGATGGTCTCGATCTCCTGACCTCATGGTCCACCCAACTTGGCCTCCCAAAGTGCTGGGATTACAGGCATGAGCCACTAAGCCCTGCCTGTCAGTTGTGTTTTTTTGTTTTGTTTTGTTGTTGTTGTTGTTTTGAGATGGAGTCTCTCCCTGTTGCCCAGGCGTGACACGATCTCAGCTCACTGATTCTATGCCTGCATGGGTTCCAAGGGCACTGGGCTGGAGAGGAGGGCACAGGCCAGCTCTCCAAGTTCCCAGTTGCCCGCTAGGTTCGGGTAGCTGGGGGTGCTCCTAATTCTGCAGCAGGCAGAAGGAGCACTGGCATGGGGTTGAACCCCAGCATGGCCACGCCCCACCTGGGGCTTTGCCAAGCCCTTTTCTCCTTGTTCTCTGAGGGCCTCAGTTACCCCTTCTGGACAATGGAAAGTTGCAATAGTCAGTGTTGTTGGTCACACGCTTGAATGTATGGGTTTAGAGCTCTTTCTTAATTTCTTTTTTTTTTTTTTTTGAGACAGAGTCTCGCTGTGTCGCCCAGGCTGAAGTGCAGTGGCGCGATCTCGGCTCACTGCAAGCTCCACCTCCCGGGTTCACACCATTCTCCTGCCTCAGCCTCCCAAGTAGCTGGGACTACAGGCTCCTGCCACCATGCCTGGCTAAGTTTTTTTATTTTTTAGTAGAGATGGGGTTTCATCGTCTTAGCTAGGATGGTCTCGATCTCCTGACCTTGTGATCTGCCCACCTCGGCCTCCCAAAGTGCTGGGATTGAAGGCGTGAGCCACTGCGCCCAGCCCTTAATTTCTTAAAGAAGACTTTACCAAACCAATAAATAAAGTCTTAAGTGCATGTTGTTATGTTTCCCAGATGATTTAAATCTCTGTGATTTGAGGAATTCCTGAAGCCACTTCTTGAACTCCTTCCTGCTATGACTGTTTTCTGGTGCTGGTGGCAGAGCTATGGCCATGTGACCTGTGCGGTCATACAGGGCCCCTGCACTCAGAAGGGCCCTGTACTTAGTTCAATGCTCTGTTTCTGAGGTCTTGAAATTCTTTATGATTTTTGAACAAAGGGCCCCACATTTTCATTTTGCATTGGGTGCTGCAAATTATGTAGCCAGTCCTGGCAATAGTGGCTCCACACTCCCAACAACACAGGAAGGGGCTCCTGGAGGCCATTCTATGAGGAACGTATTTCCCTCCATACTTGCCCAGAGTCTCCTTGGAGTCTTTGTTCCTGGTCTTAAGCAGCCAGAGGAGCAGGGGTACAGCCTGGAGGGGAAGGAAGAGAGTTGGAGGTAGCACAGGGCAGAAGGGCACCCCTAGTCCAGCCTGTCAATGCCCAGAGTTCAGCAGATTGAAAAGCTGAATCCCCAGCACCTCTTGCCGCACTAGACTATAGGAGAGACACAGGGCTGGTCAGGGTGGTGTTTGGTGGGCTCAAGACAGAAGGGGACAGGGAGCACAGTTGAGAGAAATAGGAGGCCCCAGATCAGACCAAGAGAAACTGTGAACTGGAGCCAGAGGTCTGAGTCCTGCCACCAGCCATGACTTAGCCAAGACCTGCCTCTCAAGGCAACTCTCCCACCTGGCTCTGGACCTCAGTTTCTTCCCTTGCCAAATGGGGCTGATGGTTACCCCTGCCCTGTCCTTCCAGGAGTGCTGTGAGCTCAAAGGAGGTGGACACACAGGAGCCCTTTGTATCTTAGAGGACCACACACACAGGTCACATCCCTGGACTCAAGTGGCCAGACTCCATAGACACTATGGCCACGGTGCGGCTGGGAGGAGGCACACAACATAATTTCCATTGGCTCCATTTCCCCAGCCACACCCCTCTCAGGGGTCCCAGTTTGAACTCAGATCCAGGTGGCACCTGGCCCAAGGCTCCCTGCATGGTATTGTTACCACGACAACCCCAGAAATTAGTGTTGGGGCTTTTCCTTTGGTGACAGGATGGGTCCCAGAGGCCCTACACAATACTGTTGCTGTAGGCAAGTTTGCTGGGAGATAACTCATTTCAGTGGGGCTGCCCTTGCCCATATAGGTGACCACCGTGGCAGGGGCTCCTTGCCCAATGGAGAGAGCCCCCTGCTTCACCAGCTGTAGGGACAGCAAGTGTTTTCCACTCACAGCCAGGGTTTGACATTGATCTACACGACTGCCACTAGTCCCAGCTCTACCCATCCCCAGCAGTCTCCATCACCCATCACCCCTCCTGGGTATCCATCTCCCTCCAACCTGCAATCTCAGCTCCTGGGGGCTCTTCTCTTATGCTCTTGGCTTATTAGTTCTATTTCAGGAAAGAAAGAAAACCCTAGGGAGGGAAGTTGTCGCTGGAGACAGGATCAGTGGTTCTCAACTGGTGGTAAGCGGGCAGGAAGGCGGCCTTTAAAATCTGAATTGCTTTTTGGAAATAAGCAAAAGCTAGGTGTCACTCGGATCTGAGTTCAAGTTGAGATCCCTGAGAGGGGTGGGGCTGGGGAAATAGAGTCAGTGGAAATTGTATTCTGATGTCTCCTCCTTTCTTCCTCTCAGGGAGTTAGTCTCTTCCGTCTTCACCTCTCAAAAGGCATACAGGTGGGCAGGGGCCTGGGGAGCCTCTGGATGGGGCAGTTTCCACCCTTCCAGGGCATCCATGAGCAGATGGACTGACCTCCACTGGGGACAAGCCGGGCTGTGGGAGGAATCACATGGGCCCCCCAGGAAAGGCGTGGGGATGTGTGGGGCCTAACATGGAGTGCCCTGCCTTACTCTCTCCTCTTGGAAGTTGCACTCCGGAGGGTCTCTTGCTTGAAGCACATGATCTCCTGGAGGCTGACCCTGAGATCCCGGGGGGTTGCAAGTCTTTGTCCTGGCAGAGGAATGGAGAGATGCTTCCCAAAGCAGTCCCATGTCCAAGGGCAGGCCTTGCCTGAGGAGTCCCAGCTGCCCTCTCCATATTCATGTCCAGAGTAAAGGCCTACCTACAGGAACTGGAACCCAAACCCACCAGGCTGCCCCACAACTGAGCTGGCTTGAGCCTGGTCCTCTTCTGGAAAGCTTGTGCATCCTCCAACTCAGCCTTGGCCTCCACCCGTGCCCAGCCCAACTTATCGTTCAACCCCAGACTCTGCTGAGAGAAGCTGGAAGAAGTTCTGTCACTGAAGCCAGGACATCTTGTTGCAGATCAGGCCTGGACTGGGATAGGCTCCAAGGTTTCCAGCCCTAGCATTAGCAGCCCAGCTTATGTGGTCACCATGTCTCTGGTCCTGCACCCTGTGTGCTGCCTGCAATGGGGCCTTTAAGAGATCTTTTGGCATGTATGAGGAGCCAGCACGGTACAAACCACAGGCCTGGTCCTTCCCTCTCATTCCTTGTTTGACCAACAGGAACTGTTCATTGCCCTTTGGAGTGGAGCAAGCAGTGAGGGGTATGGCAAGAGGGGAGGGGGCAGGCTCCTGGAAGTCTCAGGCCCCCAGAAGCAGAACAATTCCTCAGAACAACCGGTCAGAGATAAGTGAGAGTAGGCTGGGCACGGTGGCTCATATTTGTAATTCTAGCACTTTGGGAGGCTGAAATGGGCAGATAATGAGGTCAGGAGTTCGAAACCAGCCTGGCCAACATGGTGAAACTCCATCTCTACTAAAAATACAAAAAATTAGCCGGCCATGGTGGCGTGTGCCTGTAGTCCCAGCTACTTGGGAGGCTGAGACAGGAGAATCACTTGAACCCAGGAGGCAGAGGTTGCAGTGAGCCTAAATGGGTCACTTAGAAAATTGATGTTTGGGCCAGGCGCAGTGGCTCACGCCTGTAATCCCAGCACTTTGGGAGGCTGAGGCGGGCAGATCACAAGGTCAGGAGATCGAGACCACCCTGGCTAACACGGTGAAACCCCGTCTCTATTAAAAATACAAAGAATTAGCCGGGCGTGGTGGTGGGCCCCTGTAGTCCCAGCTACTCAGGAGGCTGAGGCAGGAGAATGGCGTGAACCAGGGAGGCAGAGCTTGCAGTGAGCTGAGATCATGTCACTGCACTCCAGCCTGGGCGACAGCGCGAGACTCCGTCTCAAAAAGAAAAGAGAGAAAATTAAATTGATGCATGGCTATTGGCTTGGGGGAGTTTTTTGTCCAGTTATTTTTTTGTTAAAGTGACCCTGGCACCCCTTGTGCTGGGTGATGGCCTGGCTGGGCTTGCTTCTGTCTCAGGCTCCTGGAGTTTAGGATTCCTGCCCTCTGCAACCTCCTCACTTACCCACCTCCGGTGGTCTACTTGGACTCAGAACAAGCCCCAGTTTCCCACTTGGGGCCCCCACTGAGTCTCTTGTGGACCACTGTCCCCTTCCCTCTGTCACGGTTTCCAACACTCTGCTCCCCTCCTGTCTCCTCATCCAGCTCCTGCTGGCCACCATGCCTTTGCTCAGGCCGTTCCCCTGGCCCTGTTACTCTCCCTTCCATCTCAAGTCTGCCTTCTTCCCAGATTCCTCCCCTGACACTGTGGCCTCTGCCACCTCCCCTTATGCCTTCTCCTGCAGTAGGGGCAGCAGCAGTCTTGCCTGAACTAGATTGGTGTTGCCACCACAGCTGCACCATGACCTCAGGGCTGAGTATCTGCATGAGCAGCCCTGAGAGCTCCAATTCTTTTATTTATTTATTTATTTTTTTTTTTTTTTTGAGATGGAGTTTTGCTCCTGTTGCCCAGGCTGGAGTGCAGTGGAGCGATCTCAGCTCACTGCAACCTCCGCCTTCTGGGTTCAAGCGATTCTCCTGCCTCAGCCTCCTGAGTAGATGGGATTACAGGTGCCCACCACCATGCCCAGCTAACTTTTTGTATTTTTAGTAGAGACAGGGTTTCATCATGTTGGCCAGGCTGGTCTCAAACTCCTGACCTCAGGTGATTCACTCACCTCGGCCTCTCAAAGTGTAGGGATTACAGGTGTGAGCCACCGTGCCCGGCCGAGAGCACCAATTCTAAGTCCACTTGTGACCTGAGTGATGTGACCTGGCTGTTGGTTGGCATCTTACCCTGGCAGTAACAAAAAGGATGGCTGGAGAGTGGGGACCTGGGACATAAAGGGAGATGGGGAAGGCTGGTCTGGGGTACAGGCAAGGTGCCAGGAGAGGCAGCATGCAGTTCTGGCCTCCTGCAGGGGTTCTGCCACTGGGGAGCACAAGGGAAAGAAGGAAACTGACCAGATTCTGAGCTGGAATTTTTACTGGGCTGGGCAGAGATGTCCACAGTGGATAGTTTGGAAAAGGCTGAGATGGGGGACTGCAGGAGAGGGGTGGTCATGAGAGCTTGGAGTAGTTGGAGCCGTCTTAGAAAGTCTTAGGCACGCCCAGCTACTCAGGAGGCTGAGGCTGAGGCAGGAAAATCGCTTCAACCTGGGAGGCAGAGGTTGCAGTGAGCCGAGATTGCACCACTGCACTCCACCCAGACAACAGAGCAAGACTCCGTCTCAAAAAATAAAATAAAATAAAAGGAAAAGAAAAAAGAAATTTCAGGCAGAGGAGGTCGCGGCGCCGGAGGCCCCAGAAGGGTCGAAGGCGCCGCGGGCTGGGGTCGGTGGCTTAGGGAGCCCGTCTGGCCATGGTGGCCGCGGCTGGTGGTTGGCGCGGCGGCGCTGACGCCCGCGGGCCCCAGCTGCAGATATGAAGCGGAGCCGCTGCCGCGACCGACCGCAGCCGCCGCCGCCCGACCGCCAGGAGGATGGAGTTCAGCGGGCAGCGGAGCTGTCTCAGTCTTTGCCGCCGCGCCGGCGAGCGCCGCCCGGGAGGCAGCGGCTGGAGGAGCGGACGGGCCCCGCGGGGCCCGAGGGCAAGGAGCAGCCGCCTGCCTTGGCCTCCCAAAGTGCCGAGATTGCAGCCTCTGCCCGGCTGCCACCCCGTCTGGGAAGTGAGGAGTGTCTCTGCCTGGCCGCCCATCGTCTGGGATGTGAGGAGCCCCTCTGCCTGGCTGCCCAGTCTGGAAAGTGAGGAGCGTCTCCGCCCGGCCGCCATCCCATCTAGGAAGTGAGGAGCGCCTCTTCCCAGCCGCCATCACATCTAGGAAGTGAGGAGCGTCTCTGCCCGGCCGCCCATCGTCTGAGATGTGGGGAGCGCCTCTGCCCCGCCGCCCCATCTGGGATGTGAGGAGCGCCTCTGCCCGGCCGAGACCCCGTCTGGGAGGTGAGGAGCGTCTCTGCCCGGCCGCCCCGTCTGAGAAGTGAGGAGACCCTCTGCCTGGCAACCACCCCGTCTGAGAAGTGAGGAGCCCCTCCGCCCGGCAGCTGCCCCGTCTGAGAAGTGAGGAGCCTCTCCGCCCGGCAGCCACCCCATCTGGGAAGTGAGGAGCGTCTCCGCCCGGCAGCCACCCCGTCCAGGAGGGAGGTGGGGGGGGGGGTCAGCCCCCGCCCGGCCAGCCGCCCCATCCGGGAGGGAGGTGGGGGTCAGCCCCCCCGCCCGGCCAGCCGTGCCATCCGGGAGGGAGGTGGGGGGGTCAGCCCCCCGCCTGGCCAGCCGTGCCATCCGGGAGGGAGGTGGGGGGGTCAGCCCCCCGCCCGGCCAGCCGCCCCGTCCGGGAGGTGAGGGGCGCCTCTGCCCGGCCGCCCCTACTGGGAAGTGAGGAGCCCCTCAGCCCGGCCAGCCACCCCGTCCGGGAGGGAGATGGGGGGGTCAGCCCCCCCACCCGGCCAGCCGCCCCGTCCGGTAGGGAGGTAGGGGGGTCAGCCCCCCGCCTGGCCAGCCGCCCCGTCCGGGAGGGAGGTGGGGGGGTCAGCCCTCCGCCCGGCCAGCCGCCCCGTCTGGGAGGTGAGGGGCGCCTCTGCCCAGCCGCCCCTACTGGGAAGTGAGGAGCCCCTCTGCCCGGCCAGCCGCCCCGTCCGGGAGGGAGGTGGGGGGGTCAGCCCCCCGCCCGGCCAGCCGCCCTGTCGGGGAGGGAGGTGGGGGGGTCAGCCCTCCGCCCGGCCAGCCGCCCCGTCTGGGAGGTGAGGGGCGCCTCTGCCCGGCCGCCCCTACTGGGAAGTGAGGAGCCCCTCTGCCCGGCCAGCCGCCCCGTCCGGGAGGGAGGTGGGGGGGTCGGCCCCCCGCCCGGCCAGCCGCCCCGTCCGGGAGGGAGGTGGGGGGGTCGGCCCCCCGCCCGGCCAGCCGCCCCGTCCGGGAGGGAGGTGGGGGGGTCGGCCCCCCGTCCGGCCAGCCGCCCCGTCCGGCCAGCCGCCCCGTCCGGGAGGTGAGGGGCGCCTCTGCCCGGCCGCCCCTACTGGGAAGTGAGGAGCCCCTCTGCCCGGCCAGCCGCCCCGTCCGGGAGGGAGGTGGGGGGGTCAGCCCCCCGCCCGGCCAGCCGCCCCGTCCGGGAGGGAGGTTGGGGGGTCAGCCCCCCGCCCGGCCAGCCGCCCCGTCCAGGAGGGAGGTGGGGGGGTCAGCCCCCCTGCCCGGCCAGCCGCCCCGTCCGGGAGGTGAGGGGCGCCTCTGCCCGGCCGCCCCTACTGGGAAGTGAGGAGCCCCTCTGCCCGGCCACCACCCCGTCTGGGAGGTGTGCCCAACAGCTCATTGAGAACGGGCCAGGATGACAATGGCGGCTTTGTGGAATAGAAAGGCGGGAAAGGTGGGGAAAAGATTGAGAAATCGGATGGTTGCCGTGTCTGTGTAGAAAGAAGTAGACATGGGAGACTTTTCATTTTGTTCTGCACTAAGAAAAATTCCTCTGCCTTGGGATCCTGTTGATCTGTGACCTTACCCCCAACCCTGTGCTCTCTGAAACATGTGCTGTGTCCACTCAGGGTTAAATGGATTAAGGGCGGTGCAAGATGTGCTTTGTTAAACAGATGCTTGAAGGCAGCATGCTCGTTAAGAGTCATCACCAATCCCTAATCTCAAGTAATCAGGGACACAAACACTGCGGAAGGCCGCAGGGTCCTCTGCCTAGGAAAACCAGAGACCTTTGTTCACTTGTTTATCTGCTGACCTTCCCTCCACTATTGTCCCATGACCCTGCCAAATCCCCCTCTGTGAGAAACACCCAAGAATTATCAATAAAAAAATAAATTTAAAAAAAAAAAAAAAAAAAAATGGACTTTCCCAGGCCAGCTGTGGTGGCTCACGACTGTAATCCCAGCACTGTGGCAGGCCAAGGCGGGCAGATCACCTGAGATCAGGAGTTCAAGACCAGCCTGACCAACACGGAGAAACCCCGTCTCTACTAAAAATAAAAAAAATTAGCTGGGCGTGGTGGTGCATGCCTGTAATCCCAGCTACTTGGGAGGCTGTGGCAGGAGAATTGCTTGAACCCAGGAGGCAGAGGTTGTTGTGAGCTGAGATTGCACCATTGCACTCCAGCCTGGGCAACAAGAGGGAAACTCCATCAAAAAAAAAAAAAAAAAAAGGACTTTCTCAAAGAAAATGTATTTAAATGTCTGCACCAATAATTCCAGCATGTGTATGAATAAATATGATATGTCCTTTACAAAAAAAAAAAAAAAAAAAAAAAGAAAGTCTTAGGCACAGGCTTTTGGTTTGACTGCTTTGGAAACAGCCATTTGAAATGCTTCTTGAATATTTTTCTTTTTTTTTCTTTTTTGTTTTTTTTGAGATGGAATTTTGCTCTTGTTGCCCAGGCTGGAGTGCAATGGCGTGATCTCGGCTCACTGCAACCTCCACCTCCCGGGTTCAAGCGATTCTCCTGCCTCAACCTCTCGAGTAGGTTGATACAAGCATGAGCCTCCATGCCCGGCTAATTTTGTATTTTTAGTAGAGACAGAGTTTCTCCATGTTGGTCAGGCTGGTCTTGAACTCCCGACCTCAGGTGATCTGCCTGCCTCTGCCTCCCAAAGTGCTGGGATTACAGGCATGAGCCACCAAGCCCGGCCACTTGGAGATTTTTCTTTTCTTTTTTTTTTTTGAGATGGAGTCTTGCTCTGTTGCCCAGGCTGGAGTGCAGCGGCGCGATCTCGGCTCACTGCAAGCTCTGCCTCCCGGGTTCACACCATTCTCCTGCCTCAGCCTCCAGAGTAGCTGGGACTACAGGTGCCCACCACCATGCCCAGCTAATTTTTTGTATTTTTAGTAGAAACGGGGTTTCACCACGTTAGCCAGGATGGTCTTGATCTCCTGACCTTGTGATCTGCCCGCCTCGGCCTCCCAAAGTGCTGGGATTGCAGGTGTAAGCCACTGCGCCCAGCCAGGAGATTTTTTCTTAAGCCTCTGAGGGCTCGCGTGATCTGGGGAAGGAGGGGTCAGACATGGTTGGCATTAGCCAGGGCTGGGTCGTGGGGGCTGGGAGGGGTAGCATATTCCTGCCCAAGGTCAAGACCTAGAGTTTCCTCTCCCTTCTCAGAGGAGGGACAAATGTGGAGGGTCCAGAGGAGTCTGGCAGCAAGGAGATGCCCCAGGTTGGCCAGGAGGCCTGGGGGACTGTCCAGCCCTGTGCTTAGCTTGCTGTGTGATCCTGGGCATATCACTCAACCTCTCAGAGCCTTGGTTTCATCTCCAAGTTGGTCCTTCTTCAAGCTCAGGTGCTGCTATTGTTCTAAGGCATTGGTTCTCAAACTTCATTGTGCATCAGAATCACCTGCAGGGCTCATTGAAACACAGATTGCTGGGCCTTAACCCCAGAGTTTCTGACTCAATAGGTCTAGGGTGAGGTCTGAGAATTTCCATTTCTAACAAGATCTCTGCTAATTTTTGTATTTTTAGTAGAGATGAGGTTTCACCATGTTGGCCAGGCTGGTCTCGAACTCCTGACCTTAGGTGATCCACCTGCCTCGGCCTCCCAAACTGCTGGGGTCACAGGCGTGAGCCACTGCACCTGTCCTGGGTGCTAGTTTTTTTAGTTGTAAAAGTGGATGTGTGTACTTGTGTGTGAGTATATGTGTGAAATTTGCAATTGCAATTCTACTTGCTGTTGGTATAATCACCTAGGCACTAAATTCACAGGAGGCCATCTGCAGCTTCTAGCCTGAGAGTTCTCAATCCCAACCCCATGCCACGACAAACTGAACTGTGAGGTTGTGGCCTGAGCTTACACATTTTTCCCAAGTGATTCTAGTGGACCAACAAGGATGGGAACCCTCCTGCTCTGTGGAGATCAAGGCTCAGGGTGGTAAAGAGGCTTGCAAACGGCACTAAGTAGAGCAATGGCTTGGCTCGCAGCCATGTAGTCAGTCTCTCAGGAGACTCCTCAGGGCTGAGATGAGTATAGAGGTCCCCAAAAGACCTGTCCAGCATGTGGCAGTCCAGCCCTCCAGCCCTTGCCCTTTGCTCTGAACCTCCCAGCCTGAAGTTCTGGCTTCTGGACCCACTCCTCTGCCCTCCACTCCTTCTCCAGGGATTTGCTCACCCCAGCAAAGTTTTGGGATTCACAGATGGGCAACTTCTTGGGGTCCTCAGCAGCACTGAAGTACCCCCGGCAGTTCTTCACTTGCTGTTGGGGAAAAGAACGAGTTCAGGTCATGGCCATTTACTCAGGGGGCTCCAGTGTGGTGCCTGGAAAATTCCAGCCTGGCTGAAGGGGTTGTAATGATTACTTAACTTCTTGGCTTTCCTCCACGCAACTTGTGTCACATGAAGTAGTAAGTGGGAAAGAGGGAACTGAGCCTTAGCAGACGGTCCTGACACTCACCCTGTCCCATATTTCCACCCTCATGGCAGCCCACATCTGCATTTCCAGTTTGCTGCAGAGGGCAGGAGGCAGGGCTTGAATTCTTCCACATGTCCCCATGAGAAGGACAGCAAGGTTGGTGGGTGGGGGCATTGAGTCCAAGTCCTGGTTCTGCCGTTTTCTGGATAGGGGTCCTTGTTCAAGTGATTTATCTGTGGCCCTCATTTTCGTCATCAACTGGCTCATCAGCCTTATCCAGTTTCTCCTGGGGGCTCTCACCCTCTCCCCGCACTCTGATGAAGCCAGCCTGCCTCTCCTGCAACCCTTCTTCGGGGAAAGGAAACAAATGTTCTCATATTGGCACACAAAAGAGTACAGGCACACAAAAGAGGCAGCAGCCTCTTGGGCGGTCACTTGTTCCTGCAGCTCTGTGTTGGCCTAATCCTTGACTAACTCCCTAAGTCTTTTTCGCATATGCAGCCCCGAAGGCACTCAGATCCTGGAAAGGTCAACTGCTGAGGTTACACACTCTATGAACAGCATTAGAAATGGCTGGACATGTGCCCAGAACCCATTTGGAGACCTTGGCTCAGGTCTCTCCCCATTCAAGTCCTCAGAATCTGCATCCAGAAAGAGAGAGGACTGGAGTATTCAGGAGGTGGCCCCTGAAACCCTCTGTGACCTCAGGTTGGAGAGGAGGTAATTTGGGCTGCACATCTCAGCTCAGAAATAGCACCTGGCATCTGGTACCTGGCCTCCACGGCTCTTAGCATCTCACCATCCTTGGCCACAGGCTCCTAACCTCGCCCACAAGGCAAGGGAAGGATCTGTTCCCCAGTCACCTTGGGGAAGAGAGGTTCTAAACTGAGAGATAGTGGAGGATGGATCCCCACAAGCCATGATTCTGGGGCTCCCAGAAACTGCACCCCTTTCTCAGTGCAGCCTGAGTGATGCTCCTATAATAAAACCGCCACCCGAGGAGGGCCTACTATGCACCCTTGCAGAGCTGCTTCCCTGCAGCCATGGCATCCAAGGCCTTCTCCAGTCAGCTCCCTGCTGGAGGATGGCCCACTTCTCACTGTTGTCTCCCATACAGCGAGCTTTTTCTTTGGAGGCATTGTCAAGCAGGTGCTTCTGAAACATTTGGAAAAAGACAGCATGTCACAGGGACAAAGCTGGCCCTTCCCACCCAGGGTTGTCACAGGATCTTCTCTCCTTCCAGTTCCCCACCTCCAGCCACACTTCTTTGTCTAACTCAGCATTGTCCAATAGAACTTTCTGTGATCAAGGAAATGTTCTATATCTGAGACATCCACTGTAACTGACTGTTGAGCAATTGAAATGGGGGTAGTGTGACAGAATAATTGTTTTTTGTTGTTGTTATTTATTTACTTATTTTTTGAGACGGAGTCTCTCTCTGTCACCCAGGCTGAAGTGCAGTGGCACGATCTCGGCTCACTGCAACCTCCGCCTCCTGGGTTCAAGAGATTCTCCTGCCTCAGCCTCCCAAGTAGCTGGGATTATAGGCATGCACCACCACACCCAGCTAATTTTTGTATTTTTAGTAGAGATGGGGTTTCACCATGTTGGTCAGGCTGGTCTTGAACTCCTGACCTCAGATGATCCACCTGCCTCGGCCTCCCAAATTGCTGGGATTACAGACGTGAGCCACTGTGCCCAGCCGCCTTTTTAATTTTAATTAAGTTCAATTAATTTGAATTGAAATTGAATTGCCACTTGTGCTTATGGCTACCATACTGGCTAATGCATTCAAGTAGAAGTGAGCAAGTTCTGATGAACAGGGAGCAGTGAGAGGGAACCTGGTCAGGGCTCAGGTCAGGGAGGAGCCAAAGAAGGAGGAAGCAAAGAGTCCATCGGAGTGAATATGAGGGTCACTAAGCAGGGGGTGAACAGCAGGAGGCCTGGCACACAGTCTCTGGCCACTGGAGGCACAGGAGTGCTGGAGCTGCACAGGGTTTATGGATTGCTGACAAGGAGACAGGCTGGGAGCTGGGGAAGCGCTAAGGACACGGTCACCTGGCAAGAAGCTCAAGGCCTTGTCTTCCTCATTGGTGGCAATGTAGGGTTGAGAAAACTGGATTGTGCAATGGGCCCCTGGCTCTGGGTTGGTATTCCTGGACAAGACAGCATGTGATTACCTACAAGTGCCTTGGCCTTTCCCAGGAGAAACCATGCTGTGGTTTGACCGTCCCTCTCCCCTGCAAAGGACGACAGCGGGTTCCTCTGAGTGGTATATCCAATATCCAGGTCTTTCCTTTATGGCTGGGCAGAGCCTCCACCCCCGGACACCATGTCCCAGGCCCTTCTTATGAATCAGTCTAGGAAACAAAGGCACATTTACTGGAAACTGCCTATCACTATCCCGTGCTGTGTAGTGTTTCATTTGACAAATGATTTCTGAACTTGGGTCTGGACCTGCTGGGAGCGGCTCTTACCCATCTGGGCCCTCTGAGGGCAGAGCCCAATGCCGATTCTGAGAGGGGCCCAGTGAGGAAAGGAATCCTGACCTTAGGGAGTCTGTGGGCTGAAGGGAATGCAGGGGCTTGCCCTTGGGAGTCCCTGTCTGAGGGACAGACAAGACTGTCACACTTGGGAAGCCCTTGGCCTGGGAAGGAGATGCAGCCCCATAATCAGGAGCCTGGACAGAAGGAGAACTTGGGGAAGCCTTGTCTAAGGGGCATCCCAGGGCTTCATGACTCTTGTCTGAGGACAACTGTGGTCTTACCCCTGGGACTAGCCTGATGGATAAACACAGCCTGAGACTAAAGGTGGGGTTGGTGAGCTGTCTCCTAGCCTGGTGTTGGTGGGGGACGCATCACAGAGGATGCCAACTGGGGGCTGAAATCCAGGGGACAACCTGGAGAGGCTGAGTCTGAGCCAAAATATGACAGGGGCCTGGGGTAGTAGGTTATGTTATTAGCAAGAAGGGGAGCACAGTTCCCCAACAAGATACATATGCACAGTTTCATGCGTGCATATGTATCTTGTTGGGGAAGAGTTGGGCTAAGGCCATTGCCAAGTAAGGAGACCTGACCCTGACCTCACTTGCCAAAACATCCCGGGAGTACAGGACTTGACAGTGGACATGCACTTGCTTACTCACTGTTGCATTTGAACAAACACTGCAGGGCATCTCATTCCCATCCTACAAATATGAGAACATTATCAAGAAAACAAGGCAACTTGCTCGAAGTCACACAGCTAGTAATCGACGGTGCTTGAGACCCTCCACCCCAGGTCTCTTGGCAATACAATTCTGCAAGTGAAAGAAAGGCAGAAGGAGGAACTTGTCCTGAGTCTGGGCAGAACCTGTGATTGGCATTCCCTGTCTGCCACAGGGTATAAGCATACCCTGCCCCATGCCCCAGGTTTAGGGAAGGAAACGTCTGCCTTTGAGTATATATTCAATACATTGCTCCAATGCATTGCTGTCTACAAGGTTGGGGCTACTGTCCCAATTTTTGCACGAGAAAGGTTCAGGGAGGGAGGCAATTTACCAGAAGTTAGCTCTTGGCCTGAGTCACCCCAATTTTCTATTTTTGAGTCAGGGTCTTGCTCTGTTGCCCTGACTGGATACAGTGGCATGATCACAGCTCACGGTAGCCTCCATCTTCTGGGCTCAAGCAATCCTCCCACCTTAGCCTCCCAAGTAGCTGGGACCACAGGTGCACACCACCATGCCCAGCTAATTTTAAAATTTTTTTGTAGAGACAGGGCCTCGCTCTGTTGCCCAGGCTGGTCTCGAACTCCTGTCCTGAAGCACCATGCTTGGCCAACAAAGTTACTATCTCTGGGAGCACACTATGTTTACTTCTGAAGCATTAACCTAACAGGTCACATTAATAACAACAAAAACAATTCACATGTACTGGCCACAGACCATGTTGTATTTGACCCTCACAACAATTCTACAAACTAGACATTGTGATGATCATCCCTGTTCTACAGATGAGGAGGCAGGAGAGCAGACACATCGGTATGCAGATACACAGCTGGTCGCAGCAGGGCTGAGCCAGGAACCCAGTCAGCCTCATGAGGGAACCTGGGCTCTTTGCCTGCAAAGCCCTGGGCTTTCTGTGCTGACTATAGATTCTGGGCACAGGGAGGGACAGGGACAGTGACTCACCCACAGAGACAGAGGCTGGTGACGAATATGGTTCCTGGGATTCCCATCCCAGGACTCCCTCCCCAGTGCTCCCCAAGGGGATGAACAAACTGCCTGCTTGGTTCTCTACTTTTCAGACAAGTTGGCCATTCTGATGAAGGCTGTCTCAGGGGCAAGCAGGCCTGAGGAGGTGGGTGCTTCCACCAGGACAACCAGGGCTGCAGACACGGAGCCAGAGAGGGAACGCAGAGTGGGGGCTAAGCTGGGCTTTGTTCGCCAATGGGGGAGGGATTGTGGAGTGGGAGAGGGTAGCTCCAGCATCTGCTCATCTGTGGAAAGTCTCTCAGAGCCTTCAGCAGTCCCAGTGCACCAGGTTCCCTGATCACATTGTGTAGGAGTTGGAGCCTCCTGGGTCTGCAGGAGAGGAAGGGGCCACTTAGAGAAGTCAGGGTGGGAGATTCAGAGAGAGAGAGGAAAGAGAGAGAGATAGAGAGACAGAGGGACAGGGGCTGCCCAGGCCTTTGTGAAGGGACATTTATCTAGCCCTCAAGTCTTGATGTGGAAAAGCCTAACTTTTTTTTTTTTTTTGAGACGGAGTCTTACACTCTTGCCCAGGCTGGAGTGCAGTGGCGCCATCTCAGCTCACTGCAAGCTCCGCCTCCTGGGTTCACACCATTCTCCTGCCTCAGCCTCCCAAGTAGCTGGGACTACAGGCGCATGCCACCACACCCAGCTAGAGACGGGGTTTCACTGTGTTAGCCAGGATGGTCTCAATCTCCTGACCTCATGATCAGGCCACCTCGGCCTTCCAAAGTGCTGGGATTACGGGCGTGAGCCACCGCGCCCGGCTAAGCCTCACTTTTCTTTTCTCATTCCGCCTTGCCTAGAATCTTCTGATCACTCTATTAATGGGGTGAGCCATTATGAAAAAGGCGAGCTGGTGAGAGCCTCCTTTCTCCCTCTCTAGGAGGAAGGGGCAGCCATGGGTTCTAAAGGTCTGAAGTCAGCCGCCCTACCTCAGGTAGTGGACACCGACCTGCATGTGCCGAGGGCAGGACTCACTCCTGGAACCTGGGAAGCCTGGACCTTGTGCGATGGCCCTGAGAGGGAAAGCAAGTGCCCCTGAGTCCAGACTTCTGCAGTTGTATCAGAGGGCCTATGCAAGCTGCTTGGGCTCTGGCTGATTTCATGTGAGGGCGTGTCCAGCACTGGCCGAAGTGGAACGTCCTCTTGAGGCAGTTGGAAAGGGGCTCTGAATATGCCAGATCTGACCTAGAGGAACACAGGAGCATGCAGCTCTCACGCCCTAGCCTAAGGACTAACATTGCCATCTGCTTCTCCCCGGTTTGGCTTCTTGGGGATCCTGAAGCCAGTCAGAAGGGTGGAGGAAGCAGGAGAGCCCTGAGAGGTCTGATATCCCTGGATGGCCCTTTTCCCAACAGCCATAAAAGACCTGATGTGCAAGCCCTGCTTGACCAACAGGCCACTGGGGCAACACTTGAACTGTGAAACCAGGTTGCACAGAAGCCCACTTCTTCCTTCTCTCAAGGCCAGGTGTGCAACCGGTGGCCTTCGTCCAGGCTTCCACCTTCCAGGAGCCCTGCTGTCCAAGCCCCCAAGTGTCCCACAGGCCAACTGAGGTCAAGAGGTACCCCAGGCCTCAGGGCCACATGGCCAGTCCACAGAGGAGCTGGGACCGGAATTTGCCTCATGGACGCTGGACCCCTCTATCACTTTGGCCCTTTATCTCTCCTGGCTGTGATCTCTCCCTCTCCCAACACCAGCCACCCATCCCAGCTTGGTGTCTCAGCTAGAGCACCAAACAGGGAGTAATTTGAGGTCGAATCAGGAGAGACTTCCTGGAAGATGTAGGGGCAAAGAGGAGATTGCTGTGCCTGGTTGGAGGTCAGGGAAAGCTTCATGAGGTGAAAGGGCAGGCCAAACAGAAGGATCGGGGCAGAGCTGGGAGAAAGAGCAGGAGGCTCAGATGAGCCTATGTGATGGGGGCATACGTGACAGTCTGGCACTTGCAGTGTGCAGGGCTGGGGTGAGGGCAGTGGGAACCAAAAGGCCACAGGCCCTGATGCCAGCCTAGGGGGTGTGTGGGCTCCTGAAGGTAGAGGGTTGAAATGGCCAAATTGGTGGTTTAAAGGAACCCCTGGACAACGGTGTGGAGGGTGGACTGTGGTCTGGGGAGAGCCTGAAACCTAGAGAAGGTGGAGTCTGGAGGCTGGGGCAGCATTGCATGGGAGAGAAGATGGCGGCAGGAGCCAGGCAGGGGTGGAAGGAGAGGCCAGAGGGGAGTGCTTTCGGGAGGAAGGAGCCAAAGGTGCTTCAGGGCTCATGCAGTGGGCACTCAGCAGAAGAGCAGTCAAGGAGGCCCAGTGGGGACAACCGGGACGTTCATGGGAGTCTCGAACTCAGAGATACAGACTGGGTGGTGTCTGCCTATTATAACTGGTGTCCTGGGAGAGGGCGTCCCCAGGGAAACCCGAGGCCAGGGAAGAGAAGCAGCCCAGGAGGTGACCCCACACGCTCTCAATATTAAGAAGACAGCCCTTAGGGGAGACCAAGAAGGAGCCACCAGGGAGGCAGGAGGGACAGCAGGAGAGTGGCATCAGGGGAGACCGGGGCAGCAAGAAGGAAGGCTCACCAGTGCCTGTGCAGACAAAGACCAGGCTTGAGGGTGGCCATGGACCAAGGGTGGGTTGGCCAGCCTTCAGTGGCCTTCAGCATGAAGAAGAGTGAAAAGATGGGGTCAAGAAGCGTAGACAACCTTTCCTAAGACTTGGCTTGGGAGAAGCCATGGTGAAAGGCCATGTCTGGAGGGGCTTGGGAACATTTTGAGACTGAAAAAAACAGTGAAGAAGGATGCAGAAGGGGATAGATGGAGCAGAGCCTTCGTCTGGCTGACGGCTGGGTCCAGAGAGCATGTGGTATGGCCTTGAACTGAAAGGGCAACTTGTCCCTTGCAAGAGTGAGTCTCTAGGTTGGGGGTGGCTACTGTCTTCATTTACCAGTTCTTTTTTTTTTTTTTCATACTGAGTCTCACTCTGTTACCCAGGCTGGAGTGCAGTGGCATGATCTCAGCTAACTGCAACTTCTGCTTCCCGGGTTCAATGGGTTCAAGTGATTCTCATGCCTCAGCTTGTAGCTGGGACTACAGGTGTGAGCCATCATGCGTGGCTAATTTTCATATTTTTAGTAGAGATGGGGTTTCACCATGTTGGCCAAGCTTGTCTCGAACTCCTTATCTCAGGTGATCCGCCCACCTTGGCCTCCCAAAGTGCTGGGATTATAGGCGTGAGCCACCGTGCCCTGCCTCATTCATCAATTCTTAATCGATGCCTACAGGGTGCCAGGCAATGCCTAGAGCTGGAGATTTAGCAGTCCATCATACTGACTCCTGAGGAGTAGAAGGATGTAGAATAGGCACCTGGCTCTCTTCCTCTCTGGAGGGATTTAACGCTCTTGAGCACCCCTGGCTATGACAATCTCCGGTCAGGTCTGGGAGGTTGTCAGAGATGAAGAAACCACTTCCTCATCTTGCACACAAGGAAGGCCTCACTCACTGCCCAGCAAGTCCTGTGAAGCAATAGCCAGGGGCTAAAGCAAACCCCAGCCCACACCCTGGCAGGCAGCCAGGGATGGGTGGATCAGGAAGGCTCCTGGTTGGGCTTTTGCATCAGGCTCAGGCTGGGCATAAAGGAGGCTCCTGTGGGCTAGAGGGAGGCAGACATGGGGACCATGAAGACCCAAAGGGATGGCCACTCCCTGGGGCGGTGGTCACTGGTGCTCCTGCTGCTGGGCCTGGTGATGCCTCTGGCCATCATTGCCCAGGTCCTCAGCTACAAGGAAGCTGTGCTTCGTGCTATAGATGGCATCAACCAGCGGTCCTCGGATGCTAACCTCTACCGCCTCCTGGACCTGGACCCCAGGCCCACGATGGTGAGCTTTGGGGGACATTCTGCTCTGCTCTGGCTGGGCTTGGCCACGTGTTGTTCCTTCTGCTCCTGCTGCACTGCCTGCCAGGAGGGCATCTCCCCCTTTAAATGTGGTCCCGTGTTTTCCAGGGAACCTTCTAGAGCTCGTGTCTCCTCCCAGCTCGAGAGCTTCCTGCCTTATAATTCCTGCTGTGGCAGAGATACCCTCACCCCGACCCCACGCAGGTTTTGGGACTTCTGCGAGCTCCAGGCACTAGAATGGGGTCATTGGCTCTGGGCAGTGACCTCCTCTGCTTTAAGTCTCTTCTGTACCACGTTACCCCACATAGGGAAGAACTCTATCCAGACTTTAGGTTCCAGTGGGCATGTCTTGTCCCCCAGGAAGCCCCCTGACTTCCCTTGCCCCCACCCCAGAGTGGGAGGGGCTCCTTGTTAGAGCTCATCTGAGGTCTGCTCCTACTCACTGTTCACCTAGGAGGGTAGGAATGGCTCAGTCCTCCTCCCCTCAATGCCCCAGTGCCAAGCCCAGCACCCAGTGCCCGTCGCACATCAGGTACTGTGGAAAGCCTGCCCTCTTGGTGGGGAGGTCATGGACACAAATCAGAAAATACAAGAATGGGCCTCCCCATTTCCTCCTCTGACTAGGATGGGGACCCAGACACGCCAAAGCCTGTGAGCTTCACAGTGAAGGAGACAGTGTGCCCCAGGACGACACAGCAGTCACCAGAGGATTGTGACTTCAAGAAGGACGGGGTGAGGCTGGGGGCTGGGGGTGTTGGTGGGTGCCTCCCAAGGAGCTGAACAGGGGGCACCTGGGGAATATTTCCCACTGGGATGTGGCTGGGAGGTCATGGCAAATGGTTTCAAGTTTGACCTTGAGCTTCTCCTTTCCAGCTGGTGAAGCGGTGTATGGGGACAGTGACCCTCAACCAGGCCAGGGGCTCCTTTGACATCAGTTGTGATAAGGTGAGTGGGCTGTTCTGGGATGCAGGGGCTGATGGGGGCATAGAGTGTGGACCATCCAATGGGTCAATTAACTACTCCCCCAACCCAGGACAGAGAAAGCCCCTCCTACCCAGGGCTCTTCCCCAAACCTGAGTTCCATCTCCAGGGCCGGCTCTGGAATCCCTTAGAGCGGTAGATCTCCAAGTGTAGCCCTTCCTGGGGACTCGTTAGATATGCAAATTCTCAGGCCCTACTCAGACCTACTCAGACAGACTCTGGGTAGGGCCCAGAAATTCGTATTTTGATAAGCTTTCCAGGAGATTCCGGCTTCTGTAAAGTTTGAGAGCCACTGTCTAAGAGTACTCAGCTCTCAGCCCTGTGTTCCCATCTCAGTGTTGCTGGGCTGGGCTGTGTGACCCTGCAGAGCCCCTCACTATCTCCGGGACTCTGTTTTCTCATCTTTTTATTGGGTGTAGGGATTCAATCACATGCTTCAAAGGTCACAGCCAGAGGTTGAACTGGGGCCCCAAAGCTCCTGCGGGGGCCCACGAAGAGGGGCGTCTAGGTGGGGAGGGGTCTTGGATTGACCCTGGGTACATCCCCGACAAGGAACCTGTTTCTTCCTGTACACAACCCCAGGATAACAAGAGATTTGCCCTGCTGGGTGATTTCTTCCGGAAATCTAAAGAGAAGATTGGCAAAGAGTTTAAAAGAATTGTCCAGAGAATCAAGGATTTTTTGCGGAATCTTGTACCCAGGACAGAGTCCTAGTGTGTGCCCTACCCTGGCTCAGGCTTCTGGGCTCTGAGAAATAAACTATGAGAGCAATTTCCTCAGGCTTCAGTCTCACTTGTTTTGCCTCCTCTCTCTCACCACAACTGAGCCCTTAGCTCAGGGAGTCCACGTGTGAGTGTGAGTGTGTGTGAGTGTGACACAGAGGTGGCGAGGGCAGTGTTCCATCCAGGAGGACACAGGGTAAGGCAGTAGGGCCAAGAGATCCAAGATGGCATTCCCATTCTCAGTGGAACCCCCAGTGGGGAATTAAGGAGCTCTACTCTGTGTGTGGTGGTGGGGGAATGCTGTGGAGCTGTTCCTGCTCATGGGGAGGTGACATTCAAGGGAGGGGCCAAGCGTGTTGTTAACACTCAGAGAAGCATGGTCCAGTCCCATGGGTGGCTGGCCAACTGGGTGCGGTCTCCCTGCAGGTACAATTCCCATAAAATTCCAATGCTTCCTAAAAGACTTAACTCAGGAAAGCCCATAACTCCTGGCATTTCCTCTGGCATTGGGACACATCACAGTTTCTTCAGGTGGGTAGCAGATTTAACTTGTGAGCTTGTGTTTAGGGATTGTTAAAAACAAGAATATGGCCAGACGTGGTGGCTCACACCTGTAATGCCAGGACTTTGGGAAGCGAGGCGGGTGGATTGCTTGAGGTCAAGAGTTTGAGACCAGCCTGGGCAACATAACAAACCCTGTCTCTACTAAAAATACAAAAATGAGCTGGGCATGGTGGTGCGTGCCTGTAGTCCCAGCTACTCGGGAGGCTGAGGTGGGAGGATTGCTTGAGCCTGGAAGGCAGAGGTTGCAGTGAGCTGAGATTGCGCCACTGCACTCCAGCCTGGGTGACAGGGTGAAACAAAGGTGACTGGGCTCATAAAAACCAAAAACCTGCCAGGCGTGGTGGCTCATGCCTGTAATCCCAGCACTTTAGGAGGCTGAGGCTGGTTGATCACCTGAGGTTGGGAGTTTGAGACCAGCCTGACCAACATGGAGAAACCCTGTCTCTACTAAAGTGGCAAAAATTAGCCAGGCATGGTGGCACATGCCTGTAATCCCAGCTACTTGGAAAGGCTGAGGCAGGAGAATCGCCTGAACAGGAGGCGGAGGTTGTGGTGAGCCAAGATCGTGCCACTGCACTCCAGCTGGGCAACAAGAGCGAAACTCCATCTCAAAAAAATAAAATAAAATAAAATAAAAACCAAAGACCAAGAATATGTTGGGTGTGGTGGTGCACACCTGTAATCCCAGGTACTTGGGAGGCTCAGGTGGGAGGGTCACTTGAGCCCAGGAGTTCAAGGCTGCAGTGAGCTATGATCATGCTAGTTCACTCCAGCCTGGGCAAAGGAGTGAGACCTCGTCTCTAAAACAAGCAAACAAACAAAAAAAGGAGAATCCTGCTCAGTGGAGTGAGGTGCTGTGGCTAGAAGAGACATGCAGAGTGTGACACACAGGTCGCGACTCTGTTGTGCTGGTGTTTCAGACATGGATCGTGTTCTCCCCACTCACCATTCTGTAGCCACTAGAAGCACCTGCAGCTTTTTGCTATGGGGTTGCTCAACTGGAAGTACTGGGAAGTCTATGCGCCAGGGAGCAGCCTCAACCAATGATAGGTGGGAGCTGGTGGAAAAATATTTGTTCTTCTCACCCGTGGGGGGCACACTCAGAGGTGTGTTTCACATCTCCCAGAGGTCCCCAGGTGGGCTACCCTCAACAAAGACCTGTTCATGACCACATCCTCTTCTGACTTGTTCGTTCCCTGTCTCACTTCTCTACACTCCTGCAGGTGCTTTCTGTAGTTGCTTCCCAAATACACTACTCTCACTTAAATCCTTAACTCAGGTCTGCTTCCAGGCCAACCTAAACTAAGACACAGGCATCCCTCTCTGAGAGGAAGAGAAGGCAAAACCTCACAAGAACACTTGCTTTGTTTTCTGTTATGCTTGCTTCTTCTTTTCTTTTTTGAGATGGGGTCTCACTATGTTACCCAGGCTGGTCTTGAATTCCTGAGCTCAAGCGATCTTCTTGCCTCAATTCCCAAAGCGTGAGCCACTGTGCCCTGCCCATGCTTGCTTCTTCATGACGAGCAGGTGTGGCTGATTTCAAGCAGGTTGGAGGAGGTAGATGCTTCTCACTCTGTATCATTACAGAGTGCTAGAGAGAGTTCTAGGGAGGAAACTCAGGGGCATATGCTGTGTCAGAGCCAATTGTTAAATTTTCAGGAATTTTTTTTTTTGAGACGGAGTCTCTCTCTGTCACCCAGGATGGAGTGCAGTGGCGTGATTTCGGCTCACTGCAAGCTCCGCCTCCCGGGTTCACACCATTCTCCTGCCTCAGCCTCCCGAGTAGCTGGGACTACAGGCGCCTGCCACCACTCCTGGCTAATTTTTTGTATATTTAGTAGAGACGGGGTTTCACTGTGTTAGCCAGGATGGTCTCGATCTCCTGACCTTGTGATCTGCCTGCCTTGACCTCCCAAAGTGCTGGGATTACAGGCATGAGCGACTGCGCCCGGCCTAAATTTTCAGGACTTTTTTGAGCTCGGTGTTAAATTCTTGGCGGCTTAAAATTGGCCATGGTGGGAGGCAGTATTTACACCATGGAAATCTGCAAATGCTGCAAAGCAGCATCCCCAACCCCAGCTGTCACACCACTGCCCAAACTGAGGGAGGGGTCACTCACAAGGATACCAAGAGCCTGTGCCGACTGCATCTATTTCCAGTTTCCTCCCATGATTATCCATCCTGCTACCGTGACAACCCTCTTATTACCCCTGCCCTGCCTTGCTCTTTGATAGTCTACATGGGCGTTAATGAGATGGCCCTCGTCATGAACCAGATAGATATAATCCAGGCTGGATTTTTTTTTTCAAGACGGACTCTTGCTCTGTCACCCAGGCTGGAGTGCAGTGGCGTGATCTCGGCTCGCTGCAACCTCTGCCTCCCGGGTTCAAGCAGTTCTCCTGCCTCAGCCTCCAGAGTAGCTGGGATTACAGGTGCCCGCCACGCACTCAGCTAATTTTTGTATTTTTAGTAGAGATGGGGTTTCACCATGTTGAGCAGGCTGGTCTTGAACTCCTGACCTCATGATCCGCCTGCCTCAGCCTCCCAAAGTGCTAGGATTACAGGTGTGAGCCACTGCACCTGGCCTTGGATTTTAATATTATACATTCATTGCTATTATAGTCATTTTAATCTTCTGATTTCATTTTATTTATTTATTTATTTTTTGAGATGGGGTCTCACTCTGTTACCCAGGCTGGAGTGCAGTGGCAGGATCTTGGCTCACTGCAACCTCCACCTCCCAGGCTCATGCAATCCTCCCACTTCAGCCTCCCGAGTAGCCAGAACCACAGGTGTGCACTACCACGCCCGGCTTATTTTTTGTATTTTTAGTAGAGACAAGGTTTCACCATGTTGCCCAGGCTGGTCTCAAACTCCTGAGTTCAAGTGATCTACCCACCTCGGCCTCCCAAAGTGCTGGGATTACAGGCGTGAGCTACCACGCCCGGCCCAGTATCTTGATTTTTAGCATGCAGACTAGTTTTACCTGATTTTGAACTTTATTTATTTTATTTTTTATTTTTATTTTTTATTTTTTTTTGAGATGGAGTTTCACTCTTGTTGCCCATGCTGGAGTGTAATGGGGCGATCTCGGCTCACTGCAACCTCCGCCTCTTGGGTTCAAGTGATTCTCCCGCCTCAGCCTCCCGAGTAGCTAGGATTACAGGCATGCACCACCACGCTGGCTAATTTTTTTTTTTTTTTTTGAGACAGAGTCTCGCTCTGTTGCCCAGGCTGGAGTGCAGTGGTGCAGTGTGGGCTTACTGCAACCTCAGCCTCCCAGGTTCAAGCAATTCTCCTGCCTCAGTCTCCAAAGTAGCTGGGACTACAGGCGCGTGCCATCACACCTGGCTAATTTTTTGCATTTTTAGTAGAGACAGAGTTTCATCGTATTAGCCAGGATGGTCTTGATCTCCTGACCTCATGATCCACCCACCTTGACCTCTCAAAGTGCTGGGATTACAGGTGTGAGCCGCCGTTCCCGACCTAATTTTGTATTTTTAGTGGAGACGGGGTTTCTCCATGTTGGTCAGGCTGGTCTTGAACTCATGACTTTGGGTGAACCGCCCGCCTTGGCCTCCCAAAGTGCTGTGATTACAAGCGTGAGCCACAACGCCCAGACTTGATTTTGAACTTTAAATAAGTGGAATGATATGATACATATTCTTTTTCCTGGCTTCTCTCTCTTCATATTATGTTGGTGAGATCACCTCTGTTGATGATGTGAGGTAGAGATCAAGTTTCTTTTTTTCTTTTTTCATACGGATATCTAATTGACCCAGCACCTTTTATTGAAATAATTATTTCCCAACCCCGACATATTTTTTTTTTTTTTTGAGATGGAGTCTCGCACTCTCGCCCAGGCTGGAGTGCAGTGGCGCCATCTCGGCTCACTGCAAGCTCCGCCTCCTGGGTTCACGCCCTTCTCCTGCCTCAGCCTCCTGAGTAGCTGGGACTACAGGTGCCTGCCACCACACCCAGATGATTTTTTGTATTTTTAGTAGAGATGAGGTTTCACTGTGTTAACCAGGATGGAAATCTCCTGACCTCGTGATCTACCCGCCTCTGCCTCCCAAAGTGCTGGGATTACAGGCATGAGCCACCGCGCCCAGCCTGACATATTTTTTAAATACTGTTCTATTTTCTGATTATAAAATCAAGACACATGCCAAGCATGGTAATATGTGTTTGTAGTCCCAGCTACTTGGGAGGCTGAGGCAGGAAGATCACTTGAGCTCGGGAGTTTTAGAACAGCCTGGGTAACATAGCGAGACCCCCATCTCTAAAAAATTTTTTTAAAAATTAAGACACATTAAAAAGCCTTGACAATCCTGAGCATTGATAAAGTTGTGGAGGGTGGAGCCATCCTGGGGAGCCATTTGGAAGTACCTAATAAATATGAATATATGTACACCTGTGAACCAGCCATTCTGCCCCTTGGTCTACAGCATAGAGCAGCTGTTCTCCAGGTATTGTCTGGGAACCCCTGGGGGCAACGTGAGACTTTCAGTGGGTCTGTGAGGTAAGATATATTTTTTTCTCTCTCTAAATAGCTCTTAAGTGGAGTTTTGGAGACTATGTGGTATCTGATATCTTTGGGGAACAGCTTCAACACAACATCCTGGTGACCTTGCACATATCCACATAGGCCATGCAGGCAAGTTTTGAACCACATTTTTTTTTTCTTTTTGAGATGGAATCTTGCTCTGTGGCCCAGGTTGGAGTGCTGTGGCATGGTCTCAGCTCACTGCAACCTCTGCCTCCCAGGTTCAAGTGATTCTCCTGCCTCAGCCTCCCAAGTAGCTGGGATTACAGGCGCCTGCCACCACGCCCAGCTGATTTTTTGTATTTTTAGTAGAGACGGAGTTTCACTATGTAAGCCAGGCTGGTCTTGAACCCTGACCTCAGGTGATCCATCCACCTCAGCCTCTCAAAGTGCTGGGATTATAGGTGTAAGCCACCACGTCCAGCTTGAACCACAGTTAATCTGAATCTTGGCAGAATTCCCTGTGGTCCTTCCTGGGACATGAGAGCCTAGAAGCTTGTGAGTAGCTGCTCCCCTAGGCCACTTCCAACTTGCCTCCCTATATCTCCTGGGAGGGTTCTGGTGAGATATGTGGCTTTCTGCCTTGGCCCTAAAGGGTTTAGTTGTATACTCTAAAGCCACTTAACCGGCTGGGCATGGTGGCTCACACCTATAATCCCAGCACTTTAGGAGGCAGAGGTGGGTGGATCACCTGAGGTCAGGAGTTCTAAACCAGCCTTGCCAACATGGCGAAACCCCACTACTAAAAATAACCTGTAATCCCAGTTATTCGGGAGGCAGAGGCAGGAGAATTGCTTGAACCTGGGAGGCAGAGTTTGCAGTGAGCCGAGATTGTGCCACTGCCCTCCAGCCTGGGAGACAGAGCAAGAGTCTGTCTCAAAAAAAAAAAAATTAATTAATTAGAAAAAAATGGCCTGGCACGATGGCTTATGCCTGTAATCCCAGCACTTTGGGAGGCCGAGGCAGGCGAATCATTTGAGGTCAGGAGTTCGAGACCAGCCTGGCCCACGTGGTGGAACCCTGTCTCTGCTAAAAATACAAAAGTTAGCCGAGCGTGGTGTCACGCGCCTGTAGTACCAGCTACTCGAAAGGTTGAGGCAGGAGAATCGTTTGAACCCTGGAGGTGGAGGTTGCAGTGAGCCGAGATCATGCCATTATGTTCCAGGCTGGGTGGCAGAACAAGACACCGTCTCAAAAAAAAATAAAGTAAATAAAATAAATAAAAATAAAACCACATAACCATCACAGACACTTAAAACCAACAGTAAGTGCAAAACTATGCCTACTGGTGCATGCATATTCCCTGATCTCTCTATTGTTTTCACTCCAGATCTCAGCTGCTTTAAAGAATAAAAACCTCCTTGGGGGCCTGCCTCCTCTGCATTGCCCTGCATTCCCTGAACTCCCAGCTGAGGAGATAAGGTGGTCTCCTGGCAGCTGGAGTGCCTGTGTAAAACTGTGTTTTTGCAAAAAAAGGACTTGATAGAGTTTGGACAAAACTTGCAGTGCAGAGAAAAAAAGTCAAATTAACTATGTGGTTTGGGTGGATTCATTGTGTGTAAAAATGTATAATTGGTATTAACAGTGTATTACATCTTTGAACCTTAAATGCTCATAAAATGTTAGAGAAAATTGCTTTGATGTCCAATGCTATAAATGATGTTCTGTTCATTGGCAAGCCAGAAATGTCTACTTTCTGTGTTAACAGCAGTCAGCATGGGTGACTGGTAAACCCCAACAAAACTCAGAGGACTGCTTGCCAATTAAAATTTCTTGAAACAACATGGGTGGATTCACAAGGCTAATCTCTCCGGCAGTCAAAGAACAATTGCTGCCTCTTACAAAGTAAGAACTCTGTGTTCCCAGTATTAACACTACTGCTGCATGCCAAACTTGTAACTCCTGTCAAAAGCTGGCCCATTTATCTTCTAGTAAAAAACTGGTCATACTACACAGGAGTCTGTCCCCACCTGCATCTGCAGCGATCTTTGACCTCCACCCACTCCAGGCTAATGGCTGTACTTTTCTTCCCAGGTTTTTCCTTTATTCAGGTTTTAAAGCGTTTCCGTCCATTCAGTTGACTCTGGCCCCACTGTGGCCCTTGAAACTAATCTGTTACGTTTTATTCAATGGACATTTCACAGACCCAAGTAGCTGATCCTGCCGAATGTATCGTGGAAATAGATGCTTTCAGTATGAGTGATATTTGTCCTGACCTCAAGGGATGCTCCCAATGGGGAAAGGCCACTGTTAGGACAGTGGCAGTGGGACAAGTGCACAATTGGGAGCCCACCAGGCCACACGATGGCAGTAAAGCAGCATATAATACAAGGCTGGGACGGTGCGGGGGCACTCTACCCACTAAAGAGCCAGGAGAGGCAGAAGTGCTAAAGGAAACCCGACACCCTGTGTGGACTGCCCTCCCACTCAGCCAATTAGTCCCAAAGAGCCTTAACATTAAGAGTGTGGGTGACTGGTAAGTATGCAGACTGGAGCCTGTGGCAAAAAGATGTAGCCGCTAAGCAATGATCCCCCTGTGGACGTGGATAAAGCATTTGTCTGATGCCACTACCAGGTATATCCTTTTTGAGAGGAAATTATTGGCTTGTTATTGGCTGTTAGTGGACATTGAGAGACTAACAAAGCAACAGCAGGTGTTATTATGCCCTGACATCCATGAGAGGGTCAAAAATGAAAACACCAACAAAACGGATTTTTCCCAGAAAAGAAATAAACTAAGAGTGTAACAGGAAGAGCCGCAGACAAAACCCCTCACACACAGAGTTGAGGAAGGAAAGGGCTTTATTTGGCCGGGAGCGTCGGCAGACTTATGTCTCCAAAAACCGAGCTCCCCAAGTGAGCAATTCCTGTCCCTTTTAAGGGCTTACAACTCTAAGGGGGTCCATGTGAGAGGGTCGTGATCGATCGATTGAGCAAGCAGCAGGTACATGACAGGGGGCTGCATGTACTGGTAATCAGAACCGAACAGAACAGGACAGGGATTTTCACGATGCTTTTCCATACAATGTCTGGAATCTATAGATAACACAAGCAGGTCAGGGGTTGATTTTTAACTACCAGGCCCAGGGCATGGTGTCAGGCTGTCTGCCTGTGGATTTCATTTCTGCCTTTTAGTTTTCACTTCTTTTTTCTTTGGAGACAGAAATTGGGCATAAGACAGTATAAGGGGTTGTCTCCTCCCTTAACAGTTTAACACGTGCAGGAAAAAGTGGCTAGTCACCTTCTAGATATGGCTGTCTCAAATGTGGGGTTCTGTGCCAGAGCTTCCTGGGGGCTTTGGTACACCACTGTTTCTGAAAATGCCTGGGCCTGATTCAGGGACACATCAGCTCTGTTAAAGGCTGATGGGGTGCATTGGGCCACTGCAGCTGTTCAGCCTCCAGGAAATCGGTTTGTTTTTTTTTGGGGGGGATGGAGTTTTGCTCTTCTTGCCTAGGCTGGAGTGCAATGGCACAATCTCGGCTCACTGCAACCTCCGCCTCCCAGGTTCAAGCAATTCTCCTGCCTCAGCCTCCTGAGTAGCTGGGATTACAGGCACCCACCACCACGCTCGGCTAATTTTGTATTTTTAGTAGAGACGGGATTTCACCATGTTGGTCAGGCTGGTCTCAAAATCCCGACCTCAGGTGTTCCACCCACTTCGGCCTCCGAAATTACTGGGATTACAAGCGTGAGACACCGCACCCAGCCGGAAATCTGTTTTAAACTGCAATGGAAAAGGGGAGAGAGAGTAAGAGAGAGAGCAGAGCTCTGGGTTGTGGTGTTTGCTCTGGAAAATATCTCCTACAATTCATCTTGTTAACATTTTCACTGACTGGTGGGGAGTAGCTGATGGACTGGCAATGTGGTCTGGTGCCTGGCAGTGGGGCATCTTGATGATTAAGTCTCAAAGACTGAGGTCTTTTTAGGGATGAACACTGTGGCAGCAGACTACACTGGACTCACAGCCCCGTTCATGACTCTTGTGGCTGCCCATGAAAAACGACCATTCAAAGATGAACATCGATGGAATCGACAAGTTAAACAGACCCATGCTGGCCAGGTAAGGACCACGGCCATGTGGACATACTATCACACAAGGCATGGTAATCCATCTGCAACTCAGGACTGCATCGCCAAATTTGGCATAGTGATTCCAGCACGGGAGGCTAAGGAAGTCTGGCAAGTGTGCCTGACTGCCAGCTACACAGTTGGGTGACAAAGGGAACTCCAGGGTGCATAACCAGGGGTGCTATCCCTGTCTGCACAATAGACATGGGCCAGACTATTCGAGGATTCTTAGATGGACTATGTTACATATTTAGATTCCCTGAACACGTCTAATCAACAATGGGCTACTTTTACAGTAAAAAGTACCCCAGAGGCCGGATGCTGTGGTTCACGCCTGTAATCCCAGCCCTTTGGGAGGCCAAGGTGGGTGGAACACCTAAGATCAGGAGTTTGAGACCAGCCTGACCAACGTGGCGAAATGCTGTCTCTACTAAAAATACAAAAATTAGCTGGGTGCGGTGGTGGGCACTTGTAGTCCCAGCTACTTGGGAGGTGAAGGCAGGAAAATCACTTGAATCCAGGAGACAGAGGTTGCAGTGAGCCAAGATTGCGCCATTGCACTCCAGCCTGGGTGACAGAGCGAGACTCTGTCTCAAAAAAAAAAAAAAAAAAAAAACAAAAAACTCTCCGTAGTGGTGATAAAAAGTTGCATTGCCTGACTTCTTGCTGGCTTTTTGAGGTAAGGGTATGTGCAGTCATTGAGCTCTTGCTGGGTCAGGATTAATATTTGATGACCAATAAAGATTTTTTTTTTGAGATGGAATTTTGCTCTTGTCGCCCAGGCTAGAGTGCAGTGGCTTGATCTTGGCTCACTGCAACCTCTTTCTCCTGGGTTCAAGCGATTCTTCTGCCACAGCCTCCTAAGTAGCTGGGATTACAGGCACCTGCCACCACGTCCGGGTAATTTTTGTATTTTTGTAGAGACAAGGTTTCACCATGTTGGCCAGGCTGGTCTCGAACTCCTGACCTCAGGTGATCCACCCGTCTTGGCCTCCCAAAGTGCTGGGATTACAGGCGTGAGCCACCGTGCCTGGCCAAAGATTCTTATCTATTTATAGCAACATTAAATGGACTAAGACAAAAAAAAAAGTAAAAAAAAAGATTCTTAATCTAAGGACTCTTAGAAATCTTCTGACAACTGCTGACTGCAAGAGTGAACAGCCTCCACTAGAGATGACAGAACAAGATTAACTTTCTAGGCACTGATATAATTTTCTTAAGCCTCAATCTATAATTGTTGAACTCTTTTATAGATTTTCCATAGACTATAGCAATTGCCCAATGTCCTAAGTTTAAATGATTATTGGACCCTGATCCCACTTCAGCAAAATGCTGCTGCTGAGACTGCTACTACTTTATGTGTGAATGTCAGGCCTATACTTGTCTGTGAAACACAAGCTAGTTTAAAACTCTGGCTGGGCGTGGTGGCTCACGCCTGTAATCCCAGCACTTTGGGAGGCCCAGGCGGGCAGATCATTTGAGGTCATTTGAGGCCTACATTATTTTAGGCAGATAGTGAGGGCAAAAGAGTCCTCGGCAGAACTTCCCTTTCTAACAAAAAGCAGCCCAAGAAATAACTTCTTTTCTAACAAAGCACAGCCTGAAAGATTGGGCTGCAAACATAGATAAGGAAGCTGGAAGCTTGCACGGGGGGATGCTGGCAGCTGCACTGATAGAAATGGCTACCTGGGGCCAGGCATGTCTAGCATGGGGGCTCCACTTTCTCTTTTTTGTTAGCATGTGCACAGTGAGAAAGAAATAAGCAACAAGGAGTAGCTCTCTGCTTAGGCAGAGGACCCACCTGCATAATAAAAGATTGGGGTGGAGGCTGCCAGAGATTCACATTGTATGCAGATGGTACACCTGGTCCTAACCAGTTTTTGCGCCCTATGCAGATCAGATACCACCTCCCCACCAACTCATCTATAAAAACCCTAGCATTTCACTGCTCATCAGCAGCCTATTTTTCCAGGACCCATCTCTGTAGCAGAGAGTTATTCTTTCTTTTGCCTATTACAGTTCTGCTCTAAACCTCACCCTCTGTGTGTGTCACATGTCCTTGATCCCTGTGACTATGAGACCAAGGACCTCAGATGTCACCCCAGACAACAAGGCCACTTCAGTAGGGGAAGAGGGGAAGGGCTCTATCCTGTGACCTTGCACATAACCATGCAGCCTCTCAGGCAAGACTTTAACTGCAGTGAATCTGAGTCTTGGCAGAACACCTTGTAATCCTCCTGGAACACAAACTCCTGGGAGGCTTGTGAGGATCCTCTCTAATGCCATCTTCCGTTTATCTCCCTGTCTCCCTTATGAGAGTTTTTGTTTGTTTGTTTGTTTGTTTGTTTGTTTTTTTGAGACATAAGTCTCACTGTCGCCTAGGCTGGAGTGCAGTGGAGTTCACTGCAACCTCCGCCTCCCTAGTTCAAGCGATTCTCCTGCCTCAGCCTCCTGAGTAGCTAGGATTACAGTCACGTGCCACCATGCCTGGCTAATTTTTGTATTTTTAGTAGAGACGGGGTTTCACCATGTTGGTCAAGCTGGTCTCGACCTCCCGACCTCAGGTGATCTGCCCACCTCCGCCTCCCAAAGTGCTGGGATTACAGGCACGAGCCAGAGCGCCCAGCCTCCTTATGAGGGTTTTGATTAAGTATGTGGCTTTCTGCGCTGGCTCCCCAGGGTACAGCTGTAGGCTATAAAATTGCTCAATTGCAGTCTAGAATTGGCTCCTCAGCAACAGGCTGTCCTATTATTCGTGATGTAGTCATCTGGTCCCTTTTGTTTTGGTGTCACTTAGTATAAAGGCCGCAAGGAGCTGACACCTTTGGCACTTTTCCTTTTGCTGTCTATATGTGTAATAAAATGTTAAAATTGAAGAAAGGTTCACTGTTACTTAACCCATCAGTTCTGTCAGGAGTTTGCTTGGTCCTCCTGCTATTACAACAGCTTAACAGCTATTACAACAGATTGGATGCAGAAGCAGATGGAAAATTCAGCTTATTTATTTATTTATTTATTTATTTTGGTGGAGTTTTAGCTCTTGTTGCCCAGGCTGACGTGCAATGGTGCAATCTTGGCTCACTGCAACCTCCGCCTCATTCAAGCGATTCTCCTGCCTCAGCCTTCCGAGTGGCTGGGATTACAGGCACACACCACCATGCCCAGCTAATTTTTTTGTATTTTTAGTAGAGACGGTGTTTCACCATGTTGGCCAGGCTGGTCTCAAACCCCGGACCTCAGGTGATCCACTTGCCTCGGCCTCCCAAAATGCTGGGATTACAGGCGTGAGCCACTGCACTCTGTTAGCTTCTTCTATTGAGTATTAATTTGCAAAACTGTAAAATAATGCCTCTTTTGTTACTAAATTTTTTAAAGGAAATCATATTTTCATAAAAATATGTTAACAAGTAATGGGTTTATTATTGTTTTTAAAATGAATATATACATATATGAAATTTCTGCATTGAAATATCTAGTTTGGTAAATAGTGATGAATTTAGCTCACACAAACAAAAGTATAACCATCCAATGGGTCCACCTTCCCTGCTGCCTAGACAGAGCCAGTTTATCAAAGACAGCAAAATTGCAATAGAAAAAGAGTAATTCGGCTGGGCGCGGTGGCTCACGCCTGTAATCCCAGCACTTTGGGAGGCCGAGGCAGGCCGATCACGAGGTCATGAGATCGAGACCATCCTGGCTAACACAGTGAGACCCCGTCTCTACTAAAAATACAAAAAATTAGCCGGGCGTGTTGGCGGACGCCTGTAGTCCCAGCTAATGGGGAGGCTGAGGCAGGAGAATGGCATGAACCCGGGAAGCGGAGCTTGCAGTGAGCTGAGATGGTGCCACTGCACTCCAGCCTGGGCGACAGAGCAAGACTCCGTCTCAAAAAAAAAAAAAAAAAAAAGAGTAATTCATGCAGAGCCGGCTGTGCGGAAGACCAGAGTTTTATTATTACTCAAATCAGTTTCCTCAAAAACTCAGAGATCAAAATTTTTAAGGATAATTTGGTGGGAAGGGGGCCAGTGAATCAGGGTGCTGATTGGTTGGCTCGGGATGAAATCATAAGGAGTTGAAGCTGTTCTCTTAGGCTGAGTCAGTTCCTAGGTGGTGGCCACAAAACTGGTTGGCAGGTCCAGCTGGGGCCGTTCAGTTGTCAGAAATGCAAAAATCTGAAAAGACATCTCAAAAGGCCAATCTTAGGTTCACAATAGTGATGTTATCTTTAAGAGTAATTGAGGGCTGGGCGTGGTGGCTCACGCCTGGAATCCTACCACTTTGGGAGGCCAAGGTGGGCGGCTCACCTAGGTCAGGAGTTTGAGACCAGCCTGACCAACATGGAGAAACCCCGTCCTTACTAAAAATACAAAATTAGCCGGGCGTGGTGGCGCATGCCTGTAATTCCAGTTACTCCGGAGGCCGAGGCAGGATAATTGCTTGAACTCGGGAGGAGGAGGTTGCAGTGAGCCGAGATCGCACCATTGCACTCCAGCCTGGGCTCAAAAAAAAAAAAAAAAAAAAACCAACCTTGGCCGGGCGCGGTGGCTCACGCCTGTAATCCCAGCACTTTGGGAGGCCGAGGCGGGTGGATCATGAGGTCAGGAGATCGAGACCATCCTGGCTAACAAGGTGAAACCCCGTCTCTACTAAAAATACAAAAAATTAGCCGGGCGCGGTGGCGGGCGCCTGTAGTCCCAGCTACTGGGGAGGCTGAGGCAGGAGAATGGCGTGAACCCGGGAAGCGGAGCTTGCAGTGAGCCGAGATTGCGCCACTGCAGTCCGCAGTCCGGCCTGGGCGACAGAGCGAGACTCCGTCTCAAAAAAAAAAAAAAAAAAAAAAAAAAAACCAACCAAAAAAAAAAAGAATCCAAAAATATTAGCGGGGTATGGTGGTGCGTGCTTGTAATCCCGGCTACTCAGGAGGTTGAGGCAGGAGAATCGCTTGAACCCAGGAGAGGGAGGTTGCAGTGAGCCGAGATGGCACCACTGCACTCCAGCATGGTAGACAGAGTGAGACTCCGTGTTCTTTTCCCTAAAAAAAAAAAAAGAGTAATTGGGGAAGTTGTGCTTCAAAAGAGTAATTGGGGAAGTTGTGCGTCTTAGGGCCTCTGGAATAATGGCTGGTAATATTTAGAATTCCAGCCCTTCTCATCCTAATTTGGTGGCTGGTGGCCTTTCATTCATTTTACAAGAACAGTTTAGCCCTTGGGAAGGGCTATTATTTAAGCTATAAACTGAATTCCTTCCCAAGGCTACTTTGGCCTATGCCCAGAAGTGGACAAAGACAGTTTAGAGGTTGAAAGGAAGATGAGGTGGGTTAGATCTGATATCTTTTACTGTCATTGATAAGGCTCTGATGACTGGAGGAACACCAGGGTCCTTGGTCTCTGATAGGCTTAATAACACAGACACACGTGGAGTGGTTTTAAGGAGCGAAAAGTTTAATAGGCAAGAAAGAAGGAAGGAAGACGAAAACAGCTCCCCCATACAGAGACAGAGGGAGCGGGGATTCCAACAAAGAGAAAGCGCCGTGTGCGGAAAAGTGGCTGCTTATCTGAGGATGCTGGAGGAGGCGGTGTCTGGTTTCCATAGGGCTCAGGGGATTAGTTTGATCAGATGTGTCATTTATGTGGCAGCCAAAAACCTGGCCCTCCCACCCTAGCTTTTTAATATGCAAATGTAGGGCTCCATGAAGTTCTACACACGTGGGAATATGTGGGGGGTGGCCATGTTGCCAGGCACATGTCAGGGCAAAGAAAAGGACGGCGGGAATCGCCATGTTTGGGTGCGTCCAGTTTCTAATGGCCTGTATTTCCATATCAAAGCTTGCCATCCTGCTCTAGGAGCCCAGGCTTTCCTGCTAGACAAGAAACCTTTCTGGAGCTGCTTTAAAAGAAACAAAAACTTCCCAAGGACCCCTTTCCTTCTCTATCTGCTTAAAATAATTTCTTAATAACTCCTATAACATCATAATTTCCTTAGGTATAATTTTGCAAAGGCGGTTTCAAAAGCTCTTTGGGGTCCTCAGTAATTTTTAAGAGTGTAAAAGGATTTTAACAACAACAAGTTTGCGAACCACTGTCCTTGAGAAGCTCTCCATGGATGCGCATGAGTCTGTCCAATTGGAGTCCTGGTGTATTTCTACATTAGATACCACACAGCAGTGAACACACAATGAACAGGTCAACACGTGTCATTATAGAACTGCGCAAAAGAGCTAGTAGCAGGCATTGTAAGTGTATTTATATAATGTTTACAACCATGGAAAACAACACTATATTTTGCTTATGGGTACCTGTGGTAAGCACAACCCCAAATATTGCGGCCGAGGGGGACCTAGAAGGTCAAAGTGCGCCTCAGCATTTTCTCTCGCCCTGCACAAGCCGCATTTCGCCCCGAGAACTACGCTTCCCGGCAGGCTGCGCGCCGCGCGGTGACGCACTTCACCCAGTCCTGCTTCTTTCTTCTGGCGCCGCCAGTGGCCCGCGGTGCGCATTCTAATCCGTTTCACACACGGTGCTGCTACCTCGTTTGCTTCGTGCGTGCGTGCGCGCGCAGATGTGGGCCCCGCGGGAGCAGCTACTGGGCTGGACTGCGGAAGGTGAGTCGGGGCCGCGAGATCGCCTCCCCCATTCGGTGCTCCAGCCGCAGGCGCCGCGCAGGCGTCGGCCGTATCCACCAGGGATGCGCGTGGGGTGCGAGCTGTGTGAGGCGCTGACTACCCCTACAGCGGCTCTTACTCCCCTGGGGGGCCAGGTTCCTCCCTAGGTGTCCCGTACAGTCTCCACGGTGCTCACTCCACGACTCTTCACCGGGCATCCTGCACTTGTGCACTCCGGCAGTCATTGGCCATAAATGGCTGCTGAGCATTTGAGATGTGTGGAGTGCAACTGAAGAACAGCATTTTGTATTATTATATTATATCATATTTATTTTGAGACGGAGTCTCGCTCTGTCGCCCAGGCTGGAGTGCAGTGGCGCGATCTCCGTTCACTGCAATCTCCGTCTCCCGGGTTCAAGCAGTTCTCTGCCTCAGCCTGCCGAGCAGCTGGGATTACAGGCGCCCTCCACCACGCCTGGCTAATTTTTGTATTTTTAGTAGAGACGGGGATTTCACCATGTTGGCCAGGCTGGTTTTGAACTCCAGACCTCGTGATCCGCCCACCTCGGCCTCCCAAAGTGCTGGGATTACAGGCGTGAGCCACCGCGCCCGGAGTATATTATATTTTTATATTTTTTGAGTCGGTCCGGAGTGCAGTGGCGGGATCTAGGCTCACTGCAGCCTCCGCTTTCCCAGGCTCAAGTGATTCTCGTGCCTCAGCTTCCGGAGTAGCTGGGATTACAGGCGGCGCCTCACCACCCCGGCTGTTGTATTTTTAGTAGAGAGGGGATTTCGCCATATTTGCCAGGCTGGTCTCGAACTCCTGGCCTCAAGCAATCCACCCACCTTGGCCTCCCACAATGTTGGGATTACAGGTGTTAGCCACCCCACCCGGCCCAAAAGACTTTTTTTTTGGAGACAGAGTCTTGCTCTGTAGCCCAGGCTGGAGTGCAGTGGGCGATCTCTGCTCACTGCAACCTCTTTCTCCCAGGTTCCAGCGATTCTCCTGCCTCAGCCTACCAAGCGGCTGGAATTACAGGGACACGCCACCACGCCCGGCTATTTTTTTGTATTTTTAGTAGAGGCGGGGTTTCATCATGTTGGCCAGGCCGGTCTTGAACTCCTGACCCCAGATGATCCACCTGCCTCGGCCTCCCAAAGTGTTGGGATTACAGGTGGGAGCTACCACACCCGGCCCCAAATGACTTTGGATGTAACAACAGGAACAGTCTAGAACAGGGCTGGGCAAATTTTTTTCTGTTTGGTTTTTTTAGAAACAGGGTCTCCCTATGTTGCCCAGGCTGGTCTCCAACTCCTGGGCTCAAGGGATCCTCCCGCCTCGGTCTCCCAAAGTGCTAGGATTATAGGCGTGAGCCACTGCACCTGGTCTTGCAAACGTTTTCTTTTAAGGGCCAGGTGGTAAATGTTTCAGGCTTTGTAGGCCACACGGTCTTTGTTACGACTAGTGGTCTGCTGTTGTGTGAAAGCAGCCAAAGACCATAGGTAAACGAATGAGCATTGCCGTGTTCCAATAAAACTTTCTTTATAGACATTGAAATTTGAATTTTGGCTGAGTGCAGTGGCTCACGCCTGTAATCCCAGCACTTTGGGAGGCCAAGGCAGGAGGATCTCTTGAGCCCAGGAGTTCAAGACCAGCCTGGTCAACATGGCAACACCCCATCTCTACTTTAAAAATAAAATAAAATAAAATAAGCTGGGTGTGGTGCCGTACACCTGTAATCCCAGCTACTCTGAGGCTGAGGCGCAAGAATTGCTTGAACCTTGGAGGCAGAGGTTTCAGTGAGCCGAGATCGCATGACTGCACTCCAGCTTGGGTAACAGAATGAGACTCTAAAAAAAAAAAAGGAAATTTGAATTTCATATATAATTTTCATTATTATGAAATATTCTGTTTCTGATTTTTTTTTCAGCCAATTAAAAATGTAAAAACTGGCCCAGCATGGTGGCTCACGCCTGTAATCCCAGCACTTTGGAAGGCTGAGGCTAGGATCACTTGAGCCCAGAAGTTTGAGACCAGCCTGGGCAACATAGTGAGACTTCATCTTTGTGTTAAAATTTTTTTTTTCTGAAGTAAAGACTATTCTTAGCCTTTGGGTGGTATAACAACAGGTGGCAGGCTGGATTTGGCTTGTGTGTAGTTTGCCAAGCCATTGTTCAGCATGTAGCTGTTTGTCCTGTGTGGGAGCCCTTGTGCCTCCTTCCATCCACTCTTTGAGGGTGGTGGGCTTTGTCTCTGCCTACTGTGCCAAGACCAGTTCAATTGGATAGCAAAGCTAAAGAAAGTAAAGACAATGGACCGGGCGCGGTGACTCACGTTTGTAATCACAGCACTTTGGGAGGCTGAGGCGGGTAGATCACCTGAGGTCAGGAGTTCGAGACCAGCCTGGCCAACATAGTGAACCTCTATCTCTACTAAAAATACAAAAATAGCTGGGCTTGGTGGTGCGCGCTTGTAATCCCAGCTACTCAGAAGGCTGAGGCAGGAGGTGGAGGTTGCAGTGAGCTTAGATCGCGCCACTGTATTCTAGCCTGGGCACCAAGAGTGAAAGTCTGTCTCAAAAAAAAAAAAAAAGGCAGTAACACTAAGTTGAACTTTAGAAGGATAATAACTTTTCCCTCTTGTCATGAGTGGCAAAGAAGATGTTTTGTGGTCACAGAGCTAGAAAGGTTCTTTGACTTGCTTAAGTGCTTCCCAGATGTGTCCAACATGGGCGGAGGCACATCGTGAGGTCCTGGAGTGTGCCTGTGATTCAGCACCTGTTCCCTTTTTGGAGGACTTATTTGCCTCTCTGAAGGATTTGCCTGTGAGTGGTCTCATGCTGGGGAGAGGCACCTAAGGAGTCAGGGCAGAGTCAGGACTCAGGAGGTAGGATCCCTTAGTTCAGCTGTGTGAGGTTACTCTGTGTCCCTCATTTTTTTCCCACCTGCTCAGTGGGATCAGAACCACCTGTCCCTCTGGAAGGGAGAGGCTTAGATGGTCTTTTTTGCTGAAAAGACTGAGGAGCTGCCTCCTTGCCTTGTGCTTTGCTCAGATGTAGCCACTGGGAGTGGCCAAATAATGGTACTCAGTTTTTCTTCTTCTAAAACTTTAGAACTTGAAATAGTAAGATTGCTTTGTTTTCCTCCTGAGTTTAGTCAGGAAAACAGTAACTTGGAAAATTACCCCAGACAGTTATCAAACAAGACTATAATTTTATATATATATTTTTAATTTTAAAATGCTGCTCCATTTACACAAAAATGTGCAGTTCTGGATAGATACATAGTATAGGCACATATTATGGGGCCAGGATGATGGTTTTCTAGGGCATGCAAGAGGAGAAATTGTATATATGTCTTTATGAAATCACTTGACACATTCTCATCACTTAGTACAAAAGCCAGAGTTGTTGCTGGGGTCTGTTTAGAGTGTTTTCCAGGGGTGATGATTTCAGCAGGGGTGATGTCATTATCACATTTAGGGCCTTTTTTTTTTTCTTGCAAACCCAAGGACAAGGCTACCCTTAGCCTAATTCCCCACAGTAACTGCACTATTACTCTGGGGAGCTCAAAAATAGATGGGACGAATTATAAGCTTTTTTTTTTTTTTTCTTTGAGATGGAGTTTTTTACTCTTGTTGCCCAGGCTGGAGTGCAGTGGCACCATCTCAGCCCACTGGAACCTCCGCCTCCCGGGTTCAAGTGATTCTCCTGCCTCAGCCTCCCGAGAAGCTGGGATTACAGGCATGCGCCACCACACCTGGCTAATTTTTGCGTTTTTGGTAGAGATGGGGTTTCACCATGTTGGCCAGGCTGGTCTCGAACTACTTACCGCCCACCTTGGCCTCCCGAAGTGCTGGGATTATGGGCTTGAGCCACGCCCAGCCATTATAAGCTTATATGTATCTTTTCAGAGACAGGGTTTCCCCGGCTCTGTCACTGAGGCTGGAGTATAATGGTGTGATCTCTCACTTCATTGCAACCTTTGCCTCTGGGGCTCAAATGATCCTGCCACTTCAGCCTCCCAAGTAGCTGGGGCTACAGGTGTACACCACCACGCCCGGCTAATTTTTTTATTTTTTGTAGAGATGGGGTTCACCATTGCCCAGGTTGATCTTGAACTTCTGGGCTCAAGCAATCAGCCCACCTCGGCCACCTAACGTGCTGGGATTACAGGCATGAGGCACCGTGCAGAGCCTGGCCAGCTTCTATGTATCTTATAAACACATATGCCTGGAATAAAGGGTGTCAAGGAGGAAGCTTCAGACTGCTGCTAAGACCCTCGTCCCCCTGAGAGGCACTCCCTTCCCCAGACTCTGTCCCTTCTACAAAGGCACAGGTCACAGGTTAGAAATATGACATCCCAGTTCCTTTTCTGAACTTTCAGAATCAGTGACACCCAAGGATCAGAAAAACATTCTTCTTTCCCCTCAGCAAAGATATGGAAGAGAAGGCTGGGCGCGGTGGCTCACGCCTGTAATCCCAGCATTTGGGAGGCCGAGGCAGGCAGATCACCTGAGGTCAGGAGTTCGAGACCAGCCTGGCCAACATGGTGAAACCCTGTCTCTACCAAAAATACGAAAATTAGCCAGGCATGGTGGCAGGTGCCTGTAATCCCAGCTACTTGGGAGGCTGATGCAGGAGAATTGCTTGAACCCAGGAGGCGGAGGTTGCAGTGAGCTGAGATCGTGCCATTGACCTTCAGCCTGGGTGACAGAGTGAGACTCTGTCTCAAAAAAAAAAAAACAGATATGGCAGGGAAAGCTTGAGCTTCCCTCCAGAGATGTTAAAATCTTACCTTTTAAAATTCCACAATAGGCCAGGCGTCGTGGGTCATGCCTATAATCCCAGCACTTTGAGAGGCCAATGTGGGCAGATCACTTAAGGTCGGGAGTTCGAGACCAGCCTAGCCAGCATGGTGAAACCCCCATCTCTACAAAAAATACAAAAATTAGCTGGGCATGGTGGTGCATGCCTGTAATCCCAGGGAAGTTGAGGTGGGAGGATCACTTGAGCCCAGGAGGTGGAGGTTGTAATGAGCAGAGATTGTGCCACTGCATTCCAGCCTGGGCAATAGTGAGACCCTATCTCAATCAATCAATCAATCAATCAGTTCCACAATAATTTGAAGAGGAATGAGAGTCTGACAAGCTGCGCTTTAGAAATGCTGTTGTAATGGTCTTTAATACTTTTTTCTCCTTTTACTCATGCTCTTTTGTAAAATAAGGAATAACATTGACAAGTTTTTAAAACAATATAATAATTATTATTTTTATTATTAGAGATGTGGGTCTCATTGTCACCCAGGCTGGTCTTGAAGCCGTGGATTCAAGTGATCCTCCCACCTCAGCCTCCCAAAGTGTTAGGATTACAGGCGTGAGCCACTGAAACCGGCCTGACACATTTTTAAAAAATATTTTCATTAAATCACAGACTTCTGTTTCTGTGTTTAACATTTTCTTTTTTTTTTCTTGAGACGGAGTCTCGCTCTGTCGCCCAGGCCGGAGTGCAGTGGTGCGATCTCGGCACACTGCAAGCTCTGCCTCCCGGGTTCATGCCATTCTCCTGCCTCAGCCTCCTGAGTAGCTGGGACTACAGGTGCCCGCCACCACACCCAGCTAATTTTTTGTATTTTCAGTAGAGATGGGGTTTCACTGTGTTAGTCAGGATGGTCTCGATCTCCTGACCTTGTGATCGGCCTGCCTCGGCCTCCCAAAGTGCTAGGATTACAGGCGTGAGCCACCGCGCCTGGCCTAACATTTTCATAAACTATTTTCGAGATGGAGTTTTGCTGTTGCCCAAGCTGGAGTGCAGTGGCGTGATCTCTGCTCACTGCAACCTTCGCCCCCTGGGTTCAAGCGATTCTCCTGCCACAGCCTCCTGAGTAGCTGGGATTATAGGCGTGCACTACCATGCCTGGCTAATTTTTTTATTTTTAGTGGAGTTGGGGTTTCTTTGTCATGTTGGTCAGACTGGCCTCAAACTCCTGACCTCAAGTCATCTGCCTGCCTCGGCCTCCCAAAGTTCTGGTATTATAGGCGTGTGCCACTGTGCTCGGTCCATTTTCATAAATTAAAAAAAAACATGTAACTAGAGTCACATAACACATGGGGGGAAATGATGCCTTGTCTCAACAGTTTTGCTAATTTTTAGGGTAGAAAGATGATGAGTGCTTAGAGTTTACCTTACTACATTTAATTAAGATCAGTGTTTCTGTAAAAATGTAATAGGGAAGTGGTGCAGAGCATAGAGAAGTTGACTCAAGCATAAGGCAGGAGGTGAGAGGAGCTCAGGGTCTGGGTCAGCTGAGAAGGCTCAGGTGGCCACAGCCAAGGCTCAGAGGGCTCTTGGGGATCCTCATGATGGGCCTGGTAGGGCTGGCTTCTCAAGGTTGCTTCTTTCTTTCCCCAGCTCTGCCTGCCAAGGATTCTGCCTGGCCCTGGGAAGAGAAGCCTAGATATCTGGTGAGTTGGGCCCGCCCTTCTCTTTTCTGAAATGCTGGCTCATTTCTCAGAGAATGGGCTCATCTGTCTTTCTTGGGAAGGGAGGAAGTGATTAACATTTAAGTGGTTTATGCCTTGTGTTAGCCATTGTTCTAGGCTTATTATAATGGTTTTTGCACTTAGTCTTTCTATTTTTTGAGCTTATACAAAAACATGACCAAGTTTAATTTTAATTCAGAGTATTCTAAAATATAATGGTAACTTTTTATAAAAACCTTGGGTTATTAAGATCCTAAAATGCACTATTAAAGTTCCCTACATCAACATTTGCACAAATAGTTATAACACTTTAATAGTATCTAATAGTCTGATCTTGTACATTGGACCTCTTTTTCACATTTTGTTTTAGAAAACAAAGATGCAAAAGTAGAAAAAGAGTTAACTCTTCTGTATCCATCATCCCACTTCAGCAGTTATCAACTCATGGCCAATTTTATTTCATCTCCATTCCCACTGGATTAAAGAAAATCCAAGGCATCATACCATTTAATCCATAAATATTTCAGTCCTGTGTTTAAATCATTAACAGCTGTAGGAGATGGGTGGTGACATCCCCATTTTCGAGATGAGATCATCTGGCTTAGAGGGATTACGTGATTTATGCACAGGGACACGTGGATGGCCAAATGGTAGAGTCAGGAATTAAATCCAGATTTCTCTGATCTCAAACCATGAATTTTCTGTGATGCCTTCTTGACTGTTTTTTTCTCCTAGAAAACTACCCAATGATAAAAGAACACACTTTCCAACTCTACGAAATGGGGTTATGTTTTGGATGAAGAGCCTCATAGAGTTCACCCCCTTGTTCTGATGTTGCATATCCCTCTCCCCCAACCCCTGTGATCTTTGCTATACCAGAAATTTAATTTATTGGTTTCTGGGCACAGGACTGTGTGAGATTCTGGGAGCTAGCCAAATAGAGTTGTTAAATTCACTGTCCTTATTCTCAAAGATCCAAGATTCTTTAGGAAATGATGCATAGAGACAGGAAATAATGACACTGGTAATAATTATGATGAAGACAGCTAAAACTGTAAAATAGTACAGGGAAAGACTAAGTGTTAGCCTGTAGCTGTTAAAACAATGCACAGCCACAAAGAATGGTCTTAGGTTTGGATTGATAATCAAATTCATGGTATGCAATGTACTTTAACCCTGCATTAAATTCGCGTAGCTTCATGAAGGGATAGAGTATAGGAGACATAGTAGGCACACCATTCTTCTCAGGAGGTTTTGTACCAGTCTCTAGGGCAGCTTCCAGGCCATAGGGGCCAAGCTTGATTGATACAGATGAGGGTGACTTGGGAGCAAATTACTTCATTATCAGGGAAGCAGCTGCCTTTATCCTTTATTTTCCCGTATTCCCTTCTCTGCCCCAACCTTTTTTTTTCTTTTTTTTTTTTGAGACAGAGTTTCGCTCTTGTCGCCCAGGCTGGAGTGCAATGGCATGATCTCGGCTCACTGCAACCTCCGCCTCCTGGATTCAAGCGATTCTCCTGCCTCAGCCTCCTGAGTAGCTGGGATTACAGGCACGCACCACCACACACAGCTAATTTTTGTATTTTTAGTAGAAACAGGGTTTCACCATGTTAGCCAGGCTGGTCTCGAACTCCTGACCTCAGGTGATCTGCCTGCCTCGGCCTCCCACAGTGCTGGGATTATAGGCATGAGCCACTGCGCCCGGCCCATCTTATGTTTTCATGCGCTTCAGAGTAAGTTGCAGATCTCAATACATTTCACCTCTGAATACTTCAGCATGCATATTATTAAGTAGAATTCAATATCGTTTCTGATTTTTTTCTGAGGTAAAATGTACATACAGTGAAATGCACAAATTTTGAGTTTACCTTTTGAGTTCAGCACTTCTATAGCTATTCGTTAGGCATTCACATAGCTTCCTTTTTTTGATGTGTCTGTTCAAAGTTTTGACACATTTAAAACAATTTATGATTGACATATAATGTTTGTACCTTTTTATGGGGTACAATGTGATGTTTTCACACATGTATACCTTGCGTAATGATCAAATCGGGGTAATTAGCATATCCATCACCTTAAACATTTATCGTTTCTTTGTGATGAGAACATCCAAAAGCCTCTTTTCTAGCTATTTTGAAATATACAATTCTGGCTGGGAACAGTGGCTCATACCTGTAATGCCAGCACTTTGGGAGGCCAAGATGGGCGAATCACCTGAGGTCAGTAGTTCGAGACCAACCTGGCCAACATGGTGAAAACCCATCACTACTAAAAATACAAAAATTAGCTGTGTGTGGTGGCGGGTGCCTATAATCCCAGTTACTCAGGAGGCTGAGGCAGGAGAATTACTTGAGCTTGGGAGGTGGAGGTTGCAGTGAGCCGAGATCGAGCCACTGCACTCCAGCCCAGGTGACAGAGCAAGACTCCATTTCAAAAAAAAAAAAAATACAATTTATTATTGTTAACTCTAAGCTTCCTACTTTGCAATAGAATGCCAGAACTTATTCATCCTGTATAATGTGGTTCTGTATCTGTTGACGAATCTCTCTCCTGCTTTCCTCTCCCCTCTCCTCTCCAACCTCTGGTAACTACTATTTTACTCTCTACTTTCTTTTTTTTTTTTTTTTTTTTTAATTAAATAGAGACGGGTCTCACTATGTTGCCCAGGCTGGTCTCAAACTCCTGGACTCAAGCAGTCCTCCCCTCTTGGACTCTCAAAGTGCTGGGATTACATGTGTGATCCATTGCACTTGGCCTACTCTCTGCTTCTTTGAGAACAACTTTTTTTTTTTTTGAGACAGAATCTCCCTCTGTTGCCCACGCTGGAGTACAGTGATACGATCTTGGCTCACTGCAATCTCCGTCTCCTGGGTTCAAGTGATTCTCCTGCTTCAGCCTCCTGAGAAGCTGGGATTACAAGCATGCGACACCACGCCTGGCTAATTTTTGTATTTTTATTAGAGACTTGGTTTCATCGTGTTGGCCAGGCTGGTCTCGAACTCCTGACCTCAGGTGATCCGCCCTCCTCGGCCTCCCGAAGTGCTGGGATTACAGGCGTGAGCCACCACACCTGCCCCGTCTTTTGTCTTATATTTGTTTTGTGAATATTTTGTTCTAGCCTAGAGCCTGCCTATTCGTTTTCTTAACGTCTTTTGATGAGCAAGAGTTTTAAAATTTTGATGATGTTTGTTAAAACTATAAAATGGTTTTTTAAATATGAAATTTTTGTGTTTTTAGTGGAGACGGGGTTTCACCATGTTGGCCAGGCTGGTCTCAAGTTCCTGACCTCAAGGTAACCTCCCACCTCGGCCTCCCAAAGTGCTGGGATTGCAGGTGTGAGCCACCGTGCCCGGCCTAGATCAATTTCTTATGTAGCTAGATTCTCCAAGACCACCAGTTCCATTCTCCCTGTGAATCTTAATGGTGACTTGATGAATATGAATTTATCGGTTGATTTAGGGACCAGTGACTTTTGAGGATGTGGCTGTGCTTTTCATTGAGGCAGAGTGGAAGAGACTGAGCCTTGAGCAGAGGAACCTATACAAAGAAGTGATGCTGGAAAATCTCAGCACGCAACTGTAGTTCCAGCTACTCGGGAGGCTGAGACAGGAGAATCACTTGAACCTGGGAGGCGGAGGTTGCAGTGAGCTGAGATCACACCACTGCACTCTAGCCTGGGTGACAGAGCAAGACTCCATCTCAAAAAAAAAAAAAATTAGCTGGGCGTGGCGATGCGTACCTGTAATCCCAGCTACTTGGGAGGCTGAGGCAGGAGAATCACTTGAACCTGGGAGGCAGAGGTTGCAGTGAGCTGAGATTGCACCAATGTACTCCAGCCTGGGCAACAGAGTGAAACTCCATCTCAAAAAAAAAAAGAAACTGTTTAATTTAAGATCACCTTTAAGTTGCGGTGATTTTTAGTTTTTTTTTGGTGTGGTATGAGATAGGGATTGGCGTTCTTTATTTTTAAATTTGGGCGTTCAGTTCTTCCAACACTGTTTTTTTGAAAAGACTTTCCTTCCTTCATTGAATTCCTTTGATACTTTTGTTAAAAATCAATTGTGGGGCCAGGCACAGTGGCTCATACCTGTAATCCTAGCACTCTGGGAGGTCAAGGCAGGTGGATCGCTTGAGCCCAGGAGTTCGAGACCAGCCTGGGCAACGTGGCGAAACCTCATCTTTACGAAAAGTACAAAAAAATTAGCTGGAGTTACTCACCTGTAGTCCCAGCTATGTGGGAGGCTGAGGTAGGAGGATCTCTTGAGCCTGGGAGGTTGAGGCTGCAGTGAGCCATGTTCACACCACTGCACTCCAGCCTGGGTGATGGAGTGAGACCCTGTCTCAAAAAAAAAGAAAAATCAATTGTGGGTCTGTTTTCTCGGTGCTCTGTTCTGCTCCATTGAACTCTTCTCACATTTGTATTGTGCTCCTCACTAATGTAGTAGCTTTATGGTGAGTCTTAAAATCAGGTAGTGTAAGTCCTTAAATTTTATTATTATTATTATTTTTTTTTTGAGACAGATTCTCGCTCTGTCTCCCAGGCTAAAGTGCAGTGGCATAATCTTGGCTCACTGCAACCTCCACCTCCTGGGTTCAAGCGATTCTCCTGCCTCAGCCTCCCTAGTAGCTGGAACTACAGGCACAGGCTGCCATGCACGGCTAATTTTTTGTATTTTTAGTAGAGATGGGGTTTCACCGTGTTAGCCAGGATGGTCTCGATCTCCTGACCTTGTGATCCACCCGCCTCGGCCTCCCAAAGTGCTGGGATTACAGGCATGAGCCACCATGCCCAGCTGTCTTTTGCATTTTTATATAAATATTGAAATCTATCAATTTGAAATTGAAAGTCTTATCAATTTGTACAATGGGATTTTGATTGAATTGCTTTGAATTTTTATATTAGTTTGGGGGAGAATAATATCTTTTTTTTTTTTTTTTTTTTTTTTGAAACGGAGTCTCGCTGTCGCCCAGGCTGGAGTGCAGTGGCAGGATCTCGGCTCACTGCAGGCTCCGCCCCCTGGGGTTCACGCCATTCTCTTGCCTCAGCCTCCCAAGTAGCTGGGACTACAGGCCACTGCCACCTTGCCCGGCTAATTTTTTATATTTTTAGTGGAGACGGGGTTTCACCATGTTATCCAGGATGGTCTCAATCTCCTGACCTCGTGATCCACACGCCTCCCAGAGTGCTGGGATTACAGGCGTGAGCCACTGCGCCCAGCCATGAGAATAATATCTTAACATTATTGAGTTTTCTGGTCCATCAGCGCAGTATCTCTCCATTTATTTAGACAATTTTTTCCTCATTTATGTAGATCTTTATCTTAATAATCTGGGCGTTTTTTATTTTTATTTTTTGAGACAGAAGATCCCTCTGTTTCCCAGGCTGGAGTGCAGTGGTGCAATCTCAGCTCACTGCAGCCTCTACTTCCTAGGTTCAAGTGATTCTCTTGCCTCAGCCTCCTGAGTAGCTGGGATTACAGGCGTGCACCACTACACATAGCTATTTTTTGTATTTTTAGTAGATGGGCTTTTGCCACGTTGGCCAGGCTGGTCCCAAATTTCTGACCTCAAGTGATCCACCTGCCTTGGCTTCCCAAAGTGCTTGGACTACAGGTGTGGGCCACCATGCCCGGCCATCACCGTTAGTATTAATGAACCAATAATAATGGTGGTTATTAACTAAAGTCCAACTTTATTCAGATTTCTTTAGTTTTAATGACCATTTTCTGTCCCAAAATCCCATCCAGGTTATCATGTTACACTTAGTTGTCACGTCTCCAAGGTAGTACTAGTCATATTTTTCTTTTTTTTTTTTTTTTTTTGAGACGGAGTCTCGCTCTGTCGCCCAGGCTGGAGTGCAGTGGCACCATCTCGGCTCGCTGCAAGCTCTGCCTCCCGGGTCCACGCCATTCTCCTGTCTCAGCCTCCCGAGTAGCTGGGACTACAGGCGGCTGCCACCACGCTAGGCTAATTTTTTTTTGTATTTTTAGTAGAGACGGGGTTTCACCGTGTTAGCCAGGATGGTCTCGATCTCCTGACCTCGTGATCCACCCACCTCGGCCTCCCAAAGTGCTGGGATTACAGGCGTGAGCCACCGTGCCCGGCGCTAGTCAGATATTTTGTAGATTGTCCCTTACTTGGGATTTGTTTGATGTTTTCCTCAAGTGAGAGGATTGCTTGAGCCCAGGAGTTCAAGACTAGTCTGAGCAACACAGCAAGAACCCATCTCTATAAAAAATTAAGAAATTTGCTGGGATTGGTGGCATGTACCTGTATCCTAGCTACTTGGGAGGCTGCCGTGGGAGGATCACTTGAGCTCAGGAGTTTAAGGCTACATTGAGCTATTATTATGCCACTGTACTCCAGCCTGGGTGACAGAGCGAGACCTTATCTCTTAAAAAACAAACAAAACAAGCTGGGCGTGGTGGCTCATGCCTGTAATCCCAGCTACTTGGGAGGCTGAGGCAGGAGAATTGCTTGAACCCAGGAAGTGGAGGTTGCGGTGAGCTGAGATCGTGCCATTGCACTCCAGCCTGGGCAACGAGTGAAACTCTGTCTCAAAAAAAAAACTAAACAAAAAATCAGTCGATGTTTGTGTCGGTCATTTCTGGACTCTATTCTGTTCCACTGATCTACTTGCCTTTGTTTTTGCCCATACCACACTGTCTTGATAAATGTAGCTTTATAATAAGTCTTGGAATTGGGTAATATGAATCCTTCAACTTTATTCTTCAGTATTTTGTTAGCTATTCCAGGTCTTTTGTCTTTCCATGTAAACTCTACAATCAGTTTCTCGATAGGTACAAAATAGCTTGCTGAGTTTTTGACTGGGTTTGCATTGAATCTATACATTGAGATCGGAAGAGCTGATATCATAATACTGAGTCTAACTATCCATGAAGATAGACTGTCTTACCATTTGTTTAGATCATCTTTGATTTCTTTCATCATTGTTTGTAGTTTTTCACATGTAGACTATGTACATGTTTTGTTAGAGTTGAACCTAAGTATTTAATTTTTTTGGTGCTCTGTGTGTATGTGTGTGTGTAAAATTTAAAATTCTAATTGTTCATTGCTGGTATATAGGAAAGCAGTTGACATATAGGAAAGCAGATGATCTTATATCCTGCAACCTTTCTATGTTTGCTTATTAGTTCCAAGGTTTTTTTTTTTTATTTCTTTTTGTAGATTCTCTGGAATTTCCTATGTAGACAGTCATGTCATCTGTGAACAAAGACAGCTTTACTTCTTTTCAAATATGTGTACATTTTCTTTTTCTTGTCTCATTGCAATAGCTAGGACTTTCAGTACAATGTTGAACAGGAGTGGTGAGAGAAGACATCCTTGCCTTGTTTCCAGTTATCTAGGAAAAACATCTAGTTTCTTGCTATAAAGTAGGATATTTGTTGTAGGTTTTTTGTAGATGTTCTTTGTCAATTGAGGAAGTTCTGCTGTATTTCTAGTTTGCTGAGAGCTATTACTTCTTTTTTTTTTTTTTTTAAGACAGTCTCACTCTACCTGTCAGGCTGGAGTGCAGCAGCGCCATCTTGGTGCATTGCAACTTCTGCCTCTTGGGTTCAAGTGATTCTTGTGCCTCAGCCTCCCAAGTAGCTGGGATTACAGGTGTGCGCCACCACGCCCAGCTAATTTTTGTATTTTTAGTGGAGACGGGGTTTCACCATGTTGGCCAGGCTGGTCTCAAGCTCCTGACCTCAAGTGATCTGCCTACCTTGGCCTCCCAAAGTGCTGATATTACAGGCGTGAGCCACCATGCCTGGCCAAGAGTTTTTACTTTTTTTTTTTTTTTTTTTTTTTTTGAGACAAAGTCTCGCTCTTTCTCCAGGCTGGAGTGCAGTAGTGCGATCTTGGCTCACCGCAACCTCCGCCTCCCGGGTTCAAGTGATTCTCCTGCCTCAGCCTCCCGAGTAGCCGGTATTACAGGTGCTACCAACCACGCCTGGCTAGCTTTTGTGTTTTCAGTACAGACATGGTTTTGCCACGTTGGCTGGTCCCGAACTTGTAACCTCAGGTGATCTGCCTGCCTTAGCCCCCCAAAGTGCTGTGATTATAGGCAAGAGCCACCATGCCTGGCCAGAGACGGGGTCTTGCCATGTTGCCCAGGCTGGTCTCAAACTCCTGGGCTCAAGCAATCCTCCTGCCTTGACCTCCCAAACTGTTGGGATTACAGGCACAAGCCACCACGCCTGGCAGCTAAGAATTTTTATAATCACTAGATGTTGGGTTTTGTATTTTCTGTATCAAATGATATGATCATATGATTTTGTTTCTTTAGCCTGTTAACATGGTGGATTACAATGATTGATTTTCTTTTCTTTTTTTTTTCAAGCCCATGAGCCTAGTTTATGACATTCCACTGGGCAAAACTCCTGTCCCCAGCACTGAGTATGGCCCAAGCCCCACAGCAATTGCCAAGGGACCCAACTGCCCTGCCTGCCTCTAGCTCCCAGCATTGCTACTGGGGAGGCCAAGGGTACTGAAGTTCATCCCACTGTCCCCTGTCCATACATGTCAGAGGGGCCAGGCCGTCATGGTGGGGTGGGGCAGGAGTATAGTTGTGGCCCAGGGCTTGTGAGTACGCCTCCTACTCCACAGCGCAGGTGCAGGAGGAACTCTGGAAGCTCTTCTGTCTGTGAGTGATACAGCTTCCAAGGTGTCCTTGAGTAGCAGACATTGTCCCTCAGGAGGGTTGACCCCAAGGCCATGAACGCCCTGTTCCAGGGGAGGCCTTTTTTTGTAGATGGGCATGAGGGTGCGGGGACCCCAGTGGGTCAGGTACTGGTTGAATTGGGGTTTGCCCTTTGGAACAACTCCTTCAGGAAGCTGAGGCCTGTGATTTGGTAACAGACCTGCTCGGTAGGCCATCTTCACACACCCCTCAATCTTGCAGTTCTCTTCCCGTCATAGGCCTGTGATCTTTCGGGGCAGCATGCCTCCATGGGGCTGGATGAACTGGCTAAGCAGCAAAACATCATCATAGTTTTACTTGTGGTTCAGGTTCCAGTGGCAGATGGGGCACTGGCCAGAGGGGTTAGGAGGATTTGGACTCTCCTTGGGAGTCGCTGTGATACGGCCTTCAATTATAGTTGTCTTTCCTTCTTGGATTTCCACCACTTCCCTGAAACCACGAGCTGGAAGCTGAGACCAGCTGGTCACTGCTGGGCCTGCTAGGAGCCCACACGGAAGCTGCCCACAGCCAGACACCAGAGCCTCAAAGGCCGCCATCTTGAAAAACCAACCCTGACCTCCACAATGATTGATTTTCAAATGTTGAACCAGCTTTGCAGAACTATAATAAACCCAAGTGTGGTATGTAATTCTTCTTGGGCATTTCTGGATTTGATTTTCTTATATTTTGGGAGGGGGTATTGTATCTCTGTGAGATATATTGATCTGTAGTTTTAATTTCTAATGTCTTTATCTAGATTTGCTATTAGGATAATGCTGGATTCATAGGATGGGTTAGGAAATGTTCCCTCTGCTTTGTGTTCTGGAAGAGATGGGGGTCTTCTATAGTAAAAAGTTTTTGTTTTTGTTTTTGTTTTGTTTTTTGTTTTTTGTTTTGAGACAGAGTCTTGCTCTGTCTCCCAGGCTGGAGTGCAGTGGCATGATCTTGGCTCACTGCAACCCCTGCCTCCTGGGTTCAAGCGATTCTCCTGCCTCAGCCTCCCGAGTAGCTGGAATTACAGGCGTGTGCCACCACACCCAGCTAATTTTTGCATTTTTAGTAGAGACGGGATTTCACCATGTTGGCCAGACTGGTCTCTAACTCCTGACCTCAGGTGATCTGCCTGCCTCAGCCTCCCAAAGTGCTAGGATTACAGACGTGAGCCACCGAAAAAAGTTTTAATTTTGGTGAAGTCTGGTTTATTATTATTTTTTTTAATGGATTGTGGTTTTGGTGTCATGTCTAAGAACTCTTTGCCAAGCACTAGGTCCCAATATAGATCTTCTCCTGTATTTTTTCTAGTATTTTTATATTTAAATTCGTGATTCATTTTGATTTTTTTTGTTTTTTGTTTTTAATAAAGTGTGAGGTTTTAGGTTGAGGTTAATTTTTTTGTCTGTGAATATCCAGTTGGTCCAGTGCCATTTGTTGCAAAGTCTATTCTTCATTGAATTACTTTTACAAAAATCCACTTTGGGGTATTTGTGTTGATCTCTTTCTGGGTTTTCGGTTCTCTTCTATTGATCTGTGTGTCTATTCTTCCATAGATACCCTGTCTCAAGTATTGTGGTGATCAAATAGTAAGTTTAATATCAGGTAGCGTGATCTCTCTTACTTTGTTCTTCTAGTTTCTTTGCCTTATCATATATATTAGGATAAGTTGTCTATATCTACAAAAAAATCTGGTTGGGATTTTGATGGGAATTGTGTTAAATCTATAGATCATTTTGGGGAAGATTGACATCTTTACTATGTTGAGCCTTCCAACCCATGAACGTGCTTTGCCTCCCCATTTATCTAGATCTTTGATTTTTTTTTCCATTGGCATTTTGTAGTTTTCAGTGTACAGATGTTATAGTTGTTTTGCTGGAGTTATGTTAGGCACCTCTTTTTTGCGGGAGTGATTGTAAATGGTATGTTTTTAATTTCAGTTTCCACATGGTCGTTGTTAATCTATATGAATACGATGGATTTTTATGTGTTCATCTTGTATCTTTCAGTCCTCCTGGACTCACTTATTAGTTATATGATCATTTTTATAGATTCCTTTGCATTTCCTACATAGAAAACCGTGTCCTTGGCAAATAGGGGTAATTTTATCTCTTCCTTACCAGTCTCTGTGCTTTTTACTTCCTCTTCTTGCCTTGTACTGGACAGAATGTTTGATTACTTTTTGAGAACCAAAAATTATTTACTTATTTTAAAAATCAGTTTTCACTTAAATATAAAACATTCTATTGCTTAGTTATAGCAAATTGTAATAGCAAGTGTTTACTGCATGTGAGGCATTGATGTCAGTGCTTTATCTTTATTAAGACAGTAGGTGTCATTATCAAGCCCATTTTATAGATGTGGAAACTAAGACACAGAGAGGTTATGTAAGCTTCCAAAGGTCATGTATTGTATAAGTGGCAAAGCTGGGATTTGGACTTGTGCGGTCTGACTCCATAGATTGGGCTCCTACTACATCCACTGAGCAAAAAGCCTAGCTTCCATTGTAGCTGAGCCTGTTGTTTTATGTTTCAGTGGAAAAACTAGAGGGGGAAGAGGAGTCAAGAGAGAAATGGAGAGGATATTGGAACATGAGAGACACAAGGCTTGAACAAGAGAAATTATGAGACCTGGGGTATAAAAAGAAAAGGGGAAAGATCACTGAGAATATGAGAACCAGGATGTGCCTGAAGCAGCAGGTCATGGAAAGCATGTAAGGGACAGCAGCCCACACCACTGCCCGCTCAGGCCTTGGCTGCCTAATCCTGGGTCCTGGCCTGCTGTCTAGACTTTTTGTCCTCCCTCGTACACTGTGCCACGCGGCCTGACTGCCTGGGCTGCTGGCTATAGATGTGACATCCCTCCCAAAACTTCTCACACACTCAAGGATTTCAGTATCTACACCTAGTTTCCTACTCTTAGCTCAGCATCATTATTATTCTCTACTGCTTCTGCACTTCTGTGCTGGGTTTTATTAAATCTCTTTTATAGTCCAGCTCTCAGGGGAGGATGCTAGGAAGCTCTGGCTTGGTAGCCTTGCACTGTGTTTCCTTCAGCCCCTACTGTCATCTTTGATTTGCTAGAAGCTTAATTAGTTTAGCTTTAGAACCTGGAATATACATTACCAACTCCTAGAGTGCCAAGGACCACTTGGAAGGTGGACAAGAAGATTGATGTATACCTGAGAATAGGAGGAAGAAGCTGAGTCAGAGAAGAGGTACTCAGGGTAATCAGAGGCAGCTGGGAATAATGTGCAACTGTTCCCAAAGTCTGCAGAGTGAAGTTAAAATTCTAAAGCAAGTCCGAGGCCGGCAGATCACTTGAGGTCGGGAATTGGAGACTAGCCTGGCCAACATGGTGAAATCCCATCGCTACTAAAAACAAAATACAAAAAAAATTAGCCAGGTGTGGTGGTATGCACCTGTGGTCCCAGCTACTTGGGAGGCTGAGGCAGGAGAATTGCTTGAACCCGGTAGGCAGGGGCTGCAGTGAGCCAAGATCACGCCACTGCAGTTCGGCCTGGGTGACAGAGTGAGACTCCGTATCAAAAAAAAAAAAAAAAAAATCTAGGGCAAGTTAGGAGTGTCATGGAATACCCATAGGCTGAAGCAGTTGGTCACTGAGCAAATAATGCTTGAATTCAGTAGAAGTTGATTGGTGACTCCCTTGGTATCTGAGGGCAATGCCACCTTTCAAGTGTAACTAAAGATAGAACACCACTGAATACTCATTTAGAAGAGAAGAGACTTGAAGATGAAAAAGCATATGGTGTATGTTTTTTTGAGACAGGGTCTCGCTCTGGTCACCCAGGCTGGAGTGCAATGGTGCGATCTCAGCTCACTGTAGCCCTGACCTCCTGGGATCAGGCAATCCTCCTACCTCAGCCTCCTGGGTAGCTGGAACTACAGGTGCACACCACCATACTTGGCTAATTTTTGTTTATTTTTCATAGAGACAGGGTCTCACTGTGTTGCTCAGGCTAGTCTTGAACTCTTGGGCTCAAGCAATCCTCTCATGTCAGCCTCCCAAGTAGCAGATCCATTTTTTTCTTTTTGAGGCGGAGTCTCACTCTGTCACCCACGCTGGAGTGCAATGGAGTGATCTTGGTTTACTGCCACCTCTGCCTCTCAGGTTCAAGTGATTCTCCTGCCTCAGCCTCCCAAGTAGCTGGGACTACAGGCGTGTGCTACCACGCCCAGCTAATTTTTGTATTTTTAGTGGAGACAGCGTTTCACCATATTGGCCAGTCTGGTCTCGAACTCCTGACCTCAAGATAACCTCCCACCTCGGCCTCCCAAAGTGCTAGGATTGCAGGTGTGAGCCACCGTGCCCGGCCTAGATCAATTTCTTATGTAGCTAGATGCTCCAAGACCACCAGTTCCATTTTCACTGTGAATCTTAATGGTGACTTGATGAATATGAATTTATCGGTTGATTTAGGGACCAGTGACTTTCGAGGATGTGGCTGTGCTTTTCACTGAGGCAGAGTGGAAGAGACTGAGCCTTGAGCAGAGGAACCTATACAAAGAAGTGATGCTGGAAAATCTCAGGAATCTGGTCTCATTGGGTAAGGACATGTTCTCTTCCTTCATTTTTCCATTCAAGTATTTACTGACCATATTCAGTGTGCCAGCCAATGTTTTAATCTCTTAGAACATATCAGTGAATAGAATAATAAAGCATTTCTTCTCTCGTGGAGCTTATATTCTAGTATAGGTAGACTGACAATATACAATAAGCAGCATATATAGGTAAATTATATATGTCAAAGGATAATAAGTGCTACATAGCTAAAAAAAAATGTATAAGATATATATAAATATAAGTAGAGTAGATTAAGGGAGATCTGAAGTGCCGGGTGTGGAGGCAACTGGCTGAACTTTTAAATTGCATGATCAAGGTAGGCCTCTATGAGGAAGTACATTTGAGCAAAGGCTTGAAGGAGGTGAGGAGGTTGGATATGTGGGTCAGGTGGGAAACTGCTCCAGACAAGGGGAAAGCAGTGCCAAGGCCCTGGAGGCAGGAGCATATCTAGTCCTTTGGAGGAAAAGCAAGGAGGCCAAGGTGGTTGGAGTACAGAGAACAAGGAGGAGAATAGTAAGAGATGCCTTCTATGACCTAGAAGTTGGAAATGTTTAACGTTTAAGGTATAAATCTGTCAGTTTGATGTTTTATAGATTACTGGATATCATACATCATGTTTTTATTCACTTATTTAAAAACTAAAACTGATTACTAGGTTAGCAAATACAAAATTATTCTGGATATTCCTGAGTTCTTGATGAGAGTCAGATTTTCAAAGTTCCTCACATTTCTCTCAGCATCTTTCTCAAGGTTTGTCTTCATCTGGCATAGCTATGAATTACATAGTTCTGATTTGTTCTCTTTGCATCTGCTTAGACCTATTTTGCACTGCTTTAATCTAATTTGAATTGGCCTCATTTCAATCCTAGTTGCCTATTTCTGTTTCAGTGTAGGTTCATCCATTTAAGTTAGCTTTCAATTGGCCAATCTGATTTGGTCTTGTTTCATCTGGTCTTGTTACTCTTTATCTTTATGCTCATACATTTTGTTGATTCTGAAGAATATGTTAAAATTGCCTTAAAATAATCTGATTCAAATTAATCTTGACCCTGAAACTTTGGATCTCACTGTATCCATTTCAGGTGTTAAACTGTTTTCATCCTTGATCCATCTTTCCCTTTCTCTCTACATCACTTTTTCTCTTATTGCTGAATTATTTAAAGCAAATCTCAAATATCATGACATACCACTCCTTTATATCACAGTGCAACTCCAATAAATAAGGACATTTTATTTTATTTATTTTTTTTGAGATGGAGTTTCATTCTCATTGCCCAAGCTGGAGTGCAGTGATGCGATCTTGGCTCACTGCAACCTTTACCTTCTGGGTTCAAGTGATTCTCCTGCCTCAGCCTCCCGAGTAGCTGGGATTACAGGCGCGCATCACCACAGCCGGCTAATTTTTTGTATTTTTAGTAGAAACGGGGTTTCACCATGTTAGCCAGTCTGGTCTCGAACTCCTGACCTCAGGTGATCTGCCCGCCTCAGCCTCCCAAAGTGCTGGGATTACAGGTATGAGCCACTGTGCCCGGCTTCACATTTTCTTATATAACCACAGTATCATGATCAGAACTCACAAAGTTATCAGTAGTGCTTCAGTATCATCCAACACCTAGTCCATGTTCAAATTTACCTGATCATCTCAAAAAAGTTTTTTTGCAAATTTGAATCAGGATTCAGATGAGATCCACACATTCCATCTTCTAAAAACTTCTCTTAATTTATATCAATTCCTTCTCTCTCTCCTTCTTTTTTTCTTCCCTGTAGCCCACGGATTTGTTTGTAATGTTCTGACTCTAGAATATAAATCTATTTTAGATAATATCGTAATTTTTGCATGGTAGGTTGTAAATCAAGAGAAAATAGTTTTGAGCTTTACCAAGAGGTGTTCACCAATATGAAAAAAAAATACATCACTCATGGCAGTGCTGGTTGTGGTGTTTGAGTAACCGCTTGCGTAGCACACTTAGGTCTGTCACCACTAGAACACATGTAGTCATCAATAAGGCATATCCATGTGTGTCTGCATTTGTAGCTATCATGTCCACAATGATCTTCCTGTAAGCACTTGATTGCTCTGGTATGTCTCATAATGTAGCCTTGTCAAGAGATTACATATTGAAATGAATATTTTTATTGTAAATTACTTTCTTTTTTTCTTTTTTTTTTTGAGACGGAGTTTTGCTCTTGTTGCCCAGGCTGGAGTGCAATGGTGCAATCTCAGCTCACTGCAACCTCTGCCTCCCTGGTTCAAGTGATTCTCCTGCCTCAGCCTCCTGAGTAGCTGGGATTACAGGCACGTGCCACCACGCCCAGCAAATTTTTTTATTTTTAGTGGAGACAGGATTTCACCATGTTGGTCAGGCTGGTCTCAAACTACTGACCTCAGATGATCCGCCTGCCTCCGCCTCCCAAAGTGTTGGGATTACCGGCGTGAGCCGCCACGCCCGGCTCCTTTCTTTTTTATGTTTCGGATAGGGCATTACATTATTAAAACATTCTGCAGCTGGGTGCGGTGGCTCATGCCTGTAATCCCAGCACTTTGGGAGGCCAAGGCGGGCAGATCATGAGGTCAGGAGTTCAAGACAAGCCTGGCCAACATGGTGTAACTTTGCCTCTACTAAAAATACAAAACAAAAACAAAAACAAAAAAACAGGCCGGCATGGTGATGTGCACCTGTAATCCCAGCTACGCAGGAGGCTGAGGGAGGAGAATCGCTTGAACCCCGGAGGCGGAGGTTGCAGTGAGCTGAAATTGCGCCACTGCACTCCAACCTGGGCAACAGAGCAAGACTCCATCTTGGAGAGAAAAAAAACACAAAACATTATGAGTACATTTAATTAAATATGAATTTTGTTTCAGGACAGTAAGTGAGATGTTACAAAATATAGGTTATAAAAAGGAGGCTTTTGTTCTGACAGTATTAGAGAACATCTTCTGCCTAACCCTCTAGTCCTTTTTTAATTAACTTGGCTCCTATCACTCATTTACTCAAAAGTATGTATTGACTATTAAACACTGGGTCTAGTTCTGCATTCTTAGAATATACCAGTGATATGTATGGGAGAAGGGTTCTGTAGACATAGAAACCAGCCAGTGTACATCATCAGGAGGGGAGGACAGTGTGGCTCAGATGGAGCAAATGAAGGCTGGAGAATAGGTTGAGTCAAAGAAGCAGTAGGTGGAACCCAGTGGGCCCTCTAAGCAGCTTGGCTTTTACTCTGAACATTATGGACTTTCTTTTTTTTAAGTTGAAGGGTCTTGTTTATTAGAAATGTAGAATAAAGAAGGAAGAGGCCGGGCATGGTGGCTCACACTTGTAATCCCAGCACACTGGGAGGCCGAGGCAGGCAGATCATGAGGTCAGGATTTCGAGACCGGCATGACCAACATGGTGAAACCCTGTCCCTACTAAAAATACAAAAGTTAGCTGGGCGAGGTGGCACGTGCCTGTAATCCCAGCTACTCAGGAGTCTGAGGCAGGAGAATCACTTGAACTTGGGAGGCGGAAGTTGCAATGAGGCAAGATCGCACCACTGCACTCCAGCCTGGGTGACAGAGCAAGACTATGTCTAAAAAAAAATAAAAAGGCCGGGCGCGGTGGCTCACACCTGTAATCCTTGCTCTTTGGGAGGCTGAGGCGGGTGGATTGCCTGAGCTCAGGAGTTCGAGACCAGCCTGGGCAACATGGTGAAACCCCGTCACTACTAAAAATACAAAAATTAGCTGGGCATGGTGGCACACGCCTGTAGTCCCAGCTACTTGGGAGGCTGAGGCAAAAGAATTGCTTGAACCTGGGAAGCAGAGGTTGCAGTGAGCCAGGATCACGCCACTGCACTGCAGCCTGGGCAACAGAGACTCTGTCTCAAAAAAATAAATAAATAAAATAAAATAAGAGAAAGAATTGGCTTTAGTCACTCACTCCCATTCCATTCTTCTGTTCCTGCTTCTAGGGCAGAACTCTGTGGTTCCAGGGCTTAGTGTCTTTTGGATGGATGGGGGTCCAGTTGGCTTTAATATTTAAATTTTTTTGAGACAGAGTCTTGTTCTGTCACCCAGGCTGGAGTGCGATGGTGTGATCCCTGCTCACTGCAACCTCCGCCTCCTGGGTTCAAGTGATTGTCCTGCCTCAGCCTCCCGAGTAGCTGGGATTACAGGCACCCGCCACCATGCCCTGCTAATTTTTGTATCTTTAGTAGAGATGAGGTTTCGCCATATTTGCCAGGCTGGTCTTGAACTCCTGACCTCATGTGATCCACCCACCTTGGCCTCCCAAAGTGCTGGGATTACAGGCATGAGCCACTGTGCCCGGCCTTTTTTTTTTTTTTTTTTTTTTTTTTTTTTGGAGACAGAGTTTCACTCTTGTGGCCCAGGCTGGAGTGCAATGATGGGATCTCGGCTCACTGCAACCTCCACCTCCTGGAATTGAAGCAATTCTCCTGCCTCAGCCTCCTGAGTAGCTGGGATTACAGGCCGGCGCCACCATGACCGATTAATTTTTGTATTTTTAGTAGAGACGGGGTTTCACTATGTTGGCCAGGCTGGTTTCGAACTCCTGATCTCAGGTGATCCCACCCTCATTGTTCTCCCAAAGTGCTGGGATTACAAGTGTGAGTCACTGTGCTGGCCAGAAGAATTTTAACCAAATGTGTAGACCCATGGATTCATTCCATCCTATGCAGAGTCCTGGTCTTCCATATTTAATTAGCACAAATGCCATAAAACTGCCTTCCTACTATTTAGTAGTTCTCCCTGTGAACTATTCACTAAAGTTTCTTTACTATTCATTCCCTTGCCTGACGATTAAATAAACTCAAAATTTTTATTTATTTATTCACTTGTATTAAGTTCTGATGGTCTTTATTACCTGAATTTGGATTCTAAGCTCTATTATTATTATTATTATCCTTAATAATAATAATAGACCCCATAATAAATATCACTCACTATGGGCCCAGCATTGCGCTTTGTGCTCTGTAGGGCTTTACATAAAGACCAAATGTAATGCTGGTATTATTTCATAGATCGGGAAATTGAAGTTTAGAAGGATTAGTAACTTTGTGTCCACAGTCATAAAGTAAGAAAAGACAAGACAGGGTTCAGGATGCCAAAATATGTGTTCCTAAATACTCTAAATACACCACAAATAACTCTGAACTTTTTAAAGGTCTATGTTCTATAAATAATGAGATCCTTGCTACTTTGACTAGGCCTTTGAAGAAAAGAAGCCAGTGAGAATTAAGCCCCCTGACATAGATGCAATACCTCTTGGGAAAGCTAACCACCTTTGGCCTTTGAACTACATCTAGGGCCAGGAGTGTTCCAGGCTTTGACTACTCTAGGCTTGCAAAGCTGCCATCCAGACATCCTGATCATCAGATTCCCAGACACCCAGCCCAACTGCTCCAACTCTCTCAGGACAGGAAGAGGGATGAGGACTAGCTAAGCTATGCTGCTCCAGAGGAGCTACTGAAACCAGGACCCCCATCCATCCAGAAGAAATGAAGCCCTGGAATCATAGAGTGCTGCCCTAGAATCAGGAATCGAAGAATGTGGTGGTGGGAGTGGGTGACTAAAGCCAAATAGGGCCGGGCGCCGTGGCTCACGCCTGTAATCCCAGCACTTTGGGAGGCCAACCAAGGCGGGCAGATTGCCTGAGCTCAGGACTTCAAGACTAGCCTGGGCAACATGGTGAACGCCGTCACAAAAAAGTTCCTGTTGTTTCCCATGATTAGATTCAGATTATACACTGCACTCCATTTTTACTTATTACATATTTTACTTTAATCCAAAAAAACCCACAGCCGAATCTATTCTATATATTATCGCAACAGAGAATCTTCCAAGTAGGCATCCAGACATCCTCAGTGTTGTAAATATCTACAATTATACTAAAATTATCCTCTACCATAATCACATAATGCCATAAGCATTTGTTTCCACTGAGAGAACAGTCTTTATGACCTATACGGGAATGCTCTTTGTGACTTTTCCTTTGAGAAGAAAGGATGGATTGAGATAGGAGTCACTTAGTCTCGATGTCCCCCAATGTAGAATGCAGTACAGAATAGTATTGAAGAATGTGCATAGGAAGCCTTCATTTGAGTTTCCCCACTCATAAGTAGATATTTACTAGAGGAAGATTACATGCCAAGTTCTACCAGAAGTGAGGATTCATCAGTGGAGAAGACAGGCACAACTGACTTAAAGAAGGCTGGCTCTTGGTCCTCCAATCCAAGACCTGCTCTTCCCTGTTTTCCACAAGTCGGCAAATACAGTAATGTTACCATTTAGCTGCACTTTCCTAAGAAATATCAAAATTAAATTGCAACTGTTTCTAACCAGCTGAAGATAACAAACAACCATGAACTTTTTGTAATCCAGGAGGCCAGACCCTTTATCAGCCTAACTGAAGACCCTTGCCTAACTAATAAATAGAAGAATTTTTTTTTTTTTTTGAGACGGAGTCTCACTCTGTCGCCAGGCTGGAGTACAGTGGCATGATCTTGGCTCACTGCAACCTCTGCCTCCCGGGTTCAAGTGATTCTCCTGTCTCAGCCTCCCGAGTAGCTGGGACTACAGGCGCCCGTCACTCCACCCAGCTAATTTTTGTATTTTTAGTAGAGACAGGGTTTCACCATGTTGGGCAGTATGGTCTCAATCTCTTGACCTCGTGATCTGCCCGCCTCCGCCTCCCAAAGTGCTGGGATTACAGGCGTGAGCCACTGTGCCCAGCCCTTTGTATTATTCATATTCTTGCAACTTTTCTGTATATTTGAAATGATTTCCAAATCAAAAGTTTGAAGAGGTTGAATGAAAATATAGGTCCTGCACAGCACATCTTGGGGAGAAAGACTTTAATCATTGAGAATGATTAATGGGCCAGGTCTTATCATAAAACAAGAGCCCAGTCAGCCCTTCCTATGACTCTTCTGACTGGAAACTTTCTTTCTTCAGCAGAATCAAAGCCAGAAGTCCATACCTGCCCTTCTTGCCCTCTGGCCTTTGGCAGTCAGCAGTTCCTCAGCCAAGATGAGCTACACAATCATCCTATTCCAGGTTTCCATGCAGGAAATCAACTCCACCCAGGAAATCCCTGCCCAGAGGATCAGCCACAGTCACAACATCCTTCTGATAAAAATCACAGGGGGGCTGAAGCAGAAGATCAACGAGTGGAAGGAGGCGTCAGACCCTTGTTTTGGAGTACAAATGAAAGGGGGGCTTTAGTGGGTTTCTCTAGCCTGTTCCAGAGACCACCAATAAGCTCTTGGGGAGGCAACAGAATATTAGAGATACAGCTCAGTCCAGCCCAGAATGCAAGCTCTGAGGAAGTAGACAGAATTTCCAAGAGGGCAGAAACCCCAGGGTTTGGAGCAGTCACGTTTGGGGAGTGTGCACTAGCTTTTAACCAGAAGTCAAACCTGTTCAGACAGAAGGCAGTCACAGCAGAAAAATCTTCAGACAAAAGGCAGTCACAGGTGTGCAGGGAGTGTGGGCGAGGCTTTAGCAGGAAGTCACAGCTCATCATACACCAGAGGACACACACAGGAGAAAAGCCTTATGTCTGCGGAGAGTGTGGGCGAGGCTTTATAGTTGAGTCAGTCCTCCGCAACCACCTGAGTACACACTCCGGGGAGAAACCTTATGTGTGCAGCCATTGTGGGCGAGGCTTTAGCTGCAAGCCATACCTCATCAGACATCAGAGGACACACACAAGGGAGAAATCGTTTATGTGCACAGTGTGTGGGCGAGGCTTTCGTGAAAAGTCAGAGCTCATTAAGCACCAGAGAATTCACACGGGGGATAAGCCTTATGTGTGCAGAGATTGAGGCCGAGGCTTTGTAAGGAGATCATGTCTCAACACACACCAGAGGATACATTCAGATGAGAAGCCTTTTGTTTGCAGAGAGTGTGGGCGAGGCTTTCGTGCTAAATCAACTCTCCTCCTACACCAGTGGACACATTCAGAGGTGAAACCTCACGTGTGTGAGGAGTGTGGGCATGGATTTAGCCAGAAGTCGTCGCTCAAATCACATCGGAGAACACACTCAGGGGAGAAGCCTTATGTGTGTGGGGAATGTGGGCGGGGATTTAGCCGGAGGATAGTCCTCAATGGACACTGGAGGACACACACGGGAGAGAAGCCTTACACGTGCTTTGAGTGTGGGCGAAACTTTAGCCTCAAGTCCGCTCTTAGTGTACATCAGAGGATACACTCTGGGGAGAAGCCTTATGCATGCACGGAGTGTGGGCAAGGCTTTATCACGAAATCACAGCTCATCAGACACCAGAGGACACACACAGGAGAAAAGCCTTATGTCTGCGGAGAGTGTGGGCGAGGCTTTATAGCTCAGTCAACCCTCCACTACCACCGGAGTACACACTCCAAGGAAAAACCTTATGTGTGCAGCCAGTGTGGGCGAGGCTTTTGTGATAAATCAACTCTCCTCGCACACGAGCAGACACATTCAGGGGAGAAGCCTTATGTGTGTGGGGAATGTGGGCGGGGATTTGGCCGGAAGATACTCCTCAACAGACACTGGAGGACACACACAGGAGAGAAACCTTACGCATGCATCGAGTGTGGGCGAAACTTTAGCCACAAGTCCACTCTCAGCTTACATCAGAGGATACACTCGGGGGAGAAGCCTTATGCATGCGTGGAGTGTGGGCAAAGCTTTAGGAGAAAGTCACAGCTCATCATACACCAGAAGATACACTCGGGGAAAAGCTTTAGAGGTGCAAGGAGTGAGGATGTGATTTTAGCAACAAGTCAGCCATCAGCCACACCAGCGGAAATGCTTAGGGAGAAGCCTTGTTTGTAAGGTAATGTGGACAGAGCTGTACGTGGACATCATTACTTGTCACGTGTCAGAGGACACACTCGGGAGAAACCTTCATGGAGTGAGAGTAAGGTGTTGGCTGGAAGTGGCCCCTTAAGAGATACTTGGAGTCAAATCTATCCACTGTACGCCCACCCCACTCTTGTTCTAAGAGCTTTGGGGACAGTCTTTTGACCCCTTACATTCCTTTAGATGTGAAGATGACAGAGATCTAACTTCTGAGAGCAGAGGTGTCAAGTGACGGTCCCCTTGGAGGAATGGTCTTTGCATCTGACTACTTCCTTCTGCAACTGTGTTCTTCCATTAGCTTCCATGACACTCTCCTGCTTTATTTTTTTCTACATCTCTAGCCTTTGCTGTTTCCTCTCCTACCCCACCTTTAGATTTTACTCAGAGTTCAGTCTCCAGCCCTACAATCTGAGGGACACCTTTACCAGGTCCCCTTCCTAACCCTCCAGTCCCAAATCCAAGATTCTTTAACCACACTCTAAAAGTTCTTCAGACTCAGGACTTAAACATAGCCACGCCACCTTGGCCTTCAATGACAGGGATCTAGCAATGCTGCATCATCAGCCTTCCAATACCAGGTTTAAGGGTATTTTAAACACAGCTCCTCTTAAATCCTCCAATCTCAGTACCCAGTGTTTTAGCCATGCTCGGGTGGCTAAATTACATCCAGGAATGGTGCCAGGGCCTTTAGCCATTTGTCTCTCCTCACACTCCAGGGCCCATATGGCCCAGGTTCTGACAGTTTGCCTTACTCCCTTGGGCTGGGGCTAGCCCTACCTGATACCCTGTGTCAATGAGTGTACCTTGGAGAGCTATCCACTCAGGCCCCAGTGCCTCTATTTGCTAAGGGACTCTGCCACAGAAAAGAAGGGGAGAGATGTTCATGTAACCTCAAAATACTTAGGCTTGGTTTTGATGCTAGAGAGGAAAAAGGACTTGGAGAGAGAGAAGGAATGGCTGGTCCAGAGGCTTTTGTCCACTCCCTCTCACTGGAAGTGGTTGATCTCCAGGGAATCCCCAAGGTTAGCCTGCTTAGGGGAAGGGCTAGGGGTACCTGGAATGTAGGATCTCCCCCATGCCTGGCCTACCACCCTAATGTGTCTGGAATTGGTGGGTTCTTGGTCTTGCTGACTTCAAGAATGAAGCCGTGGACCCTCACGGTGAGTGTTACAATTCTTAAACATGGTGTGTCTGGAGTTTGTTCCTTCTGATGTTCGGACGTGTCCAGAGTTTCTAACTTCTGGTGGGTTTGTGGTCTCGCTTAGGAGTGAAGCTGCAGACCTTAGCAGTGTTACGGCTCTTAAAGGCAGCGCATCTGGAGTTGTTAGTTCCTTCCGGTGGGTTCGTGGTCTTGCTGGTTTCAGGAGTGAAGCTGCGGACCTTTGCGGTTAGTGTTACAGCTCTTAAAGGCGGCGCGGACCCAAAGAGTGACCAGCAGGAAGATTTATTGTGAAGAGTGAAAAAACAAAGCTTCCACAGCATGGAAGGGGACCTGAGTGGCTTGCCGCTGCTGGCTCGGGTAGCCTGCTTTTATCCCCTTATCCGGCCCCACCCACATCCTGCTGATTGGTCCATTTTACAGAGAGCATATTGGTCCGTTTTGACAGGGTGCTGATTGGTGCATTTACAATCCCTGAGCTAGACACAGAGTGCTGATTGGTGCATTTACAAGCCTCTAGCTAGACAAAAATTTTCCAAGTCCCCACTAGATTAGCTAGACACGCGTTTACAAACCTTTAGCTAGACACAGTGCTGATTGGTGCGTTTACAATCCTTTAGCTAGACACAAGTTCTCCAAGTCCCCGCTAGATTAGCTAGACACAGAGCACTGATTGGTGCGTTTACAAACCTTGAGCTAGACACAGAGTGCTGATTGGTGCATTTACAATCCTCTAGCTAGACATAAAAGTTTTCCAAGTCCCCACCAGGTTAGTTAGATACAGAGTGCTGATTGGTGCATCCACAAACCCCGAGCTAGACAGAGAGTGCTGCTTGGTGCATATACAATCCTCCAGCTAGACAAAAGTTCTCCAAGACCCCACCCAACTCAGGAGCCCAGCTGACTTCCCCTAGTGGATCCCGCACTGGGGCTGTGGGTGGAGCTGCCTGCTAGTCCTGTGCCTCACACCTGCACACCTCAGCCCTTGGGCGGTCGATGGGACGGGCAGCGCCTGTCGGGGAGTCTCGGGCTGCATGCGAGCCCATGGCGGTCGGGGGTGGCTTGGGCATGGCAGGCCGCAGGTCCCAAGCCCTGCCTCATGGGGAGGCGGCTGAGGCCCGGTGAGAATTCAAGTGCGGCGTGGGCAGGCTGTCAGTGCTGGGGGACCCGGTGCACCCTCTGCAGCTGCTGGCCCGGGTGCTAAGCCCCTTAATGCCTGGGGCCTGTGGTGCCGGCCGGCCGCTCCGAGTGTGGGGGCCCCCGAGCCTGCGCCCACCCGGAACTCATGCTGGCCTGCGAGCCCCATGCGCAGCCCTGGTTCCCACCTGCGCCTCTCCCTCCACACCTCTCTGCCAGCCAAGGGAGCTGGCTCCGGCCTCGACCAACCCAGAGAGGGGCTCCCACAGTGCAGCGGCTGGCTAAAGGGCTCCTCAAGCGTGGCCAGAGCGGACGCTGAGGCCGGGGAGGCGCTGAGAGTGAGCGAGGGCTGCTAACACGTTGTCACCTCTCACTATTGCTGCCCCTTTCCCATGGCCTGAGCTAAAAGCCATAGAAAGTGTGTGTATGTGTGTGTGTTTAGGGGTTGCTGGGCAGGGGAAGGGTGGGACACCATCATTCCACAAGACCTCGAAGTTACTCCTCCCATAGAAAAATGAAAGTGGAAAAATTAGTGATCATACATCTACTTTAAACATGAGAGGGAGAAAAAAGTGTTCATTTTCTATTAAAATCCATGTAGGCACTGTCGAGATACCACACAGATCTGGTCCGGCAAGAGGACTGTCAGGTCCAGGCAGTCATAGGAAGAGATTGTAAGCTGCAGTAAATCTGAGTCTCTCTTCAAAGGGTTTAGCCTGCTAACTTCCTTATCCTTGTTCTCAAATTCAACTTTCTTGTTCTTCCTTACCCCTAGTTACTGTAAACAGCCTACCCCATTCTCGTCAGCTTTAATCAATAATTCACATCTGTTCCCTTGGTTACCTGTACCCATTGTTCCCCCGAAACTGCACGCCTCACACTCCACCTCTGTAACTCATGTCCCCCTCCCCTTCTATAGTTAGGAAAATATGTACAAGTGGCCAATTGGGTCAGCTCAGATTGTGCAGTCTGACCCCAGCCCATGGGGGGAGTGACACAGAGATAGGGACTGTGTTAAGGATAAAAATCCCCTGGTCTCCTTTGTTCTCTGTGCTCTTGTGATCTTGATTGACACAAGTGGCACCGTTCCGCAGAAGTAAATTACCTTGCTGAGAGAAATTAAACTTTTGCCTGAGTGCTGGTTTTACTTCATGGCACCGAGCATTTCATCCTAGAGCATTTTATATCCAACAATTCTGGGGGCTCGTCTGGGATTCCCATTCTCCTTCGGGAAGGGGTCTTCAGTCACCCTACCCAGGGGAGACACTTCCCACTGCCCTGTTGCGGTGGCCCTCAGGGATGGGAGATCGAGACCCACCTGTTGTGACGAATAAACCTGGACTCTCAGCAACGCGGGGAAGAGAGACTTGCAATACTGCGGCGACCAGGTAAACTGCACAGACCAAGGTAGAAAACGTCGCAGGGGCAACAAATTACTTCTTTAGTGGTTTTGCGGGGGTCGGGGCATTCTGGAGGTTGAAAGTGCATGAATGGTAACAAGCACTACTGCTGTGCGGAGTGAGACCAATCTGCAGTTCCGTGGTCATCTCATATGGCTTAGGGCGGCCCTTTGGGGGTCCCGTCAGGGGTTTATACTGACCCCCCATGAATGCTAAAAGTGACCTGGAACATTCCCTCAAGGGAAGCGGCCAGAGCGTGAAGGTTGCAGTGAAAGAAGGGTGCAAGGAATCTCCAGCAGGTGGAGCTAAAGGATAGGCGAATTGTGCCTTAGCAAAGCTTCCAGTGAAGGACAGGCAAGAGACCCCTAATACGAGGGGTTGAGCCAGAAGGAACCCCCCAAATAGGCAGGAGATCCCTAATATGAGGGGTTGAGCCACAGAAAGCCCCCACTAGGCAAGAGATTCCTAATACGAGGGATTGAGCCTAGCCAGGACCCAGTATGGTAAATAATACAAGCAAAAAAGATAAAGTTAGCAACAAAGATATACCACTGATAGTCCCCAAGGTCTCAAAGATATACCACCTGATAGCCCCTTAGGTCTCAGGCTAAAAGGTTGGAAAGATAACAAGAGAACTAAACATAAGACAAAGGAACAAATGATAAAATATTGCTGTTCTATTTGGTCTCAAAGACCTATCCTCAGTCCCTCAATCTTCTGGCCAAAGTTTGGGTCGACTAAGGATATACTATATCAACTTTTAATTCAACATGTAAGTAATAAAAGCCCAGTTTCTCAAGAAGAACTGAACTATGCTCTTTGTTGGAAGCAAAGACCTGTCCTCCCTTTTCCCTTATGCACCTGCCCCTACTGTAGAACCAGTGAGAGAAGGGGGGATCCTGGCAAAGAGAACAGCACATGGGATCCCCTAGACCATCCTCCACCTAATACCCCTAGTCCCCCTCCTAATACACCCAACCCTTCCCCTCAGGCCCAGCCTAAGTCCCCCTCCCCGGAAAAACTCCAAGCTCCTAATTCACCAGGTCGCTTTTGCTGGGCTAGTAACATCAAGGATCCACCGCAACATGTCTGCATCGTCCCTCCCATAGTACACCCCAGCGGCAGGCAAAGCCCATGCTCCTGCCCCCCCGCTGGTCCAACATCCCAGCACCATATTGACGGCGGCTCTGCAAGACCCATGGGCCAGGCCCCAGCCTATGCCCCAAGCAGACTACATTATGGGATATCTGCCTTACTTTTGCCAAGGCCAAGTAATATGGGGCCTCAGCCGCAGCTCCAAGCACCTAGGCATCCCTGCGGCTAAGTCTCCTGAGCAAGTGGTAAATAATCTTTCAGCTGATATATCCGCTAGCATTTATTGTGGTCAGGCCAGTGTTAAAAGTAAAAATATCCACCAGAAAAGAACTTTGATTCTTTAAAGTCGCTTTTTTGTTGTTGTTGTTGTTTGAGACGGAGTCTCACTCTGTCGCCCAGGCTGGAGTGCAGTGGCACCATCTCGGCTCACTGCAAGCTCTGCCTCCCAGGTTCACGCCATTCTCCTGCCTCAGCCTCCCCAGTAGCTGGGACTACAGGCACCCACCACCACGCCTGGCTAATTTTTTTGTATTTTTTAGTAGAGACGGGGTTTCACCATGTTAGTCAGGATGGTCTCGATCTCCTGATCTCGTGATCCGCCCGCCTCGGCCTCCCAAAGTGCTGGGATTACACGCATGAGCCACCACGCCCGACCTCTTAAAGTCACTTATATTAAAATGTGCTACCAGAAAATAATTACATGTGTATAAGTATGAGGCTATTCTGTTAAAAAGGATGGTTTAACATTAACTACTGATAATTCGCGTAACCTAGCAAGTTTCTTAACGAGAGATCCAAATCAAAAAGAAAGCACACATGTTTAGATTTAACTGATTACCGTACAAACGTCTGGCCAAACTTAAGAGAAACCCCCTTCAAAAGTGATTAAGGGAAAAAGAATGCAACAAGTGTTCAGTGGTTAATGAAAGTTCCTAGAGAAAATCAAAGTGTTTAATAATTAGTCTATTCAAATTTATAAGCTGTCTGCACTTAGTCAAGCTTTAAAGTACCTGCAGGACCCGAAAGAACCATATATACTAATTGTAAATACGCCTTTACAGTGGCTCATACATTTAGAAAATTTCATACTGAATTAATAGTAAAAGTTAAAGCCTTGTTTATGAGGAGTTAGTCACCCAAGTATTAAATAACCTTCAGTTACCAGAAAAGAAAAAAATAGCTATTGTCCATGTCCCCAGGCACCAAAAAGCCTGTCTTTCAAGAGTCAAGAAAATAACCTAGCAAATCAGATAAGCCAGAAAATAACCTAGCAAATCAGATAACGCTACAGGAGCATTTCTCCTGTAGGTGCTAAAGGGAACTCAGAGAAATGTTATTCAGACCTCTTATGAAGGAAGTCCTTTCTCCACCTACATTAGAGGACTCATTAAAGACCCCAAGCCATGTATAGCACAAAGTTTATATGTGTATAGGAATTTATACCCTGAGCCAAACAAGTCTAGAGACTTGGTTGCCATAAATCAAATGTCTTCTGACTTCTTATTACTCTACTAAGAATCCAAACTACCTCTCAAAGCAATCCAACATTCCTACATACTTGGTTTATCTTCCACTTTCTCTTCCCTCAGAACTCACAATTTTCCAGTACAGGCGCCACCCCTAGAGTTTCCAGTACCTCGACACCAGCCTGAGGAGCCAGCCTAGTGCTTCTAACCACTGAAACTGCAGTCCAAACAGCAAGAAAAGATAGACCCATCACACCCAAGTCAAGAAAGCACCGCCATCCCTGAAGTTGTGGGTCATTATCCAAGGGAAAAAACCCCTCAAACCTAAGGTTAAGAAACATTTAACACTCTTTTATCTATTCTATTCCCCTTTCTTCTTTCCTCATTCTCTTGCTGACCTTGTTATCAATGTAACTAGGTCAGACTCACCCCAAATCATTACCTTTGATGCTTGCCTTGTCATGCCTTGTCAAAAGGATGAATACTGGCAAAGATATGTCTCTACTTCAGAAAAATACCTCTGCCCCTTCAGAGAAGCCACTGACCCCGTGCCTTGCTTATGGCGGGGGTACCAAGGCACCCCAAGTTGGGAGATATGTTCTCAATGGGCAGATGTCATCCTAACTACCAGAGAACACGGCGGGACCTCCCCAGAAAGCTGTACCAACCTAAAATTTTGCCTCTGCCTTACCAAAGGAATCATCCCCTCTAATTATCAACTTCACCACTGTAACCCAGTAACAATCTCTATTAATGCCCCTACCTCCACCAACCCTGTGCCCCCTTTAGAATGCTTGTATGGATTAGGAGCAGAGGTCAATGGATATGACCATAAGGCTTCTTTAAAATATGCTTTATCGACCCCCCTTCTTCTCCATCTGAATCTTCTACTCTACCTAACAACAATGCCAAAGTAAATATTGTAGAAGTAAAAGATTTAAGACAAACCCTAACAATTGAAACAGGATATCAAGATGTAAATGCCTGGTTGGAATGGATTCTGTCTGCATGTTAAACAAAAGCAATTGTTATGCTTATGTGCACTGCAGACCAGAGGCCCAGATTGTCCCCTTTCCACTAGGATGGTCCTTCAATCAACCAGGCATGGGCTGTATGGTAGCTTTTTTTCCAGGATTCCACAGCCTGGGGCAACAAATCATGCCAAGCACTCTCTCTGCTATATCCTGAAGTCCAACACCCTATGGGTCAGCCCCTGAGGTCCATCCAGCTTCCATCTCCCAATGTCAGTTTCACCTCATGTCTCTCACAACAGGGGGAGAATTTGGCATTCCTCGGAAGCTTAATGGGATGGAGTGAGCTTAAGCCCTTCCAAGAGCTTACCCGTCAGTCTGCCCTTAGTCATCCTCGAGCGGATGTATGGTGGTATTGCGGTGGACCCTTACTGGACACTGCCAAGTAACTGGAGCGGCACTTGTGCAATTGTCCAATTGGCTATCCCTTTCACCCTGGCATTTCATCAACCAGAGAAAGAAAAACCACAACACTAAAAAATAAGAGAAGCTCCTTATGGGTCTTTTGACTCTCAAGTTTACATAGATGCCATTGGAGTCCCACAGGGAGTGCCTGACAGGTTCAAAGCCTGAGACCAAAGAGCTGCAGGATTTGAATCCATATTTCCAGGGGTAACTATTAATAAAAATGTAGCTTGGATAAATTACATCTATTATAACCAGCAGTGGTTTATTAATTACACCAGGGATGCTATCAAAGGAATAGCTGACCAATTAGGGCCTACTAGCCAAATGGCTTGGGAAAACAGAATAGCTCTAGACATGTTATTAGCCGAAAAAGGTGGAGTCTGTGTTATGATTAAAACCCAATGTTGTACCTTCATCCCAAACAACACTGCCCCCGATGGGAGCATAACAAAGGCCTTGCAGAGACTTACCGCTTTATCCAATGAATTAGCTAAAAATTCTGGAGTCAATGACCCCATTTAAGGATGGCTAGGAAAGTGGTTCGGTAAATGGAAAGGAATCACGGTCTCAATTTTTATTTCCCTTGCAGTTGTAGTAGGCATCCTCGTTCTCATTGGGTGTTGTGTCATACTATGCATCTGTGGGCTAATACAAAGAATTGTACAAACACCACTTACTAAAGCCTCCCTTAGTTCTCCTCTACCTTATTCAAGTACGCTTTTCCTTTTAAAAGATCAAATCGAATGGCAAAGCCAAGACATGTTTAAAAAGTTTGAAGAGAAAGGATCGTAAGAAAATTAAAAGGGAGGAATTGTAAGATGCAATAAATCTGAGTTTCTCTTCAAAGGGTTTAGCCTATTAACTTCCTTATCCTTGTTCTCAAACTCAACTTTCTTGTTCTTCCTTGCCCCTAGTTACCGTAAACAGCCTATCCCCCTTCCCATCAGCTCTAATCAATAATTCACATCTGTTCCCTTGGTTACCTGTATCCTTTGTTTCCCTGAAACTGCACATCTCACATGCTCCACCTCTGTACCTCATGTCCCCCTCCCCTTTTATATTTGGGAAAATATGTACAAGTAGCCAATCGGGTCAGCTCAGATTGTGCGGTCCAGCCACAGCCCATGGGGGAGTGACACAGAGATAGGGACTGCGTTAAAGATAAACCCCCCCGCCCCGGTCTCCTTTGTTCTGTGTGCTCTTGTGATCTTGATTGACACAAGTGGCACCCTTTTGCAGAAGTAAATTGCCTTGCTGAAATAATTTGCCTGAGTGCTGGTTTTCATGGTACCAAGCATTTATTCCTAGAGCATTTTATATCCAACAAGACGCAGAGGGGACCTCTGTCCGGCCAGGGCAGATGGCTTTGGGTGCCTTCTAGTCAAGAATCACCCCTTCCTTTGTCTCTTCGAAAAGAGGATGAAATCAGGGCTGTAATGGCCTCATCTGTGCAGTAACAAGCTCGAGGTGTTGTGAGATCTTCACAATAAAGGGTTGCAGGGGAAGGAGGGGTGGGGAAAGGAGTAGCTGAGTCTCTGGTGTAGGGGCTGACAGCTCATTTCTGAAGGATGATAGGGGGCCTCATTCAAATGACTGCAAGGCCCAGTAAGTCAAACTGAGATCAAGGCAGGCTGTCTCCCTGTCAACCTCATCCTTCAACCCTACCCCTAAGGTTCCCTGGCTCTGCCCATTTTTCGGTTATTGTATTTGGCCCTCCAAATCCTTCATCCCCTTTCCTTGAGCTTTGTCCCTCAGTGCAGTTTCTCTCTCAGCACACACCTAGGGACTGCTCTTTATCCCTCCCTGTGGACTTGTTCTTCAGCACTGAATTCTCCCTTTGTTTCCCAAATTTTATTGAAGTGGTGCCTGCAGGGTAGGATGGTGGGGAAGAGTGCTTTGGGAGGAGCCACAGAGGGCTCTGGAGGGGCTACTTGTGACCTCTGCTGCTTGCCCAACATTTGGGGAATGAGGATAGGACTTCCCAAGATCGGTTCCAGCTGTCACTGATCCCCTACCTTCTCCCTCTCTGAGGAATGGCTCCACCTCACTTTACCAGTTTTAGCATCTTAGTGGTCTGCATTTAGGGGCCACTTTCCCATAAGCCTTTGCAGGAGTGCTCGCTCAGTGCAATCCCAGGGGTCTTGGTTTTCCGCAGCTGGTCCTTTCCAACATCACTCTCTTCTCTCCCCTGCCTTGTTAACCCTCCTTTCCCATCTTGAGGGGTCCCTTCATGTCCTGGCCTCAGGAATTCCTCTTTTTAGGCCTTGGAGTGAGGTGAGAATCAAGATCTCCACAACTGGCTCCTGTGATTCAGATGCTGGGCCCTATGGTAAACCTCTCCAGGAAAGGAACAGGCAAGGGTGGAGTGAGACTTGGGCATTTATAATGAGTCTTCAAGGGATCATGGGCTCTCAGAACTGTAAAACTCAGGACTTGTGAATCCTGCATAGCTCCTGGGGAACTGAGATAATGCTGGGCTCAGATTAGGAATCTGGGGCTGCTCGCCACTGGGGGAAATGAATCCCACTGTTCACCCTGATTCGGGTGATTCAAGGGCCCTGATTCCCCAGGGCCATGTTTGATTAAGAAGGGAGTAAGCCCAAAGGAGAGGCTGTGGAATGATGAATGCGTGGGAGGGAGATGGTTAGATGAGGGTTTGAACTTGGAGATTCCAATTCCATGGGGGAGAATTTTGTGTGGTGGGAGGCTGACAAGTGAGAACTGTGAAATGTTCTAATAGATACTGGGAAGAGGTATCTGTCTTTTGAAATATCCAAGCTTTTATGGATTTCTATATTACCTCTTGTTCTCAAGCTGAATCTATACTGAAGATTTAAAAAATCTGGTATATCTGGGCCAGGTACAGTGGCTCACATCTGTAATCCCAGCACTTTGAGAGGCTGAGGCTGGCGGATTACTTGAGGTCAGGAATTTGAGACCAGCCTGGCCAACATGGTGAAACCCCGTCTCTACTAAAAATTAGCTGGGCGTGGTACACACGCCTGTAATCCCAGATACTTGGAGGCTGAGGCATGAGAATAGCTTGAACTTAAGAGGCAGAGGTTGCAGTGAGCCAAGATTGCACCACTGCACTCCAGCCTGGGTGACAAAGCAAGACTCTGTCTCAAAAAAAAATTTTTGTTTCTTTAATCTTAATAAGTGTTTTATGTAATTTTAAGTAAAATGTACACAAATGAAGAAATAGAAAATGAATTTACTATTTAGTAGTAAATCACAAATTTGTTAAAACAAATACATCTAACCATCTTATGTCATTTCATATGGGTATAAATAACATTTTTAAATGTTGGAAGTTATTCTCTTATAGGAAATAATGATCATATGGAAGCTAGTTTTGTGTCTGGCAGATAGTAGTTGCATAACGGCTTGTATTTTTTTTTTTTTTTTCACTACCAAACCTACCTTTGGAAGATGAACCAGTCCTTGAAGCCCAGCTCCCAATCCAGGCTTTTTCCTTTCTGCCTCATTAACCTTGTCCAATCAGGTCTTTGACAGTCATTAAGTCATTAAAGCTGTGATTTCTCCTTCTCCTGGGAGTCTATATTGTTTCTGTTGAGCCGGCCAGAAGGGAACTGAGATCTCTTTATGTGAAAAACCCTGAAAGGGAGAATCCTGTGACATACATGAGCATTCTCAGTACAAGCATGTAAAACATCCGTGAACCGTTATACAGTCTGCAGTGGGAGCCATAACAGGACTCTGGATTGGCTCAAAAGCCCCACTTGGCTGGGCACAGTGGCTCACATCTGTAATCCCAGCACTTTGGGAGGCCAAGGTGGGCGGATCACTTGAGGTCAGGAGTTCGAGACCAGCCTGGCCAACATAGTGAAACCCCATCTCTGCCAGCTGATCTGTTCCCAAGCAAAGAAGAGAGACTACCAAATATATGATGCTGGTAACAATAGCATGCCTATCTTATAGATGAGCAAATAAAAACAAATGTAGATAACTTGGCCATGTTCACACAGCTAATAAGTAATGGTACTTGGCTATAGCCTGGGATTCTGGAAACATCTGGAGTCTGGGTCTGAGAGGCTGTTCTGTTCAATTCCTTGCCCCCAGGCAGCCTGGTTCTTCAAATTCCTCTGGTCTCCTAAAATCTGACTAATTCTGGCCTGGTGTGGTGGCTCATGCCTGTAATCCCAGCACTTTGGAAGGCTGATGTGGGTCGATCACCTGAGATCAGGAGTTCGAGACCAGCCTGGCCAACATGGTGAAACCCTATCTCTACTAAAAATACAAAAATTAGCCAGGCGAGGTGGCTGGCACCTGTAATCCCAGCTACTCAGGAGGCTGAGGCAGGAGAATCACTACTCAGGAGGCAGAGGTTGCAGTGAGCCGAGATCATGCCACTGCACTCCAGCCTTGGCGACAGAGCAAGACTCTGTCTCAAAAAAAAAAAAAAATTCGAATTCTGATACAAGCAAGATTTAGGTGTCTGCTACACCAGACCCATCTCCAGAGACCTCTCAGGTGAGGATTACAACGTGGCCTATTGACATTTTCCAAGCTGGAAACCTCTATGATAAGGCACTGCAGAAATAGTACCTGGTAAACATTTGTACTTCTTATCCCTGGAACATTGGATCCTTCCAGCTTAGAATTCCTTGTTAGTGGGGGCAGAGTGGGGAGATGTTTCTACCAAAGAGCACAGGCAGTGTCTGCTAAACTAATGTTGTTACTAACTTGGTCATTCTGGCTTTCCCACGATGGTAGGCTGGCAGGAAAAGGGAGGAGCCATTATACTTACGTAGGTCATTGACCCTGATTATCATGCATTGGTGATGTTGCTACTCAAGTATATCTGAACCCAGGAGGTTCTGTGAATGCTTCCATACCCAGGCATAACCATCAGTGGGCACTTGCAGCAATCGCAGCTCTCTATCAGGGTAAGTCAGCTAAGGGATCTGACCTCTTGGAAGTGAAAGTCTGTTTTCCCAGTAGGTAAGCATCTTCGACCTGTAAAGGTTGGCTCTGGGGGCAGGAACTATAATATGGTTGATAAAGGAGGGAGGTAATAAGAATCAATTATGGCTTCAGGCCCAGTTGTAATGGTGGGAAATGTTATCTTTTCCACTAATCCACTTATATTGAGTCTTAAGTAGAGATCGCGGCTCACTAGGTTCTTGCCTGACTCTCTGATATGCTGAGCTACATGCAGAGCTGGCGCATGGGCAGACCCAAACACAGGCAGGGGAGGATGGCACTGAACAACTTTTATGCCCCATCTCACGTCCTCTTGGCCCACATTCCTACCCTGACCGTAGCTGCACTCAGGTGAAATCAAAGACCTCCTCACCGTTTCTCTCATGCTCCTTCTAGGAGCTTCTCTGCTGATGCAGTGTGGGAAGCCTGCAAGAGCCCCTCAGCCTTTCTGGCATATGCAAGTCTGGGACTGCAAATGGGTTAGGTCTCCCTGGCAAATCACTGACAACGGATGATGAAACCATTGGACAAACAACCAGCCTCCTAGGCTTTGGTGGGAGACAGAGGACCACCAACTAGATTGAAGCCCATTGTCCACAGTGGTAACCAGCTCAATACCCTATGCTTGGGATGGCCTTCCCTTCTCCTTTCTTTTACTCTCTTAGTGTCCTGATGCCTGTTTTCTGAGACCCCTTCCTAAAATAAACTACTTGCACACAAGTCGCCATCTCATGCTCTGCTTTTGGGAGGCCTTGAAGCGTAGTGTATTAGTCTGTTCTCATGCTGCTAGTAAAGCATACCTGAGACTGGGCAATTTATAAAGAAAAGAAGTTGAATTGACTCACAGTTCACATGGCTGGGGAGGCCTCACAATCATGGCTGAAGGCAAATGAGGAGCAAAGTCATGTCTTACATGGTGGCAGGCAAGAGAGCTTGCATAGGGGAAATTCCGTTTATAAAACCATCAGGTCTTATGAGACTTACTTACTGTCACAAGAATAGCACAGGAAAGACCCAACCCAAGATTCAATTACCTCCCACCAGGTCCCTCCCACAACATGTAGGAATTATGGGAGCTACAATTCAAGATGAGATTTGGGTGGGGACACAGCCAAACCATATCACATAGACACAAGAGCTATTGAGACAAGTGTAAGCCTGTGACTCCTGGGACCACTAAACCAGAGGAAGAGCTCTCACCTGAATTATAATTTGTGTTGGGAGGGTTCCCTTTCAAATTTATATTCTGTGGGAACTCATAATCTCAGTTGTCTTCTTACTCTCCTGTATCCTCTGTTCCTCTCTTTTGGCAAAGAACTAGAGCCTATAAATCAATTTGTATTTTACCAGTCCTTCAAAATGTCCATAAGTTGCCAAATTTCCCTAAACTTGACATATTTCTCCTTAAGTCATAATTAAACTTAACAGTCTATACTCATTGTCTTTGTTTCCTTAAATCCAAGTTCTCCATTTTCTTGCCATTTTTCACTTACAGGATCATCTAAAATTTGTGGGTGAGGTTTCTTTACATTGGAAATTTGTAGGGAAACCCCACCTGGAACATCCAAAGATGGGAAAGAGTTGGGGGTCAGAGCCATGGATAAGATACGAACGTCCCAGATTGAGACTATTTAGGAAAAACATGTCTAGTATCTGGGAAGAGATGTTATTTTGAGAGAGAAAAAAGCCACTCAACTGTGGTTGCACTGCCAGAGACCCGGTTACCACCCAGTCATCCATAGCACAGAAAGTCCCCCACTTACAGTGGTTTGACTTCCATTTTTCAACTTTATGATGGTATGAAAATTATAGTACTCAGTAGAAACTGTACTTAGAATTTTGAATTTTGATCTTTTCCCAGGCTAGCAATATGCAATGTGATACTCTCATGATGCTGGGCAGTGGCAGTGAGCCATAGCTCCCAGGCAGCCACACGTTACAAGGGTAAACGATGGACGCTACAGTTCACTGTGCTGCCCGATAATTTTGCCCAACCATAGACTAGTATTTTGTTTGTTTGTTTGCTTTTGTGGCAGTGTCTCACTCTGTCACTCAGGCTGGAGTGCAGTGGTGCAATCTTGGCTCACTGCAACCTTCTCCAGGGCTGAAGCAATCCTCCCACCTCAGCCTCCCAAGTAGCTGGGACTACAGGAACGTGCCACCACACCCAGCTTATATATATATTTTTGGTAGAGACAGGGTTTCACCATGTTGCCCAGGCTGGTCTCGAACTCCTGGCCTCAAGTGATCTGCCCATCTCAGCCTCCCAAAGTGCTGGGATTATAGGCATGAGCCACCGTGCCTGGCCTAATGTAAGTGTTCTAAGCACGTTTAGGTAGGCGAGGCTAAGCTATGATGTCCAGTAGTTTAGGTGTATTAAATGCATTTTTGTCTTATAGTATTTTCAATTTAAGATGGGTTTATCCGGATGTAACCTCATTGTTAAGCTGAGGAGCATCTGTATTACCTTTGTAGGGACAGGCAAACCTATAGGAAACCTAAAATACCAGTCTTGGCTCACAGTTCCCAGTCCCATGAGTTACAAATCTTCAATGGCTAACCAGAAGACAAACCAACACAAACTACCTGCTTCTGTAAAATGCTCTAAGAGGGATGGGAGGAGCTATCTTCTCTCCCAGGACCTAAAATGAGAAGTGTGAAGCCTTAGGAAGACACTGACATCCCCATTTATAATGAGAAAACTTTGAATCACAGAGGTTTATAAATGACTGAAATGCTTTTCAGAGAGATTATATCTTACCCTTCTCACTCCCAATGCCAGAATTCTCTGACTCAATTGCATGAGAATTCTGGCCTCTACTTTTGGGGGTGGGGGAACTGTTGGAATTTCTCAATTTTAATCATTCTTGGTTTGACTCAAGCCTCCAGCCCCAGCTCTCTTGAGCTGCACACCCTCCCTGCCTTACCCTGCCCTCTGCCCCTTTGGAAATTCTCCTTAGTCCCTGGCTTCTCACTCTGAGAGACTCAGGCAATCCTGGGCCTCTAATCCCATATTGTAGCTGTGCACGCTATTGAGCTGGGCTTTCCATCTTAGCAGTCAAGGGCCTATTGTATTTTAATTTTTTAGAAATAGGGTTTCGCTCTGTCACCCAGAGTTCAGAGGCATGATCATAGCTCACTATAGCCTAAAACTCCTGGGCTCAAGCAATCCTCCTACTTCAGCCTCCTGAGTAGCTAGGACTACAGGTATACACCACTACACCTGGCTAATTTTTTTTTTTTTTTTTTTTTTTTTTTTTTGGTAGAGACAGGGTCTCACTATGTTGCCCAGGTTGATCTCAAACTGCTGGCCTTGAGTGTCCTTTTGCTTCAGCCTCCCAAAGCACTGGGTTTACAGGTGTGAGCCATGGCACCCAGCCTAAAGAACCTATTTTATTAGGGGATTTGATGACTCAAAGTCTCCCTTTCTGCTAGTCTAATATTACAGTCAATCTTATAAAACAGCAATGGTATGCTTTGGCTATGGTGCTGTGGCTGTGGTCTACACTCCCTGGGGTCGGGGGTAAGAGTAACAAAATACTCTACTGGGGTGCTGCTGTAACAAAATACTTGAAACTGGATAATTTACAAAGAACAACAGAAGTTTCTTTCTTTTCTGGGTTTTTTTTTTCCCCTTTTTTTTTTTTTTTTTTAAAGACAGGGTCTTGCTATGTTACTCAGGCTGGCCTTAAACTCCAGGCAGGGCTCAAGCAATCATCTTGTCTCAGCCTCCTGAGCAGCTGGGACTCCAGGCATGTGCCACTGTACCAAGCAGAAATTTCTTTTTTCACAGTTCTGGAACTGGGAAGTCCAAGATCAGGGCTCCTGCCCCTGGACCTGAACCTGGATCTTTGGCTTTGATGTTGGACCTTGTGTGTGGATATGAACTTTGAACCTGCACCTTGGAACTAAACCTCTGACTTGGATTTGTTCTGCATTTTGGAACTCACCTTAGACCTGAACCTTGGTCATGAAATGGATCTGAATCATTCTTGGGTCTTGGACATGGGACTTGGACCTCCATGTGTATCTTGGACTTAGGACCATGATCTGGACCTTGTAAATTGACTTGGACTTTGGACTTGGACCTTGGACTAGAATTTGTCCCTGGCTGTGGACCTCGTCTTTGGATCTGGATCTGGACCTGGTCTTGGATGTTGGACCTAGATGCAGGCCTTGATTTGATTTGGAACATGGACTTGGTCCTTGCACATGGCCCAACACCCGCGTCTTTGGAACTGCATCTTGGACCTTGGATCTGAAATTTAAACAGGGAGGTGACCTTCATTTCTTGTATTTGACTTTATAACTGGAAATTCAATCTCTACCTGGATCTTGGACCTGGATCTCAGACCTTGCTTTTTATTGGGCCATGGATCTTATACCTTAAACATGGAAATTGTACCTGGATTTGGACCTTTGACTTGGACCTGGATCTGGACCCAGGGATAAGATTTGGACCTCACTTGCAAATTTTGGTAATGAAATTTTCCTTTGCTCCTGTAGTCCTTGGACCTAGGCTTCAGTCATGGATTTAGACCTTAGACGTGACCATCAGACCTTAGAGTTGAACCTAAATTCCTGGTCCCCAGTCCTATAACTCAGAATGATTATGCATAACCTTGGACTTAGAACTTAGATCTGGATCTTAGAGCTGATACTTGACCTGGTACTGGATATTTAACCTTGGACTTCAGACATGGATTTAATCTGGGCCTTGGGATGATTTAAGATCTAGAAGTGGACCTAGAATTAGACCTTGGACTTATGTGCCTGAGCCTGGACTTTGGAAGTGGACTTTGGGCCTTGTAACTCAACCTTGAATATGAGCCTCAAATGTAGACTGTGGGCCAGGCACAGTGGCTCACATCTGTAATCCCAGCACTTTGGGTGGAAAGCTGAGGCAGGTGGATCACTTGAGCTCAGGAATTCAAGACCAGCCTGGGGAACATGGTGAAAACCTGGCTCTACAAAAAATAAAAAAATTAGCCAGGCTTGGTGGCACACACCTGTAGTTCCAGGTACTCAGGAGGCTGAGGCAGGAGGTTCACTTGGGCCCAGGAGGCAGAGGTTGCAGTGAGCTGAGCTTGTACAGCTGCACTCCAGCCTGGAGGACAGAGTGAGACTCTGTCTCAAGAAAAAAAAATAAAAAATAAATAAATAAATAAGAGAAAATACAGCATGTTTGTAAGATCTGTCTCTTGATGATCCAAGAAAGACAGGAAATAATTGCCAGAGTAATGCCTTGAGTAGGTGGGAGGAGACAGGATCTTCTGCACAGATTGGGGTAACTTTAAATAGGAACTTGGAAGGTTCGCCCATTGTTCATCCTAACAAGAAGGAAGCAGAGTACATAAGCACAGATGGAGATAGGTGGCTCAATGTGGTCTTGGGAGTCTGAAAAGTTTCTCTTCTGGCTGTTTTTGTTACTTTCCTGAAATAGGAAGTAAGGTTAACAGCTGGAGAGTGAGGAAGGGGGAGGAGGTGTTGGAGGTTTGAAGAGAAAGGAGAATACATGAATATATCTAGGAAAGTGGAGGAGTGGACGGTCTAGGAAGACGTGGGAGACATAAGACAGGGATGTAGAAGGGACTATGACTTCAGAGTAAGATTTACTGATTTAAGATTTTCTTTTTTAGCTTAAAAGTAAGAGCGTGGTGGCTCATGCCTGTAATCCTAGCACTTTGAGAGGCCGAGATGGGTGAATCGCTTGAGCCCAGGAGTTCAAGACTAGCCTGGGCAACATGGCAAAACTCCATCTCTACAAAAAATACAAAAATTCGTCCAGCATAATGGAGCATGCCCGTAGTCCCAGCTACTTGGGAGGCTCAGGTGGGAAGATCACCTGAGTCGGGGAGGTGGCAGTGAGCAGAGATCACGCCACTGCATTCCAGCCTAGGTGACAGAGTGAGACCCTGTCTCAAAAAAAAAAAAGAAAAAAAAAATTTAGAGATGGAAGAATTCTAATAATGTCAAAGATTAGAGTATGGATACTATTCATTACCATTAATAAAGGAGCAATATGCCTGGTACTGTGCTGGGTGACAGGGATACAGGCATGAAGAAAACAGCCTTTGCACTAATGAAATTTGTTTTCCCTTCAGAAAGCCAGATTTTAAACAAATAAGCTATGAGGCTGGTCTGAAGGTAGTGAGTTATCTCAATTGTTCACAGTTAGTTACAGGTTGAATGCCTTGTTCTACTCTTTCCCCTTTCTCACTGCTGCACTTGACCAGTCTTTAAAAAAAAAAAGATAGGAATCATGACTTAATTACAATGGTGGTACATGTTATGAAGAGCATGATACACTGCATGACAGAGTAAATTACTAGGAGAACCTAGTTGGACTGCAGGATGTAGGAAGGCCTTCCTATGGAAAGTACATTTAAGTTGGGACCTAAAGGAGAAACAGGAATGAGCCAGGCAGGAAGTAGGGGGACCTCATGGGTAAAGACCCTAGCAGGTAGAGAACGTCCATCAAGCTCCAGCACTAGGAGTGGGTGAGTGGTGAGAGAGGACACTGAAGAGTGCTGTGGGGGAGTGCCGGTCTTAGTATTCAGTGTGCAGTGGAGAGTTTTAAATGGGGGTGACCTGAAGAGATGGACATTTAAAAATAATTTTTTTTTTTTGAGACGGAGTTTCGCTCTTGTTGCCCAGGCTGGAGTGCAATGGCGTGATCTCAGCTCACCGCAACCTCCGTCTCCTGGGTTCAAGCAATTCTTCTGCCTCAGCCTCCCGAGTAGCTGGGATTATAGGCAGGCACCACCATGCCCAGTTAATTTTGTATTTTTAGTAGAGACAGGGTTTCACCATGTTGGTCAGGCTGGTCTCGAACTCCCGACCTCAGGTGATCTGCCCTGCCCACCTCGGCCTCCCAAAGTGCCAGGATTACAGGCGTGAGCCACCACACCCCGCCTAAAAAATAACACTTTTTTAATGTGTGTGGAAAGGTGGATTGAGGGAGGGGGTGGATGGTGAGAGTGGAAGAGACAAGTTGGGAGGCTTGAGATCCAGTAAGAGATGAAGGTCGCTTGGGCCAGGATGGAGCAGTGGATGTGGAGAGCCGCAGACACACCGGAGAATGATTTCAGACATGGGTGCAAGACTCGGTGTTTCCTTCCCTCTTTTCTCCTGGCTGCTCCTCCCTTACAGCTCCCGCCTGAGCTCACAGATGCCCCACACCTAGTCTTCATCTGAAAACCTGTGAGAAAAGATGATTAAGTCTAAATTTTGGAGTGGCTACACAGCAATACTGTAGCAATAGGTAACTAGTGTGCACAGCTAAAGATGGGGGAAAACCAACACATGTTCACGATTGTTCAATGTGAAATTAATTGTAATAGGAAAATTTTGGAGACCATTTAAATGCCTGTTATTGAACAGATTATGGTATGCCCACACATGGAATATTACACAGCTGTAAAACACAGAATAAAGAAGACTGTTATGAGCTTATATGAAGTGACTTCTAGATTATATTTCAGGGTTAAAGAAAAGACAAAATGCAAAGGAGTATCATGAAGTATGTTATCTTTTGTGTGAGGAGGAAGGGGAAACACATTTTTTCAAAAAGAAATGTAAGAAGAGTAAACCAGAAACAAATACAATGGTTTTTTGTTTTTTTTTTTGAGACGGGATCTCGCTGTCACCCAGGCTGGAGAGCAGTGGCACAATCACGGCTCACTGCAGCCTCCACCTTCCAGGCTCAAGTGATCCTCCTGCCTCAGCCTCCCAAGTAGCTGGGACTACAGGCATGTGCCACCATTTTTATTTTATTTTAAATTTTATTTTATTAAAATTAAAAAAAAATTTTTTTTTACCTGAACTACACAGATGTAAAAAATTATTTTATTTTTCTAAAAAGATGCAACAAATTATTTCTTACTGTAAATGACAATTTATAATTGTATAAATTTATGGGTTACAAAATGATGTCATAATCTGTGGATACAATGTAGAATAATTAAATCGAGCTAGTTAACATATCCATCACTTCAAATACTTAGCATTTTGTAGTGAGAACATTTGAAATTTACTCTTAGCAATTTTGAAATGTATAATACTCTACTAACTATATTCACCACACTGTGCAACAGACCTCAAAAAAATTATAAAATGGATTCTTCCTGTCGGAGATTTTGTACCCTTTGACCATCATTTAAATTTTTTAAATGCAACAAAATATCAATTTCAAAACAGCATGAAAAATTGAGTGTGTTTAACCATATTCAGCTGATAACAGGGCAAATGAATTGAACAGAATAACATTCTATTCCATGTTTAATGAACTGGCAACAAGAGAAAGTTGGTGGAAGAAAGGCAGAGGAACTTGGGCAAGAATTAGAACCAAGGGGCTCCATAATCATCTGACATCAGTTCCCATGTTGTATCTATGGTTAGAAATGTACATGATAGGAACTCCAAGAATCTTAGGATTCTTCTTTTAAGGTCCCAGGTTCGTGGCTACAACACTTATGCTGAGTAACTCTCTGTGCTAAGCAGTCATCTGCATAGATTCCTTCCTGTGCGTGGTAATTTGGTAATCGTTCAAATTTTGGATCCTTGGCAATCCTTTAAGCCACTTGATACTTCGCCCCAATTTCTCAGTTTCAGCCATTACACAGTTACACAAGGGATACACTTGGCATATAGACAGTTCATCACTGATTGCAGTATGTCTTATTTGGCTCCAATAGAAAAGTTGGTAACGCTGGAATCAAACAGGACGTGGTAAGGTGGACCCAGCTGTGTAATATATTGGAAAAATAAGCAGGAAGGGTATTGGGGAACTTTTCTTTCCTTCAGCATGCTGGGATATTTCTTTTCTTTTTAGGTCTTTATCATTTTCTTTAAGCCTGTGATATCAGAGACTAAGCATTCGCTTCATGGTCGCAGACTTCCTTGTTTTCTTTTGCTCTCACATGCTCATGTCATACTCTTATTTTTTTAAGACAGGGTCTCACTGTCACCCAGGCTGGAGTGTGTGCAGTGGCTCAAACTGCACTGAAGCCTCAATCTCTCAGGCTCAAGCAATCCTCCCACTTTGCCTCCCAAGTAGCTGGGACACAAGCATGCACCACCACACCCAGCTAAGTTTTTTATTTTTATTTTTGTAGACACAGGGGTCTCACCATGTTGCCCAGGCTGGTCTCAAACTCCTGGACTTAAGTGATCCTCCCCCCTCAGCCTCCCAAAGTGTTGGAATTACAGGAATGAGCCACTGCGCCCAGCCTATTTTTAGTTTTTATAGAGACAGGGTCTCACTATGTTGCCCAGGCTACAATTGGTTTGCTATAGGCAATAGTTTGTTTTGTTTTGTTTCATTTTGTTTTGAGACGGAGTCTCGCTCTTTCACCCAGGCTGGAGTGCAGTAGCACTACCTTGGCTCACTGCAAACTCTACCTCCTGGGTTCAAGCAATTCTTCTGCCTCAGCCTCCCAAGTAGCTGGGACTACAGGTGCGTGCCACCACACCCAGCTAATTTTTGTATTTTTAGAAGAGACGGGGTTTCACCGTGTTAGCCAGGATGGTCTCGATCTCCTGACCTTGTGATCCGCCCGCCTTGGCCTCCCAAAGTGCTGGGATTACAGGCGTGAGCCACCATACCTGGCCATCTAAACTTAATTATCTCCCAAATGTCCCATTTCCAAATATCATCACATTGGGGGTTAGGGCTTCAACATATGAATTTTAGGGGGATATAATTCAGTCCATAGCACTTTGTCTTTTGGTGGACCTGGGTGCTGGGTGTGGTCATTACTATTGGAGTGTCATTGCTCTCACATCAGTGCAAAGGACTATACATACAAAAACATATTTACATCTATCTCTATAGACTGAAATACACGAGTTCACACTGATATCTCCAATTCGACACCACAGGGTTTATTCTAGTTTTCTCCCTTTCCATATTTGTGGGAGCCAGGTTTTTATGAGACAATTTTATTGGGAGATAATTCTGTGTCTCTTGTGGGTGTCTTAATTGTCAGATTTTGTACGCTTTGACCACCATTTAAATTTTTTAAATGCAACAAAATATCAATTTTGTTGATACTTTGTGGGCTGAGATGTTGACAGATTTTGTTCCAGACTATTTCAAGGATTTTTTTTTTCTTGAGATGGAGTTTCACTCTTGTTGCCCAGGCTGGAGTGCAACGGCGTGATCTTGGCTCACCACAACCTCCGCCTCCTGGGTTCAAGCGATTCTCCTGCCTCAGCCTCCCGAGTAGCTGGATTACAGGCTCGCGCCACCACGCTTGGCTAATTTTTGTATTTTTAGTAGAGACGGGATTTCTCCATGTTGGTCAGGCTGGTCTGGAACTCCCAACCTCAGGTGATCCGCCTGCCTCAGCCTCCCAAAGTGCTAGGATTATAGGTGTGCCACTGTGCCCAGGTATTTCAAGGATTTTTGTACAGCAAATGGCCTTAGAAGACAGAGATAGTATCTCCCTAAGATTGTGGTTCCTTAGCCGTCATGCAAACCTGCAGTGTGTAACACTTTCCTGGGCCTGCCAGTATTGCCCTGTGGGACTTGGAGGGCAAGGGAGACCAAGGCTAACACACTGCCTGCTGTGCCCTGAGCAGTAGTCTCTGCCCAAGTAATCCTGTGTTTTCTGCCAGCATTCATGAAGCTGGCTCCCTAACACAAGAAGTTGTTGAAAGTTCTACTCAGCTTCTTAGCTGCCTCTTCCAGAATCAGCAGGTGCCCTTATGGGAAAAGTAGCTCTAAGTCCCAGGCTCACTTCTCTTGAGTTTCCTTCGTGTCCTGAATTTTGGTTCTATATTGCCAGCTGATGCTTTCAGATAGATGCTGTTTATATTTTGCACAGCTTTTCTAGTTGTTCTCTATGTTCAGTGGGTCCAAATTTCCTGGTCTACCATTAGTGAAAGTGGCAGATGGTGAAGGCAATTTTCAACTCAAAGGTTTCAAGGCCACCAAAAAGAGAAATACACATGTACTGAGAAAGAAAAGTCAAGACCTGTAAGAAGTGTCACAGGTTTCTTAGGTCACACATACAAAACTGACCCATATATTCCTGAAAATGAACAGACTGTCTAGTGCCCCAGACCCCTGCTATGGATACCCTATTTGACCTTCAGGCTTAGTTCCAAAGCCAGCTATATCTTTTATAAAAGACTTTCCACCCTATCTCCTTCACCTCCTCACCCAGCCAAAGGAAACCTTCTTTCCTCTGTTCTCCCACAGGACTTTATACCTCTGTTAGGGCACTTCTCCATCTCTGCCACGTTATAGCTGGCTGACCACCCAAATTCATAATTAGCAACTTGAGGACCCAATCATGTCTTAACCATCTTTGCATTTTTCAGTATGTCTTGAATAGAGAATTTATGAAAATAAATGTTTGCATAAGCTGATAAAGGAGATGAAGAAAAACACACAGAAGGAGAAAACCAAGGGTGTGGGATCAGAAAATCCAAGAGAAGAGAGTGTTTCTGGAGAATGAAGCAATAACTGAATGCTGCTGAGAAGTCAGAATGATGAAGCCTGAAAAGTTTCCCCTAAATGTGGCAGCATAAAGGATTCAGGAGAACACTGACTTTTATTGAGGAAGACAGGTCAAATGTTGTTTGGAGTCACTGCATTTTTTAGGCAAGTCAATTAGACAAGCTTCTTTTTTTTTTTTTTTGAGACAGAATGTCGCCCAGGCTGGAGTGCAATGGCACGATCTCGGCTCACTGCACCCTCTGCCTCCCAGGTTCAAGCAATTCTCCTGCCTCAGCCTCTGAGTAGCTGGGATTACAGGCATGCACCACCATGCCTGGCTAATTGTTGTATTTTTAGTAGAGATGGGGTTTCACCATGTTGGTCAGGCTGGTCTCGAATTCCTGACCTTGTGATCCGCCTGCCTCGGCCTCCCAAAGTGCTGGGATTATAGGCGTGAGCCACCGTGCCCGGCCTGGCAAGCTTCTTCTTGAAGAAGGATGAACAGTTCTCAGCAAAGAGGAGTCATCATTCTTCTGAACCACCATAAACATTCCAGAGAAGAGGTAGATAGAAGGCTAGATCCTGGAGGATGTGCTGTGGTGAGCTAGGCCCTCAGGCAGGTGGTGGTGCCCAGCAGAAATGGCACTGTAAGCCAGGCTTCCCTGGTCCTAGGAGAATGTTTTAGACTAGATGTCTAGGAGAAGTCTGGGCACTACCACTGGTCTTCATAGACCTGCATCAGGCTGGTCCTAGGCCTCCTGTTCCAGCTACATAGTGGACACCTCCCTCTGGGCTATAGCACACAGGGCCACAGCGCAACTGGGGCTCTTCCTCCTCATACCAGCGCTGTTCACTGAAGTCAGGGAAGAAGGCTGCAATCTCTCTGCTGGCTGAAACCACAGAGTCTGTAAGGGGAGATAAGACAGAGAAGGGGTTCTCACATGGTAGAAGCAAGAGGCAGTCATAATCAGGTTCAGAATCCTGAGCCTCTACTCTGCCTGCCCCTTCAGTCCTGGGGCATGTAAAGAAAGTCCACAGGCCACATCTGCCAACATGGCTACAAAGACCAGAAACACAAATGGAAGAAAGCTCACTGGAGGGACCTGGCTGTCAACTCTACCACACAGCCTGCCCGCTAACCCCAAAATATCCTATGGCTATGGACAGGGGACTCACCCGAACCATGGGTGGTGTTGCGGGTGTCAGTGAGGCCGAAACTCCCACGGATAGAATCTGGGGCCACATGGCGTGCTCGGAACACTCTGGTGGGTCCCATGAGCGTCCTCCAGAGCTGGATGGCATCCTTGTGGGCAAGGATGTAGGCTCGGATTGGCCCGCTGTGAACAAAACAAGCACATGTAAAGAACCTGGCCATCTAGACTAGGAGGGTGTGCTGTGAGCAGGGCCTGAATAAAAACACACTCTACGTTCTGAGAGTTTTCCTGCCTTTCCAGCTGAGTACCAATGCTGCTTCAAATAGGTGATGCAGGGCCCCTGCTGGTGTACATCAAGCCTGCAGAGATCAGCAGGGTGGCTATGCAGCATTCAAGGGGACTCTTCTAACCACCAGAGGACAGGTGCCTAACAGGTCAGCATCGGCTCAGTGACAGCCCCAAACCCGTGTTTCTTCAGATTTGACATTGTTTACAACTTTATTTTTTGAGATGGAGTCTCACTCTGTTGCCCAGGCTAGAGTACAATGGTTCAATCTCGGCTCACTGCAACCTCTGCTTCCTGAATTCAAGTGATTCTCCTGCCTCAGCTTCCCGAGTAGTTGGGATTACAGGCACCCGCCACCATGCCTGGCTAATTTTTTGCTGTTGTTGTTGTTTTTGAGACGAAGTTTCACTCTTGTTGCCCAGGCTAGAGTGCAGTGCCACGATCTTGGCTCACTTCAACCTCCACCTCCCAGGTTCAAGCGATTCTCCTGCCTCAGCCTCCCGAGTAGCTGGGATTACAGGCACCTGCCACCATGCCGGGCTAATTTTTTGTATTTTTAGTAGAGACGGTGTTTCACCACATTGGCCAGGCTGGTCTCAAACTCCTGACCTCAAGTGATCCACCCGCCTCAGCCTCCCAAAGTGCTGGGATTACAGGCATGAGCCACCGTGCCTGGCCTGATTACAACTTTAAAGAATGGCAGTGAAATGAACAAATCCATTTAGGGGCAGGGGAGATTAGCCTCAGTGGATAAAGATGCTGGAACCAAATTTGAAGTACCTGGCCATGAACTCCACCAGCCTCTGATAGAAAAAACGCCCTGCAAAGAGAGAGGACCTTCATCAAGATACCTTCATCCTGGTGCCCAAGGCAACTTTCTGTACTTCTACCTCCTTACCTAGAATAATAAAAATTGTTTCAGAGAAAAGAACAAGGACCTTGGAGTCTGACAAACCTGGGTCTGAATCCAGGGTCTGCCACTTACAACCTGCGTAGTTTTGGGTAAATCATTAACCTCCTAAACTTGGCTTCCTAATCTGCGTACGAGGGATATAACAACACCTACTTTTTAGGGTTGTTGGGAAAATTGAATGAAAAAATGAGCATTAGGACAATGTCTGATGGTAAACATTCATTCACTATATGTTAACTACTGATATTATCAAGACATAAAACTAAGTTTCTGGTTGGGACTACAAGGTAGAACCCTCCTTGGGAAAAGATGGATAATCATGAAAAGTGTGTGTTTTAAACCAAGATTTTAGAAAACTGGCTGCAACTGTACACGGTTGGTAGGTCAGAGAGCCTGCCATTGTGTTCCAGGTAAAATCTCTCTTATGGCCTCTTGGGATTGAGGCACCTTCCATTCAGAGGACTACTGATCCTACCTTCATGCTCTCGGTAAAACCTCTGGCAATCTTCCTTTCTCCACAGTAGTTCTCTCATTCGTACAATCAGGAACTTGTTGCTTAGAATCTGCTGATGAACAGCCTGAATAAAGACCATCCCCAAAATAAAAATCAATCAGGAGACTGAAACTGACCAAAAGAAACCATGAGGACCACTTGTTGCTCAGGACCTGAGGGTTTGTCCCATTGAAGGGTGAGAAGACGAGGTGGGGTGAGGTGAAGACCTTCAGTCACACAGCCAGAGTGTGCACCTTGGGTGAAAGGGGATAGGATGCGCTGTCTCTGCTCTTCCATACCTATAACCCCTTGAGCTCAAGACCACAGGACCCACCACTCAGACCACCATAAAAGTCTTGTTAGTGGTCCTGCCTTGGGTTTCTCTCACTCCCTCCAAACCATCACACTTGATAGATGAGAAACTCTATAATTGACACGTCACACTCTGGTCAGAAGGTGTTAAGTAGTTCCTGTTATTCAAGGAATGAAGTACAACCACTTTAGCCCAGTGCTCAAGGTTATACTTTCCTTACTCTGTACCAATTCTCTAGTCTCACCATCGCAGGCTGCCTGCGGCCCTCAGACCCATCACATGCATTCCTGCCTCAGCGTCTCCCTTCTGTGCAACACCTGTCCTTCTCCTGGCACTAACCAAAGTTTACCATTCCTTTGAGGCCCAGCTGAGTCCTGCCACTTCCAGGCCCCCACTCCTGACTGCTTAGATCTTCCTCTGCACCATAGTGGGCTTACTTAGCAGTGCTACTCAGTTAGTATTTATCAAACTATGGTACACAGAATGTGAAAATGACCCCGAGCCCCACCAAGATTTCCCACCCTAATCTCCAGGACTGTGAATATGATGCAATATGATTATGTTACATTACATAACAACAGGGATTTTGAGGGAAATTAAGGTTACTAATCAGTTGATTCTGCTGTAATCAAAAGGGAGATTATCCAGGTGGGCCTAATTAATCACATGAGCCCTGTGGGATTAGAATTGTGAAGGCTTCTCAATGCCAGGCATTTTCTCTGGCTAGAGGCTGAAGAAGTCAGAGAGATTCAAAGCATGAGAAGGATTCAATGCACTGCAGCTGTCTTGAAGACAGACTGGGCCATGTGATGAGGGATGTGAGTGGTATCTAGAAACTGAAAGGAGTTCCTGCCTGAAGGCCAACAGGGAAATGGCAGCCTCAGTCCTACCATCATAAGAAATCAACTCTGCCAACAACCTGAATGAGTCTGGAAGTGAATTCTTCCCCCAGACCCTCCAGATAAGGACCTGGTCAGCCAATACCTTGACTTTGGCCTTGTGAGACCTTAAGCAAACAACTCAGCCAAGCCTACTGGACCTCTAAACTACTGAACTGTGAAATAACAAATAAGTGTTGTTTTAAGCTCTCAAGTCTGGAGTAATGTGTTATGTAGCAATAGAAACTAACAAATACACATTGTCTTGATATTCGGTTCTATTATTGCTTTGGGTCCTTTCTTACATTTTAGGTCTGCCTCAAGTCTCCAATGGATTCTTAGTCTCCTTAGGTCAGAGTTCATGGCTTCTAGCTTTGCCTCCACAGCATCCAGCACAAGTCTGTGTTGTCAGTCACCATAAATGGCCCAATGGCACCTGAAGCAGTAGCAATTCCCAGGGCATGCGGTAGAGACTTAGGATTCATTCTTACCTCCAGAATCAGTGGATGGGCGACTGCGTCAGGCTTGATCAGGGCTAGAGTGAGCTGGAGAGCCTGAGGGCTTCGCAAGATTGAGGCCATCTCACTCCTGCCATTAGAGAGCTGTATTAGGAACCCTTCAGGACGGCACTCCCAGCCTTCCCTACATTGGAGCCACGCAGCCTTGCAAGCCAACGAGTGCTCTCACTCCTGACACTCATAAAGAACCTGACAGTTTCATCTTAAGGCCATATACATTATTTTAATTGCCCATTTGGGCTCATGGGATCAAGGGAGGGGAGTTGTAGAGGGAGCATTCAAGTTCCCCCGTGGAGTATACAATCTAGTGCAACTGTAAGCCTATGAGGGAATTACCCATTAAAAGAAACTCAAGTTTAAATACTACCTGTCTCTGCCAATATCCCTTCCTAACTTCCTTTTGTATTTTACAGAGGATTTACAATTTATACTCCTAAACAGCCTATCCACAAGGCCTATTCATAATGATGAATTCATCTCTTAAAATCTTCCATCCCATAGTGCTCTCCTATCAAATCTAGAATTGGAAGATTGATGGACAGCAACTGAGGTGCTACCAGGATACCAAAAAGTCTGCTGGATAAACACCATCTCTATTCTAATATTATGGAGAGATCAGGATCTCCTGTGCCCAAATCAAACCTGTTAATACACTCAGCTGTCCTCAGTGGTAACACTGAGGTCAACACACAACTCCAACATCAGGAACAAGTCATAACCATTTTGCATCTGAAACAGTGCCTGACACAAAGGTGCTTGATCAATTTTATTTACTAAATAAACCTATATAGTCTTATTTCTATTCATCTTTGTATTCCTAATGTCTAGCATGGTGTAAGAGCTCAATATTGTAGAAATGATATAATGGACATAAAAGCATTTTATAAACTGGACTAAGGGAATTTTGAGGTCTTTTCCAATTGTGAAATCCGAGTTATACGTGAGAAATTTATCACCTCTGCAGGAGTAAAGACTTTGTCTCAAAATCTTATCTCAATATTATCTCTCATTTGGCCATGTGTAGTGGCTCACACCTGTAATATCAGTACTTGAGGCCAGGAGTTTGACCTGGGCAACAAAGCAAGACCCTGACTCTACTACATATGTGTGTATGTGTGTGTGTGTATATATATATAATATATATGTGTGTATATATATAAAATCATTTGTCGACAAATACAGAGAAGGCTTCCATTAACATAGGCAGGGACAGAGTCTAGACAACATTCTCATTTATCTTATCCTAAAAACTGTCAATCATGTTAAAGGTGGTATTAGAATCTGGCCCAAGCAAAGAAACTGCCATGGTCGCTCCTATTCATGTCCTTTCTACAGCTTTCAACCTGATTTTCCACTCAAACCATAAAGCCACACCCAATCTAACCAGTACAAGATCAGCTAACCCACTCTCCCTAATGCCACAGGTGGTAACACGTCATTTTCAGCAACTGTCTACAGAGACATCCATGACACCTCCCCTCCCTCACTCTTCATATCCACACGATCACCAACTTCTGGCAATTTTCCCTACCTAATATATCTCAAAACCCATACCATTCTCCCATCCTCAACTGCTACCACCATAACTCTAAGACATCATCATTCCCCTCTGGACATCTTGACAGCCTCCTCTTTGGTCTCCCAGTTTCTGTCCTGCCAACCTCTACAATCTCCACACAGCAGCCAAAGTGAACCACACATGAAAATCTAATCATATGGTTCCCCTCCTTAACCCTTTAAAGGGCACCCTGTTCTTAGAATAAAAACCAAAATCCTTATCACGGCCTCCCAGGCTCTGCATGATCTTGTGGTTCCCCACGTACCTCTCTAGCCTCATCTGGAACCCCACACTCCTTAAGTTTCTCTAGCTCCAACCTCATGGGCCTTTCAGTTTTGAAAGAATTTCTGGCTTGACAGCCTTTGTGTGAGTAGTTTTCGCAGTCCTGAATGTGCTTTCTCTGGTTGCCTCCTGCCCACCTTAGTGATCTTAGCTCACTTCCCGTTACACTTTCTCACAGCTCCTTGCAAGTTCCCTTCAGTTCCGTCTTCACCACCAGAAGGTGTAAGCAGTACCTAGCACACAGCTGGCTCTTAACAGTATCTGAATGAACCAACGAATGCACCTCATCCAGCCATTCCAAGGCCAGGCTGCTAGGGGTTCTCGTGGCAAGAACACGCGGCCTGTAGGGAGGACATGGTTCCTTTACTAACGCAGCTAAGTTGTGGCTGTCTTGACTCTTGGTTTACAACAAACTGACAAGTCGAGAATCCTGTTAGACTTAAAGGTGACTCCATGAGAATTAAAAATTTTAGGCAGGGCGCGGTGTCTCACGCCTGTAATCCCAGCACTTTGAAAGACCGAGGCGGGCGGATCACGAAGTCAGGAGATCAAGACCATCCTGGCCAACATGGTGAAAGCCCGTCTCTACTAAAAATACAAAAAAATTAGCCAGGCATAACGGCGCGCGCCTACAGTCACAGCTACTAGGGAGGCTGAGGCAGGAGCATTACTTGAACTCTGGAGGCGGAGGCTGCAGTGAGCCGAGATCGCGCCACTGCACTCCAGCCTGGCGACAGAACCAGACTCCGTCTCCAAAACAAAAAAAAAGTAAAGCTGTCGGTACACTGCCACCCCAGCACTCGAGGGGGCCACCACTCGCTTCCTGGAGGGCGGCGGCCCAGCCCTGGTCCACCCACGCGCGGCCGGGACCTGCGCCCCTACCCCCGTGGCCACGCCCTCCAGCCCCCCGGGCTCACGGCCTCAACTCTCGACCCAGCCCCCTACTTCTCTAGGCCTGCAACCGCGCAGCCCTCACCCCTCGTACCCGGGGCCTAAGCCCACCCCAGATTCTGGGTCATTCGGAGCCCCAGTGCAGCAGAAGTCCGGCTGCGGGTTCACCTTGTCCTCCGGCACAGGGCCCGGCCACCAGGCGCCACGCTGGATAGCCTGCGGCCCTCGCAGGGTCCTTCAGGCGCTCCCTGGGCAGCCCTGCTCGGGGTCCTAGTCCGGTTGCGCCGCGGCGTGAGGTGAGGTGTGAGTTGCCCTGGAGGGTGGCGGGTTTTCCAGGCGCATGCATTTGCCGCGGACGGGACGAGAGGATGAAGCCGTTCTGGGCGCCGGAACTCGCTTGTGGGAACCGCCCCTCGGAAGCCGGCCTGGGCGCCCTCGGAAGCCGGCCTGGGCGCCCTCGGCGGGAGGGAGTGCTGGGCCGGGTGCTGGCGCAGCGCTACGCAGGGTGGCGGAACCCAGAGGACCGGACGGGCTCGTTCAGGGTGGCGGCCCGGCGGGGGCGATGCCCGCCAGCAGAGACACCGATGGAAACCTTGCCCAGTTATTTTCTTTGCCCAGGGTAGTTCCTGGAACATGGTTGATGCCCAGTATTTGTCAAAAGTACGCGGAGGGCAAAGAACTTAAGCGCTCGATAGCGAAGGCACAGGCCCTTCAAAGTCTTTTGAGCTCTGAGCGATACATTAGCATGAAGGATCGTAGCTAATATGGGGGTTGATGAAGGAGGATCCTTGGCTGGAGCCCAGGTGTGCATAGGGCATGAGGAAAGCAAGTCATAACGGCCTTTCACGTGTCATTAGGAATCTGGGCAGCAGGGTGTGGTTTGGGTTACTCTGGAGTCTATTGACGCAGCCCAGGGTGAGGAGATGAGAACTGGGGGTATTCCTGGTGTGTACTGTGATGTATGGAGAGGATGGGGACAGGGAGAATGGATCGGGGGTCAGCTGTGGCAGGTGACCAGAAACTTGGTGACAGGTTGAATAAAGATGGTTAAAAAAAAAAAAAGTGTTTTGGTTTCTTGGGTTTTTTTTTTTTTTTTTGAGGGAAATCACTGAGAATGAGAAGAATGAAAATAAACGATAACTGTCATCAATGTAAAGACTTACTTGCACATTTAACTGACTTCGGTGTCTGCCTACACAGGTGTTGCCCTCTTGGAAGGTTTATCCCCAACTCATGGCTTCTGTCCCTGCAGCAATAAGAAGCCACTTCCCAATAGTTTCCTGATACCCAGTCACCTTTGGGAACTTACGAGGAAAGTTTTTCCAGTCTCTCCGCAGACCCTTGCATCTCTTCTCTTTTTGTTTAGACCCTTGACCACCACCCCCTATTCTAATCTTAACTCCTCTGCTACTCAGTTCCAATCCTAACCCAAGCCCTAGTCCCTAAATTTATAATCCTTTAATCCTAGACCTGGTCTCTAGATCCTGAGCCCTTGATGCTTATCTTCTAACCTCCTAATCCCAACCTCAAATCCCTAAACCTCAACCCATGAATTCTGACCTGATTCTCAAACCCCAGGCCCCCAACCCTGACTCCAAAAATGACAACCCATTACTTCTCCCTACACGGAATCACTGACGGAGTTGTAGCAACTGAATCTGCAGTAGGCCAAAGGACCCAGTGAGTTAGCCAGCAAACTACTCTAAATAAAAGATATGGTGGATAACAGCAAGCCTAAACAAATCTTCCTCAAAGATGAGCAACACAAGTCCCAGTCATTATGACAATACCTCTGTATCTCAACAAAGGGGCTTAAATCAGCAAGTCATCCCAGCCCCTGAAGGAAGAGAACAGTCCTTGTAAGTTGCAAAGCTCTCAGAGGACATGGGTGGCTCAGTAAAGCCCCTGTTCTAGGACACAGCAAAAGAAGCAACACAATAACCACCATGGCCCAGCAGATGAGGGCCACAGCCAGCATCGCCACCCCTGAGTCTGCCTTCCCAGTATGATCATCAGGACTTCAGAAGTCCCAGCAAACCAGTTAAACAGAAGACAAGAACCTTATGTGAAACCAAATTCCAGACAACTGATACAGATGGCATTCCAGAATCTGCAGCATTCCAGCATGCAACAAACTGCAATAAGTGACACAGATCTCTCCCCGACAGACACCTTATGAGAAGCAAGGGGAAAAAAATGCTCCAATAAAATGGAATCCCAGAATCTCTTCACCATCCCACCCTCAAACCCCTCCCCATTGCCAGGATGCTATGGCATAAGAGGCAAAGGACAATTCACAGTAGTAATAAAAAACATTTACTAAACACTTAGAAACAGTACTGACCAGGTGCCTCATTCAATGCTACGCTTATGTGAATTCTGTATGTATACTGTACTTAGATACAATTTTTTAAAAATTGATACTGCTAAAGCCTTGCTTAGATGGAAATTTGTAGCCTAAAATACATATATTAGAAAAGAAGAAAGACTGGAAATTCAGTAAGCCTCCATCTCAACAAGTTAGAAAAAGAGGAACAGAGCCTCAGAAACCTGTGACACATCATCAAGCGTATAATTTGTTATTATTATTTATTATTATTATTTTGAGACAGAGTCTCGCTCTGTTGCCCAGGCTGGAGTGCAATGGCGTGATCTTGGCTCACTGCAACCTCTGCCTCCCGGGTTCAAGCGATTCTCCTGCTTCAGCCTCCTAAGTAGCTGGGATTACAGGCACCTGCCACCACGCCTGGCTGATTTTTGTATTTTCAGTAGAGATGGGGTTTCACCATGCTGGCCAGGCTGGTCTTGAACTCCTGACCTCAGGCGATGGATCGCCCGCCTCGGCCTCCCAAAGTGCTGGAATTACAGGCATGAGCCACTGCGCCTGGCTGTTATTATTTATTATTAACTATTGCTTTATGCAATTGTCTTTTAAATCATATAGGAGAATAAAAGATTTACAAACAAAACCATATATTTATACTGTCTTTAACTGTGTAGTTACCTCTACCAGTTCTCTTTATTTCCCCTTGTGGATTTAAGTGTCCTTTCGCTTCAGCCTAAAGTATTCCCTTTAGTATTTCCTGCAGGGTGGATCTGCTGGAGACAAATTATTTCGGTTTTTATTAGTTTTGTTGGTCATCTTACTTTCTCCTTCATTTCTTTTTTTTTCTTTTCTTTTCTTTTTTTCTTTTTTTTTTTTTTTGAGATGGAGTTTTGCTCTTGTTGCCCACACTGGAGTGCAATGGTGCAATCTTGGCTCACTGCAACCTCTGCGTCCTAGGTTCAAGCAATTCTCCTGCCTCAGCCTCCCAAGCAGCTGGGATTACAGGCATGCAACACCACACTCAGCTAATTTTGTAATTATATTTAGTAGAGAGGGTTTCACTGTGTTGGCCAGGCTGGTCTTGAACTTCTGACCTCAGATGATCCACCCGCCTCAGCCTCCCTAAGTGCTGGGATTACAGGAGTGAGTCACCACTCTTCTTCATTTCTGAAGGATTTTCTTTATGGATATAGAATTCTTGGCTGATGTTTTTTTTCTGTTAGCACTTTGAATATGTTATCCTACTGCTTTCTGGCCTCCATGATTTCTGACGAGAAACTAGATGTTAATCTTACTGAGGGTCATCTGTACTTAATGATTTGCTTCTCTTTTGCTGCTTTCAAAATTCTCTCTTGGTCTTTGGCTTTTGACAGAGATTATGATGTGTATAGGTGTGGATTTCTTTGAGTTTGTCCTACTTGGAGTTTGCTGAGTTGCTTGGATGCATATGTTAACATTCTTTGAAAAATTTGAGATATTTTCAGTCATTATTTCTTCAAATATCTTTCTGCCCTTTTCTTTCTTCCTTCTCCTTCCTGGACTACCATTATCTTTATGTTGTTATGCTTAATTATATCCCAAAGGCTTCCAGGGCTCTGTTCCTTTTTCTTTCTGCTCCTCGCACTGGTTAATGTCAATCTTTCTTCAAGTTCACTTGTTCTTTCTTCTACCTGTTCAACTTTGCTATTGAGCCTCTCTAGTGAATTTGTCACTTTAGTTATTGTACTTATCACCTCAAGAAAGTTATATTTAAAAAAATAATTTCTTTATGATGTTCTCTACTTGTTCACACATCATTCTTATACTTTATTTCTTTAGACATAGTTTATCTCTTTGAAAAAATATGTATACATGTATGTATGTGTATTTTTTTTTAATAAGGCCTCGCTGTTACCCAGGCTAGAATGCAGTGGCACAATCATAGCTCATTGTAGCCTAAACCTCCTGGGCTCAAGCAATCAATCCTCCCACCTCAGCTTCCCAAGTAGCTAGGACTACAGGCACGTGCCAGCATGCCTGATAATTTTTAATTTTTTTGTAGAGATAGGACAACTATGTTGTCCAGGCTGGTCTTGAATTCCTGGCCTCAAGTGATCCTTTCACCTCAGGCCCCCAAAGTGTTGGGATTATAGCCATGAGTCACCTGCCTGGGCTGATTTAAAGTCTTTGTCTAGTAAGTCCAACATTGGAGCTTTCTTGGCAACAATTCCTATTGACTGATCTTTTTTTCTTGTGTATGGGCCAGACTTTCTTGTTTCTTTGTATGTGTCACAATATTTCATTGAAAATTGGATGTTTTAAACAACATAATGTGGCAACTTTGGAAATCAGATTCTCCCCTTCCCCCAGGTTTGTTGTTGCTATTCATTTGTGTAGTGATTTTTATCAATTAATTTTTTAAAGTATGTATTCTTGGTAGTGTGTAACCATTGAAGACTCTGTTCCATTAGTTTAGTGGTCATCTAATGATTGGACATAGTGTTTTTAAATACTTGGAACCAATAAGTCTTTCTGCCTTTGCCGAGGTATTCTGTATGTATTGAGCCATGCCTTCAATGGTCAGGCAGGCAGTTTACAACTCTGCTTTAGACTTCATTTCTTGCTATTTAGAGCATTAAAGTCAGCCAAGGTGAGCACATAGGGCCTTCTAAAGATTCTCCTGGACATATTACAGACCTGCTCATGCTCTTGGTCTTCTAGATTCCTAGAAATATGCCAGAGCTTTTCAAAAGCTCCATGGACATTCTATTCTCAGCTTTTTCTTTTACTTTTTTTTTGTTGTTGTTATTTGTTTGTCCCAAATGTTATCACTGCTTAAGGTTGTTGCAAATTTTAAAAATTGAGGCTGTTTGTTTTTGACAGATGCCCCAGGGAAAAAGTTCTCAGTGAGAGAACTCTCAGTCAGGTTAAAACAAAACAAAAAACAAAACAAAAAGCCAAAAAGCAACCCAGCTGGAGGAGGTCTCTAGGGAACTGCCAGGCAAATCAAATAACGATCATTTTCTGGAAATGGTGTTTTTGGGGACCTCCAAACCTGTTCTTCCCCTTTGAATGTCTTTTCGCAGGCTGGTTTCCACCATGATTTCAAGGCTGGTTTAATTTAAGCCTACAGCAGAGTTGGGGTAGGGAGAATGGGTACAGGGCAAGTTAAAAACACCAGAAAGCTTGCTTTTCTTACTAAGATTTTAGATTTTTGTGGTCATTTGCTTACAATCTGTGTAAGAACAGAGGGAACCCATGGCATGAGTCAAGTAGTTTGGGGATGAGAAAATAGAATATCTGATATTTTTTAAAGATTCTTATTAATCAAGAGAAATGTTTGCCAGCCAGGTTTTCTGCTAAGAATCATTTATTGAAGACATAAATCAACGAGTTTGATCCAACCATTAGTAATTAAAGGGGATATATTTGAAGAGGCAACCATTGTGTTTCACTTGGCAATCTGGAGATTCAGTAGGTTTTATAATTCTTTGTCGTACGTTCAAGAGTTTTCCTGCAAGAGAAGTATCTGCTTAGAGAAATCAAATTTGAGGAAGTTAAGAGAAAAGCCACCACACTGGTAAACACAACCATAGTTCAGCAGGGGAAATGCTAAACAATTATTCTCTGAATTAAGGCAGGTTAGAGACATTCTAATTTCACTGGAGAAGGAAAAAGCAGAGTGAAAGTCGGTGGAAAAGAGGCAAAGGATGGGGATGTCTGGGTGAGACTTTGGACTCCAGGAGAGCCTCTGGGAACTCCTGAGGGGATAGAGGCAGTGGAGTTGACATGAAGCAGGGTCCTGGCAGAGGCCTGTTGGAGGATATGGAGCTTTCCATCTCCCTAAGAGTGTCTCAGGTTTCCCCTTCCCCTCTTTTCCCTTTCCTTTCCCTTCTCTTTCCCCTTCCTTCCTTCCTTCTTTCCTTCCTTCCTTTCCTCCCTTCCTTCTTCCACTTCCTCTTCCTCCCTATCCCTCTTCTTTCTCCATTTTCATGTCTTCTTTTCTTCTTTCTCTTCCTACTCTCTCTCTCTCCCTCCCTATCTGCCCCCCACCCCCCCACCTCTTCTGGAATTATTAGTTTCCTCAAACTCCAATTGATTCTCTAAGGACTGATTTAGGGGAAGGTGCCAATAGCTCATTGTAGTTCATCATTATGGTTGGCTCTTAATGCAATTATATACTCATATATATGAGTACATATCTTTATTAAGCCTATATCTCATTTGAGTTCATTCAAGTGTACATCTCATTTGAGTTTCATGATAACCCAGACAGATGAGTTCTAGCTGAGTCACAGAGGTATTAACTGAAAGATTTGTGACTTTTTCTTCAACGCTCTTCCCCAGACATCACATTCTGTACTTGGGATACCTGGGCTTACTACCTATACATAAGAATAACTAAAGCTGTCAGTGGTACTAGCTCTAGATCACTGAGTTTGTGCAATGAATTCTGACTTCAGTCTGCATTCTTTTTTTTTTTTTTTTTTTTTTTTTTTTTTGAGACGGAGTCTCACTCTGGCGCCCAGGCTGGAGTGCAGTGGCGTGATCTTGGCTTACTGCAAGCTCCACCTCCCGGGTTCATGCCATTCACCTGCCTCAGCCTCCCAAGTAGCTGGGACTACAGGCGCCCGCCACCAAGACTGGCTAATTTTTTTTGTATTTTTAGTAGAGATGGGTTTCACCGTGTTAGCCAGGATGGTCTCGATCTCCTGACCTTGTGATCCGCCTGCCTTGGCCTCCCAAAGTGCTGGGATTACAGGCATGAGCCACCGTGCCTGGCCCAGTCTGCATTCTTAATCTCTGCAAATCCTTGGCATCCAAGCTTTCTGAATTACTTTATAAAAGCAATATTAATTATATCAACAATTTCATCAGAGCCTTGGTAGAGAGACAGAATTGTGCTCTGCAGTAAAATTTTCAGGTGGTCTCCTATAGTTAACTTTTCATCCATGGCACAATTAATGTTTACATTTGAAATAAATGAATAAAATGCATTTTTGTCTTAAATAGACTGTTGAGGTCCCAACATGATACAGGGATCTCCCCTAGAAGATTTGGGATTTTCTAGTCCAAATGTGATGAAAGGAAGCTCACTGTATTTGGATGCCGCACAATTCTTTTCTGGATCGCTCTGATTTAGGGAAAATTCTATCATTTTATACTGATGTGATATCTTCCTTACCAATCCCTCTTTCTGCATGTCCCTAAAACTCTTCTCCCCTGTTAAATATTAGTCTTTACTTTGGCACATAAGTGATTCTTAGAACACTTTGAACACCATTCTATAGATATCCTTAAATTTAAAACCACCCCTTTGAAGTTAAAAGTTTAAAATGGATATAAGACCAGAGATTTATTTGACAAGAGTCATAGACTGAGGTACGGTCCAGATATAAAAGGAGGGATTTAGCAGGATTTTTAATGAGTAAGCCCAGCTCAGCAAGAATCTGACAGAAGTAGAAATTATGTGAGATCTTTTCATAGTTACCCCAAATCATGAAAGTGTCTAAAAGTTCTTGTGATTTCTCTTTAGTGGAACTAGAGAACATTCAGGTAATTGACCGTCCCTAAGTGAGTAATATGTGTGCTGGTCTGTAAATCAGATGAGCCCTGTGAGTTTGTCATGGAGATGGTGTCAGAAGACATTGTCATAAAATTATTACTAAATTATACAATTGTCCTGTTTTACCTGCTTTACCTCCTACTGTCTTTATTTTCTCTTCTACATTGATTTCTCCCAGTCTTGTTGCCACGCCTCATAATGCAATAATGATCTCTATGGCTTCAGCTGAGTTCTTGCTTTGGACTATAACCTGGAAGTCAGGGACACAATCTCTAGACCTAGGGCTCCGGCAAGTCCTGGCCCATTCACTCTCAGAATAACTGTTCACATTTCAATTAGTGTCTTTCATTAATATCCTAGATATTGGAAATGACAGGGAAGAGCAAGGGTGAAATAGATGTTCTTTAAGCTGAATTATCAGGCCAAATTATGTTTCTTCCTCCAGAAGGTGTTATTTTTGGTTGGGGAGATTTGAATATGAAGTATGTATTAGAAGATGACAATGAAATAATTAGTTGTAATAAGACCTTCTGAGTATGTAAGGAAATGTCCAAACTTATTAGAGAGGAACTCTGAAGTATGTAGGAGTGAATAACATGATGTCTGAGACCTGTTTTAATATACTTCATCAAAGAAAACAGAGAAATAAAAGAATAGAGGGAGGAAATGTGGCAAAACATTACAATTTATTGAATACACATGATAGGCTTATGGGATCTATTATTGGCTCTACTTTTATGTATGTTTGAAAATGTTCATAACAAAACATTTAAAACCCTCTAAAACAGTGAGCTCTTAACTTATCTAGTTTACTTCTAAAAATAAAAAATAAAAGTGTCTTTACTTACACATTGTCCATCATACAGTTTAGTTATGTTAAGCCCTTCAAATCTGAAAGAAATTATATTTTAAAATTATTTTTGCTGTATGGTATATCATAAATTCTGACTAAATTTTACTTGATAATCTTTGGCTAAGTTTGGGAAATAAACATTCTGCTAATAATGAATTCTTGGCAAATATTTAAAAATTCTACTATATGAATTTTTATTTGTCAAAGACATTGAGTATAGAAAACATACTCAGTCTACAATAAAATACAGAAATTCAAAATAGCCTTTGAAAATTCAAGTAGAAATACAGAGGATTAGAAAAAGAATGTGTCTTAAAGTTAAAATATGCATTTAATGAAAGCTGAAACATCGCTACTGACCTTACAGAAACAAAGGATTAAAAGAGAATACTATGAACAATTGTATGTCAATAGATTAGATATTCTGGATGAAATGAACAAATTCCTAGAAACACACAAATTATCAAAACTTAATAAGAAATAAAAAGTCTCAACAGACCTATGACAAGTAAAGATACTGAATCAGTAATAAAAAATGTCCCGACAAACACCAGATGGCTTTAGTACTGAATTCTACCAAAAAAAAAATTTTTTTTTTTTTTTTTTGAGACAGAGTTTTGCTCTTGTTGCCCAGGCTGGAGTGCAGTGGCACGATCTCAGCTCACTGCAACCTCTGCCTCCTGGGTTCAAGCAATTCTCCTGCCTCAGCCTTCCAAGTAGCTGGGATTACAGGCATGCGCCACCAGGCCCAGCTAATTTTTTGTATTTTTAGTAGAGACTGGGTTTCATCATGTAGGCCAGGCTGGTCTTGAACTCCTGACCTCAGGTGATCCACCCGCTTCGGCCTCCCAAAGTGCAGGGATTACAGGCATGAGCCACTGCACCTGGCCTACCAAATATTTTTAAAAGATTTAGTACCAATCTTTCTTAAACTCTTCCAAACAATACAAGAGGAGGGAACACTTGCTACTTCATTCTATGAGGACAGCATTACCATGTTATCAAAGACAGACAAAGACATCACATAAAGGAAAACTATAGACCAATATCCCTTGTGAATACAGATGCAAAGATTCTCAGAAAAATACCAACAAATTGAATACAACCACATATTAAAAGGATTATACACCATGACAAAATGGCCTTTATCCCAAGAATTCAGAGCGTTTCAAAAAAAAAATCAGCCAATTTAATAATATCACATTAATAGAATGACAGAAAAACACTGCATGATAATACTAATTGATTCAAAACATACACACATAATATTCAACAAAATCCAACACCATTTCATAATAAAACACCCAGAAAACTAGGAATAGAAGAGAACTTCTTCAACACGATAAAGAACACTTATGAAAAACCCATAGCTAATATCGTACTCAATGGTGAAAGACTGAAAGACCTGTATAAGATCAGGAACAAGACATGAATACCTGCTTTCACCACTGAGATTCAACATTGGACTGGAAATTCTAGGCGAGCAATTAGGCAAGAAAAAGAAATAAAAGGCATCCAAATTGGAAAGGAAGAAGTAAAATGATCTCTATTCAAAGATGATATGATTCTATATGTAGAAAATCCCAAATAATTAATATAAAAATGACTAAAGCTAATAAATTCAGCAAGTTGCAGAGTACAAGATTAACAAACAAAAATCAGTTGTGTTTCTATAACTATAAATCAGCAATGAACAATTTCAAAATAAAATTAAGAAAACAATTCAGTTTACAACAGCATCCAAAAAAGAAAATACTTAGTAAGAATCCTGGAGGTGAAAGACTTGTACACTCAAAACTACAAAATTGAAACTGCTGAAAATAAATAAAGAAGGCCTAAATAAATGAATGACATCCCATGCTCACTGACTGGAAGAATTAATTTAAGATGACAATACTTCCCAAAGCAATCTACAGATTCAATGAAATCCTTATCAAAATTCCAGTGGCCTTTATATTTTGTGGAAATAGAAAAGCCAATCTTGAAATTCATATAGAATTGCAAAGGGCCCTGAGTTGCCAAAATCATCTTGAAAAAGAAACAAAATTGGAAAACTCCAAATGTCCAATTTCAAAAACTTACTATAACACTACAATAATCTTGCAGTGTCAGCTACTTGGGAGGCTGAGGCAGGAGGATTGTGTGGGCCTGGGAGTTCAAGACTGCAGTGAGCTATGACCACACCACTGCTCTCCAACCTGGGAGATGCAGTAAGACCCTGTCTCCAAAAAAAAAAAAAAAGTATAATAATCAGTGGTACTGGTACTGGTATTAGGATATAAATACAGAACAAAAGAAAAGAATCAAGGATCCAAAAATAAACTCATATATCTATGGCCAATTGATTTTCAACAAGGGTACCAAGGCCATTCAATGGGGGAAGAGGATAGTTTCTTCAACAAATAAAGCTGGGACAACTGGATAACCACATGCAAAAGAATAACATTAGACAGGGTGGGCATGGTGGCTGATACCTATAATCCCAGCACTTTGGGAGGCTGAGTCAGGCAGATGACCTGAGGTCAAGAATTTGAGACCAGCCTGGCCAACATGGTGAAACCCAATCTCTATTAAAAATACAAAAATTACCCAGGCTTGGTGGTGGGCACCTGTAATCCCAGCCACTGGGGATGCTGAGGCAGGAGAATTGCTTGAACCCAGGAGGTGGAGGTTGCAGTGAACCAAGATCGTGCCACTTCACTCCAGCTTGGGTGACAAAGTGAGACCCTGTCTCAAAAAGAAAAAAGAAAAAAGTTAGACCTCTATCTCACACCATATATAAAATTTAATTCAAAAATGGATCAATGGGGCCGGGCGTGGTGGCTCACGCCTGTAATCCCAGCACTTTGGGAGGCCGAGGTAGGGGGATCACAAGGTCAGAAGTTCGAGACCAGCCTGGCCAGCATGGTGAAACCCCGTCTCCACTAAAAATACAAAAAATTAGCTGGGCGTGGTGGTGCACACCTGTAGTCCCAGCTACTCCGGAGGCTGAGGCAGGAGAATTGCTTGAACCTGGGAGGCAGAGGTTGCAGTGAGCTGAAATCATGCCACTGCACTCCAGCCTGGGAACAGAGTCAGACTCTGTCTCAAAAAAAAAAAAAGATCAATGGGCTAAAACTACTAAACTCTTAGAAGAAAAATTAGAGGTAAATCTTTATGCCTTTGGATTTTACAGTGGTTTTTTGGGTGTAATAGCAAACGTAAGAACAACAAAAGAAAAAATAGATAAATTGATGTCATCAAAATTAAAAACTTTGTGCATCAAAGGACATTATCATGAAAGTAAAAGGCAACCTATAGAATCGGGGGAGAAATATTTGAAAATCATAGTATTTAGTATTCAAAATATATAAAGAATTCTTACAACTAAAACATAAAGACAACACAATTTTTAAAAATGGGCAAAGGACTTGAGTAGATATTTCTCCAAAAAAGTATATGGATAGCCAAAAAGTACATAAGAAGATGTCCAACCTCATTAGTCATTAGAGAAATGTAAATGAAAACTTGATGAGATACCATTTTCACACCCACAAGGATGGATATAATAATATTTTTAAAAAGTACTAGCAAGGATGTGAAGAAATTGGAACTCTCATATTTCTGGAAGAATGTAAAATGGTTCAGCCCCTATAGAAAAGTTTGATGGTTCCTCAAAAAGTTAAACACAGAATTACCATATAACTCAGCAAATTCCACCCCTAGGTATATAACCAGAAGGCTGAAAACAGGTACTCAAATAAATACTTGTACACAAATGTCTATAAGAGCACTCTTCACAATAGTTAGACATGGAAACAACCCAAATTTCCTTCAATGAATAAATAAAAAAATTGTGGTATATACACATAATGGAAAACTATTCAGTAATACAAAAAGAAATGAAGATATATGCCACACTGTGGATGAACCTCAAAATGATTATGTAAGTGAAAGAAGCCAGACACAAAAGATCATAGGTTGTATAATTCCAGTTATGTGAAATATACAGAATAGTAAATCTGTAAAAACAGAAAGTCTATTGCTAGTTGCCAGGAACTGTGGGGAGGAGGGAATGGGAAGTTAACTGCTTAATGGACATGAGGTTTTATTCTGGAGTGACAAAAATGTTTTGAAAGTAATAAAGGTGGCAGTTTTATAACATTGTAAATGTACTAAATGCTACCAATTTGTTCACTTTAAAATGGTTCATTTTATGTCATATGAATTTTACCTCAATCTTTAAAAATATGCATTTGCACCCATTTATAGTTATAAGAACTTTGATAAGTTGCTCCCCTCAGGTCTCAGTGTCTTCATTCAAAAGTGAGCCCTTTTGCTTGGACAGTGAAAATGGAGAAGTAAGAATCTTTAAAATTTCCTCCACGAAAGCAACAAGAACACTGGCAAAAATGGTCAGAATCAAGTTTTCCAGAATTCTGGGAATTAAAAAAAAAAAAATCAAACCATGCAGCAATCCAAGGAACATCTATTGAAGAAAAATTGCTGCTTCTCAGTAAGAATAGTGAGTTTCATGGCATTTTATCTTGCTCTGGACCCATCTGCAGCATTCCCAGTTCCATGGTAGTAATGAAAAACAACCACCCACAATCATAGTGAAAACCAGCAGCCTGGCAGCATCTGGAGGGAGAAGACTGGTGTTGGAATGCCTTCAATGCACCATTACCAGAGAATTGTCATTATTTGACCTGTCTGGGTGGTTCTCTGAAAGACCCATTTGCAAAGCTTTTATTTGACCATACTCAAACCTCTCTTGGTGCAAACAGCCTTTTCCCTGGGAAAATTTGTTGAAAACAATCAGAGGCAACTGTTTAACATCATGGCTGCTGCACAGTGTGTAACAGTTGTGAAAAACAATAGGTTAACCAAGAGCTTAAAAGTAAGTTAGGCAATGAGATGTCCATAGGAGGTTTTGAAAAGCTCTAACATGTTACTGGAAATACAGAAGGCCTTGCAGCCAGTGTAAGGCTTTCTGCATGCTCAGAAAAGACCAGAGAAAGTCCCAACATCTCATCTCTAACTAATCTTGTGGGTCTGTGCAAACATCCAGTGACCACTAAAGTGTAGCTTTAAACTGCCTGGTTGAGTAGAGACATGCCTCAGTGCACACACAAAGTTTTTGTTGTCAAAGACTGGGAGATTTATTGGTTCCAGCCATTTAAGGAAATTTTTTTCCAATCATTAGCTGATAATAAGATAATGAGTAGGACCAGATCAATGGCCATACATGACAAAAAATGCATACTTTACAGGATTATTTCAGAAGTCACTAAACTAACACATGGCAACAACAACAAATAACAGCAACAAACCTTGGATAGAGGTGAGAATCTGATTTCCAGAGTTGCCACATTATATTATTCAAAATATTCAATTTTCAACAAAATAGTCATGGCACGTACAAAGGAAAAGAAAGTATGGCTCGCATATAGGATAAAAGTCAGTCAATGGAATCTGTCACTGAGGAAGCCCAGATGTTGGACTTACAAGACATTTTAAATCAGCTATTTTACTTATGTTTAAAGAACTGGGCCGGGTGTGGTGGCTCACTCCTGTAATCCTAACACTTTGGGAGGCTGAGGCAGGTGGATCACTTGTGGTCAGGAGTTCAAGACCAGCCTGACCAACATGGTGAAATCCTGTCTTTACTAAAACTACAAAAATTAGTGGGGCTTGATGGCACAAGCCTGTAATCCCAGCTACTTGGGAGGCTGAGATAGGATAGTTGCTTGAATCCAGGAGGCAGAGGTTGCAGTGAGCCGAGATCATGCCACTGCACTCCAGCCTGGGTAACAGAGTAAGACTCCATCTCAAAAAAAAAAAAAAAAAAAAAAAAGAACTGAAGGAAACTGTATGTAAAGAACAAAGAACTAAAGGCAAGTATGAGAATGATGTCTCACCAAATAGCGAATATCAATAAAGAGACAGAAAAAATTTTCCAAGAACCTGAATAAAAATTCTAAAGTTGAAAATTACAATGACCTAGAATGAAAAATTCCCTGGAGGGGCTCATATAAGATTTGAGCAGACAGAAGAAAGAGTCAAATGTGCTTGAAGATAGACCAATGAATAGTAACCAGTTTGAGGAAAAGAAAGAAAAATAATTATGAAGAAAAAAGAACAAAATGGGTTAAAATGCCTCACATAACCAATAAGATAAAACTCAATTCAAATTGGGAAAAAAATGAATATAGCCACAGAGAAGTGTGGGACACTGTCAAGGGCATCAACATATACATAAAGGGAATCCCTCAAGGAGAGGAGAATACTTGGAAAAATAATGGCTGAAATTCCCCAAGTTTGATGAAAAACTTCATCCAGTAAGTTCAAAAAACTTACAATAGGATGCATTCTAATAGAGCCACACATAGACAAATCATTATAAAATTGCCAAAAGACAAAGGCAAAGAGAGAATCCAAAAAGCAGAAAGGGAGAAGTGAATATCACATGTAAATGATCCTCATACTGCTTCTAGCCTCCATGAATTCTGATGAATTCATGTGATTCCTCCATCAGGAGTCATGGAAGCTGGAAGCAGTGGGATGACAGTCAAAATGCTGAAAGAAAATGAGAGGTGGCCAGGCACGGTGGCTCACACCTATAATCCCAGCACTTTGGGAGGTGGAGGAGGGTGGACTGCTTGAGCTCAGGAGTTCAAGACCAGCCTGGGCAACATGGTGAAAACCTGTCTCTACCAAAAATACAAAAACAAATTTAGCTGAACATGGTGGGGTGTGCCTGTAGTCCTAGCTACTCAGAAGGCTGAGGTGGGAGGATCACTTGAGCCCAGGAGGTCGAGGCTGCAGTGAGCCACAATCATGCCACTGCACTCCAACCTGGGTGACAGAGTGAGACCTGGTCTCATAAATAAATGAATAAATAAAAGAAAAATAAAAAAAGAAAATGACAGTCAACCAAGAATTCTATGCCCACCAAACTATTCTTCAGAAAGAAAGGTGAAATTAAGATATGTCTAGATAAAGAAGAATTGAGGCAATTTGTTGCTAGCAGACCTACAAAATACTAAATAGTCCTTCAGGCTAAAATGAAAGGATCATAAGCAGAAACTTGAATTCATGTGAAGAAATAAAGAGCCAGTTAAAGTAACTATATAGGAAAATAATAGACAGTATAAACATATTTTTGTTTGTAAATCTTTCTCTCCTAAGAGGCAACTGCATAAAACAATTATAAATCTGTGTGAATGGGTGTACAATGAATAAAGCTGTAATTTGTATAACAAAAACAGTTCAAAGAAGGATGGGGAGAATGGAGCTATTTAAGAACAGCATTTTTTGGCTGGGTGTAGTGGCTCATGCCTGTAATCCCAGCACTTTGGGAGGCCGAGGCAGGCTGATCACCTGAGGTTAGGAGTTTGAGACCAGCCTGGCCAACATGGTGAAACCCCATCTCTACAAAAATACAAAAATTAGCTAGGTGTGTTGGTGTGCGCCTGTAATCCCAGCTACTCGGGAAGCTGAGGCAGGAGAATCACTTGAACCCAGGAGGCAGAGGTTGCAGTGAGCCGAGACCACAGTATTGCACTCCAGCATGCGCAACAAAAGTGAAACTACATCTCAAAAAATAAAAAAAAAGGAGCATTTATTTATTTATTTATTTATTTGAGACGGAGTCTCACTTTGTCACCCAGGCTGGAGTGCAGTGGCGCGATCTTGGCTCACTGCAAGCTCCACCTCTCAGGTTCATGCCATTCTCCTGCCTGAGCCTCCTGAGTAGCTGGGACTACAGGCACCCGCCACCACGTCTGGCTAATTTTTTGTATTTTTAGTAGAGATGGGGTTTCACCATGTTAGCCAGGATGGTCTCTATCTCCTGACCTCCTGATCTGCCCGTCTCAAAAGAACTTTGCTCTGTTGCCCAGGCTAGAGTGCAGTGGCACGATCATGGCTCACTGCAGCCTTGAACTCCTGGGCTCAAGCAATCATCCTGACTTCCAAGTAGCTAGGACTACAGGCAGGTGCCACCATGCCTGGCTAATTTTTTAATTTTTTTTTGTAGAGTCAGGGTCTCGCTATGTTGCTCATGTCTCAAATCCCTAGGCTCAAGCAATCCTTCTGCCTCAGCTTCCCAAAGTGTTGGGATTACAGGCTTGAGCCACCCCTCCAGGCAAAAATATTTTTTAAAATTTTTGTAATTAAGTTGGTATTAATCCAAATTAGATTGGTATAAATTAGAATTTAACTTGTAATATCCAGTGCAACTGCTAAGAGAATAATTTCTTTTTTTTTGAGACGGAGTCTTGCTTTATCTCCCAGGCTGGAGTGCAGTGATGCAATCTCAGCTCACTGCAACCTCCGCCTCCTGGGTTCGAGGGATTCTTCTGCCTCATCCTCCTGAGTAGCTGGGATTACAGGCATGCACCACCACACCCGGCTAATTTTTGTATTTTTAGTAGAGACGGGATTTCATCATATTGGCCAGGCTGGTCTCGAACTCCTGACCTCAGGTGATCCGCCCACCTCGGCCTCCCAAAGTGCTGGGATTACAGGCGTGAGCCACTGCGCCCAGCTAGAATAATTTCTAAGATACACTGAAAGGGAGCTCTTTAGAGGCCATCTCTCAGATGTCTCCTGGTTCCAGCATCGTTTGACTCTGTCATGCTGCGCATTCCCCAGATGATGCTTTCTGATTGTCAGGTGTCAGCGTCTGTGCCAGTGATTGAGGCTGACACCAAAGTTGTTTACCTTACAACTCTCGTATGGGTTCTAGTGTAAGCTTTAGTGTTTATTCAGCCAAGAATACAAGAAAGTCCGATCCTGCCCAGCCAAATATCTCTCATCCTGATCAAGAAGATTCTTATTCCTTCTCTGGAGGAGAAGCTAAGAAGAGGAAGGGGAGAGAGACTTAATTCTGATCTACTCTTGTGTTTTTGCTTTTCTCTCTTAAGATAGCACTCAACTTGTAAGCCTTAGTTAGACAAGGGTGTGGCTTTTCTCCTTAAAGGAGAAGGCAGATGTCAGAGAATCCTCCTAACTGTATACGGAGTTTCCTTCATACAAACCCCTGCTCCTCACTATTCCCCTTGGGCTAAACAATTGGGCGTTTCACTTGTGTGTTACTCAAAGCTTCTAACATGTGATGGGTGCAGAGACTAAACCACATACTAAGTTGAAAGCAAAAGAAAGTTGTTTTGGAAAATAATATCCATTTTAGGACCAATAAACTATTAGCTGGGAAGATTCTTCACCCAGCTTCCTCTTCCTCTTCTTTTTGTTCTTTGTTTCTGTTCTTTGGCCTGAGGGGGCATGAGGATGACCTTCATGTAGGGTCACATGATCTACATGCTATGGCTGCTTGTTTCTGAGTGCCTCCACTTGAGGCTTGTCCAGGTCACACACAGTGCCCTCACCTTAGTGGATTTCTGTTTCTGCATTGTCTGAATAGGATCACATGTACCTTTTGAGGTCACAGAAAGGAATGGAAGAAAGGGAGGAACAAATACTGGAGGAATGTCTGGAGAGAAGGTCTCATTGGATGATGTAGGAAGTGGGCTGAGGTCATCACCCTCTTTTGACCACTCTTAACCTCTTGACTTGAAAGAAAGGGAGAACAAAATTAGGACTTACAGAATTTTGGAGCACAGATGGCAGTCACTACTGTAGGTAACCTGGTCACTGCCACAAATAGGTTCACTGGGCTTGATGTAGGATAAAAACCAGCACTTATTTACATTCTTGAGGCATTCAACCTGAAGGTGAGACACACACAACTGCTTCAGACACTTTCATCCAGGTCCTTTGGCCGTTATTATGTATAGCTTGGGAGGTGGATGGAATACGAGCACCAGATCAGGAGTTCAGAGAAAAGGATTCAGAAGCCTCAGTGTTTGACCCCAACAGTTACCACCCACAATATGTATATAATTGCAAAATAATATATAATCTGTGCACTCTCCAGACTCCCATAAATTCTTTATTAAGATAAAAATACCGGCCGGGCGCGGTGGCTCATGCCTGTAATCCCAGCACTTTGGGAGTCCGAGGTGGGTGGATCACGAGGTCAGGAGATCGAGACCACGGTAAACCCCATCTCTACTAAAAATACAAAAAATTAGCCGGGCGTGGTGGTGGGCGCCTGTAGTCCCAGCTGCTGGGGAGGCTGAGGCAGGAGAATGATGTGAACCTGGGAGGCGGAGCTTGCAGTGAGCCGAGATCGCGCCACTGCACTCCAGCCTGGGCGACAGAGCAAGACTCCGTCTCCAAAAAAAAAAAAAGATAAAAATCCCTGCCCTCTGTAACCTAACAATCATATTTTTGTACCAACCCCAAAATGTGATTGGTAGGTTACAGAGAGCAGAAGTAGGGAAATGTCTTTCCAGGTTAAAATTTCTGATGAAGGGCCAGGCATGGCGGCTCACGCCTGCACTCCCAGCACTTTGGGAGGCCGAGGTGGGCAGACCATAAGGTCAGGAGTTTGAGACCAGCCTGGCCAACATGGTGAAACCCCATCTCTACTAAAAATACAAAAATTAGCTGGGTGTGGTGGCACGTACCTGTAGTCCAAGCTACTCGGGAGGCTGAGGCAGAAGAATCACTTGAACCCAGGAGGCAGAGGTTGCAGTGAGCTGAGATCGCGCCACTGCACTCCAGCCTGGGCAACAGAGCAAGACTCCGTCTCAAAAAAAAAAAAAATTCTGATGAACATTATCATATGTGGTGCCTCAGATGGCAGGGGCTGAAACTTGTCACAGCAGGTTGAAGGCACCAAAGGAAGGAGATGGAGGAAATACCTCATAGGGCCTTGGTGTGAGGGAGGCAGGGGGTATGCCTGGCATATCATGGTGGAAACAGTATCCACTGTGGCATAGGACCTACCTGAATTTGTGCCACGACATCCTCATCCATTTATTGGTGCAAAATACTTGCTTTCTACCCCACAGGTGAGTTATGTAAACTGATTGGGAGAACCCTTGAGAAGAGGGCTCAGGAACATATAAAATGTGCTACACATACTTGGTGACTCAGCTTTTATTGTTCTGTTATTCCCATGCAAGCCCCCTCCACTGCCCACCTCCCAGAAGAAAGAGCTGGGGCTTTTGGGCAAACTGGCTCTCTCCCCATTCCTGTTATTAGGAACCAAGGAAGCAGTACTCACTATTGTTTTGTCTAGCTGACCTCTTTCAGAGGCCATAGGAAGGGGGAAGTCTGGAAGACAAAAGCACATACAGAAAAGTTGCTTCTCTGTCTTCTGCCCTCAGCGAAAAAGGTAAGATGAGGGGAACCCTAGTTGGCACACAGGAAGCATCAAACCCCATCAGAAGAGGCTGGGCTCCTCTTTGATGCAAGCTGCCCTCTAAAGGAGCAAAGAATCAGGAAATACGTGCCTTTACCTTCTTGTAAAATGGAGTTCTTAATTCTAGCCCTTCCATTTCATAAGTAACAACTTCTGTAATCCTTGTCAGTTTTTTTTAGTAAACATGCTCTAAGTTACAAATTACCATGAATTCATTATATTGAGATGCCCTAAAAGATGCTGAGTTTCATTAAGGCTTACATATTCAATTCAAAGCAGTCTTTGCAATTACATATGTATATAAAATTTTATATAAGTATATATTATAATCACATGATATAATTTTATAGTATATAATATGTATAATATGTTATCAACTCTCATATATATCAGCTTTCTTGGGTATAATTCACATATCATAGAATTTTACCAGATTTTTAAAAAATGCTTTGACCTGCCTGGCCAACATGGTGAAACCCTGTCTCTACTAAAAATACAAAAATTAGCCAGGCATGGTGGTGCATGCCTGTAGTCCCAGCTACTTGGGATGTTGAGGGAGGAGAATGACTTGAACCCAGGAGGTGGAGGTTGCAGTGAGCCAAGATCGCACCATTACACTTCAGCGTGGGTGAAAGAGCAAGACTCCGTCTAAAAAAAAAAAAAGTTTTCAGACAGAGTCTTGCTCTGTCACCCAGGCTGGAGTGCATTGACACGATATCAGCTCACTGAAGCCTCAACTACCTGGGCTCAAGTAATCCTCCTACCTCAGCCTCCCAAGTGGCTGGGACTACAGGCATGCACCACTATGACCAACTTATTTTCTTGATTTTTTTGGTGGAGCTGAGGTCTCACTACGTTGTACAGGCTGGTCTGGAATTCCTGGGCTTAAGCAATTCTCCCACTCAGCCTCCTAAAGTGCTGGGATTACAGATGTAAGCCACCATGCCCAGCTGAATTTACCAATTTTTACCATCATATAGAGGATTTTTTTCTTTTTAAATAATTCACCTAAAGTTTACAGTTTGATGGTTTTTAGTATATTCACAGTTATGCCATCATCACCTCAAAAAGAAACCCTGTAACCATTAGCAGTCATTTATCATGCCCCTCTTCCAACTATTTCCCCTCCTGCCCCACCCTCGCCCCTGAAAAACAATAATCCACTTTCTGTTTCTTTTTGTTTTTTTTTTTTAGACAGAATCTTGGTCTGTCGCCTAAGCTGGAGTGCAGTGGCGCGATCTCAGCTCACTGCAACCTCGGCCTCCTGGGTTCAAGTGATTCTCCTGTCTCAGCCTTCCAAATAGCTGGGATTACAGGTGCATGCCACCATGCCCAGCTAATTTTTGTATTTTTAGTAGAGACGGGGTTTCACCGTGTTGTCCAGGCTGGTCTCGAACTCCTGACCTTAGGTGATATGCCCACCTCAGCCTCTTAAATTTCTGGGATTACAGGCATGAGCCATCAAGCCCAGCCTCTACTTTCTGTTTCTGTAGATTTGCTTTTCTGGACATTTCATATAAATGGAGTCATGCAACGAAGTATATGGTTTTTTGTGTCTGTGTTTTAATGTTCTAACTATATTGTAGCTTGTATCAGTACTTCATTCTTTTTTATAACTAAATAATATTCAATGTATGTATATTCCACATTTTATTTATCCATTAATCAGTTAATGGACATTTGAGTTGCTTTCACTTTTTTGCTATTATGAATAAAGCTGCTATGAATATTTATGCACACATTTTTGTGTGGGCATGTGTTTTTATTTCCCTTAAGTATATACAAAGTGTGGAATTGCCAGTCATATTCCAACCTTTTAAGGACTTGCCAGGCTATTTTCCAAAGCAGCTGCATTTTACATTCCCATCAGCAAGGCACGATGGCTTCAATTTCTTCACATCTTTGCTAACATTTGTTACTATCTTTCTTTTTTCTTATAGCCATCCTAGTAGGTGTGAAGTGGTATCTCTGTTGTTTTTGTTTGTTTTGTTTTGTTTTTTGAGACAGAGTTTCGCTCTGTCACACAGGCTGGAGTGCAGTGGCGTGATCTCTGCTTACTACAACCTCCACCTCCCAGGTTCAAGCAATTTTCGTGACTCAGCCACCCGAGTAGCTGGGATTACAGGTGTGCACCACCACACCCAGCTAATTTTTGTATTTTCAGTACCTCAGGTGATCTGCCCGCCTCAGCCTCCTAAAGTTCTGGGATTACAGGCATGAGCCACCACTCCTGGCCATATTGGTATCTTTATTGGTATCATTTGAATCACAAAAGTTTTTAAAAGTCCAATTGATCTTTTTGTTTTTGTTGTTCCTTTCTGCCTTTGGTGCCATCGTTAAGAAGGCTTTGCCTAATTCAAGGTCACGAAATTCACTCATATTGTTTTCTTCTAATAGTTTTATAATTTTAGCTCTTACATTTAGTTCTGTGATCCATGTTGAGGCATTATAATTTGTGTCCATGGTGTGAGGAAAAGGTCCACATTTATTCTTTTGTATATAGATATCCAGTTGTCCTAGCAGCATTTGTTTAAAAAGATTATTGTCCACTGAATTGTCTTCAGAGCTTGTTAAAATCAATTCACTCCAAATGTAAGGTGTTTTTCCCCTGGACTCTTATATTTTATTGATCTGTATTTCTTTTTCTTTTTCATAAAACGTATGACTGAAACATTGACCTGTATTTCTATTCTCATGCTAGTACCAAACTGTCTTGATGTCTGTAACTTTGTAGTAAGCTTTGAAATTGAAAAGTGTGAGTACTTCAACTTTTTTTTTTTTTTTTGAGGTCTATTTTGTCTATTGTCAGTCTTTTGCTTTTCCATATGAATTTTAGAATCAGCTTTTCCATTTCTGCAAAAAAGCCAGCTGTGGTTTTGATAGGATTTGCATGGAATCTGTAGATTGATTTCTAGAATATTGCCATCTTAACAATGTTAAGTCTTCCAATCCATGAAGATGGGATATCTTTATGTTGGTTTAGGTCTTCTTTAATTTCTTTCATCAATGTTTTGTAGTTTTCAGTGTGCAAGTCTTTCACCTCCTTTGGTAAATTATCCTTAGGTATTTTATTATTTTTGATGCTATTGTAAGTGAAATTGTTTTCTTAATTTCATTTTCAGGATGTTCATTAGTAGTGTATAGATATACAAATGATTTTTGTATATTGCTCTTGTATTCTGCAAACTTGCTATTAACACTAACAGTTTTTAGAGTATTCCTTAGGACTTTCTATTCACAAAATTATGTCATCTACAAACAGAGATCATTTTACTTCTTCCAATCCTATCTGGATAACTTTTATTCATTTTCTCTTGCCTAATTACCCTGGCTTGAACCTCCAGTACAATGTTAAATAGTAGTGGTGAGAGCAACGTTGCTCCCACTCACCCCCTTTGTGCTATTATCAAATATATTACATTTCTATATGTTCTCTAACATAAAGAACATATAGAATACATTCAAATAAACATTTCTATATAGTAGAAAAATTACTTTACATGATTTCAATCCTTTTAGATTTATTGAGGCTTGTTTTATGATCTAGGATATGGCCTATCCTGGAGAACACTGCATGTGCACCTGAGCAGTATGTGTATTCTGATGTTGTTGGATGGTGTAGTCTGTAGATGTCTGTTGGGTCTAGTTGGTTAATAGTGTTGTTCTAGTCTTCTATTTCCTTATTGGTCTTCTGTCTAGTTGTTTTAGCCATTATTGAAAGTTTGAGGTGATGTCTCCAACCATTATTGTTGTATTATCAATTTCTCCCTTCAATTCTGTTAGTTTTGCTTCATATATTTGGGGCTTTATTTTTAGGTGCATATATGTTCATAATTGTTTTATCTTCCTGATAGACTGACCCTTTATCATAACATGTCTCTCTTCATTTGTAGTAACATTTTTGTTTTGAAGTATATTTTGTCTGATATTAGTATAGCCATTCCAACTTTTTATGGTTGCAGTTTGCATGATATATTTTTCTCATCATTTTACTTTCAGCTTATTTGTGTTTTTGAATCTAAGGAGTATCTCCATATAAAGCATATAGTTGGATGTTGGTTTTTTTTTGTTCAGTCTGACAGTTTATGCCTTTTGATTGGATTGTGTAATTCATTCGCATTTAATTTTTTTATTGATATAGTTGGATTGACTTACACCTGCCATTTTACTTTTTGTTTTGTGTATGTCTCCTTTTTTCTCAAGTCCTCCTTCACTGGTTTGTGTTGCACTAAGTAAGTAAGTATTTTTTTAATGTAACGTTGTAATTTTTTTTTTTTTTTGAGACAGCGGCTCACTCTGTTGCCCAGGCTGTAGTGCACTGGTACATTCTTGGCTCACTGCAACCTCCACCTCCCTAGTTCAAGTGCTTCTCCTGCCTCAGCCTCCCCAGTAGCTGGGACTATAGGTCTGCACCACCATGCCTGGCTAATTTTTTTTTTTTTTTTTTGAGAGTGAGTTTCACTCTTGTCACCCAAGCTGGAGTGCAATGGTGCGAACTCAGCTCACTGCAACCTCTGCCTCCCAGGTTCAAGTGATTCTCCTGCTTCAGCCTCCTGAGATGGGAGGCTGGGATTACAGGCATGCACCACCATGGCTGGCTAACTTTTGTATGTTTAGTAGAGATGGGGTTTCTCCAAGTTGGTCAGGCTGGTCTCAAACTCCCGACCTCAGGTGATCTGCCCGCCTTGGCCTCCCAAAGTGCTGGGATTACAGGCATGAGCCACCATGCCCAACCGTCCTTTCTTTTCTTTTCTTTTTTTTTTTTTTGAGACACTGGGCTGACCTAAGCTAGGGTGAGGGCCATCAGGGCCCCACTACTCTCAGTCTGCCTCACCTGGGATGGAGCCTCAGTCTCACAAGTAGGAGATGGGTGGGAAAAAAGAGAACCCTGCCTCTGGGACTCACTTTCCTGGAATTTAGCCTCAGCAACACAAAGGTATGGGGGGAATGAAAAATGTTGACGACGTGTCCTTCTGAGGGAGATATACCATTGCCCCCTGTAAGCTTAGGGAGAGAAGAAAAACTCATCTTGGCCATATCTGTCCAGAGTAGATCTTCCCTCACACTGCGCTGGGAAGGGAAGGGGAAAGATAGGCAGTGGCTTAAGTTCTACACATTCTTGCTGTTCCTACCTTTTGAAACATTTATCAAAATGTGTGGTCTGGCCGGGCGCGGTGGCTCACGCCTGTAATCCCAGCACTTTGTGAGGCCAAGGCTGGCAGGTCACCTGAGGTCAGGAGTTCAAGACCAGCCTGACCAACATGGTGAAACCCTGTCTCTACTAAAATACAAAAATTAGCTGGGCATGATGGCAGATGCCTGTAATCCTAGCTACTTGGAAGGCTGAGATGGGAGAATCGCTTGAACTTGGGAGGCAGTGGTTGCAGTGATCTGAGATGGTGCCACTGCACTCCATCCTGGGTGGCTGAGGGAGACTCTGTCTCAAGAAAAAAAAAAAAGGTGTGGCCGGGTGAGGTGGCTCATGCCTGTAATCTCAGCACTTTAGGAGGCCAAGCCGGATGGATCATTCGAGGTCAGGTGTTCGAGACCACCCTGGCCAACATAGTCAAACCATGTCTCTACTAAAAATAAAAAAAATTTAGCCAGGCATGGTGGCACATGCATATAGTTCCAGCCACTTTGGGGGCTGAGGTGGGAAACTCGCTTGAACCCAGGAGGTGGAGGTTGCAGTGAGCTGAGATCACACCACTGCACTCCAGCCTGGGTAACAGCAAGACTCTGTCTCAAAAAAAAAAAAAAGTGTGTTAATATTAGGTATGAACTATGATATCTATATATCTTCCACCACTGGTGTGTTCAGGTACCACTCCTGACACATAACCCATGTCTAGCCCAGTTACTGGCATAAGGTCAACACACAGTATATATTTATTGGATATGTAAATAAATGGGTGCTGGGAAACCCAGCATAGTAGTAAGGGCCACATCACAAAGGCTTTGTGTTTATTACAGCAGAACTAAGATAAGATTTGCACTAAAAATGACAACTATTGTAGCAGTGGTACATGGGTTAGAGTAAGTCAAGTTAGAGGCAAAGGGAACGGTTAAGGAGAATATAAAAATATTTTCATGAAATGATGAGAACCTTCACTGAGGAAGTCACTGTTGTGGAAATGTGGAAAAGCATGAATTTACATGATATATGAAGTGTTCTATCAACCGAACTTAGTCACTGGTTATGGGCATACAGGGGAGAAATAGGTTTGAGGCAAAAATATAAGGCCATACAACTACAAGAACAAGGAAAGGGTGATTTGCAAGAAAGATGGAGTGGTCCACTTTGGTTGAGTTATGGTGTGTTCCCGACAGAGGATGAGACTCAGCCAGAAGGGAACACAGCAGGCTTGCAGGGAGGCTGATGCCAATGGCTGATATGCTCAGTAGCAGTGGGGGTGAGGATTGAATGAAAGGTGAGGAAGTGTAGAAATATACCTAGATTTGTCAACAGATGATTAAATTGGAGAGGGAAGGGGAGGAGAGGGACCAGGCTTATTTGTTTTTTACGTAAGATATGAGAGTCATGAAAAATAGTTTTCAGCTTGTTACAGAACTCTCCTAAGATGTGAGAGCCTTGAAAAAAATGTTTTAAGTGAGACGCCGTACCAATGGAAAGTAAGAGATTGAAGACAAGTAGGAAAGAGTTGCAGAAATCGAATAGAAAAACAACATGTTGAGGCCTTCAGAGATTCCCTACTGTTAACTATAAGCATGACTTTTGCTAAAACCCGCCATTAACCAGAATAATATCTGAGTCTACTTCCACATAGTCTAATGAGTTTCTTTTTTTGATTTGAGATATGTAAATATACAAACTCTAGAAATGTACATTTCTGAGGTTTAAATATCTTAGGTAGTAACCTGGCATTTTGGGAAGTTCAATGTTCCTGGACTTGGATGGTTTGGATTCAAATCCCAGCTTTGATAGTAGCAACATTGTATGAATCCTTTCTCTGGGTTTTAATTTCTACATTTGTAACATGAGAAATTAGGATTAAATAAAACTGAACAGCACTTCCACTTCCATCTCTAATCTTCCCATGATTCTAGATTTACTGCAGAAAATGTGGGCAGAGCAAGGACACATAACTCACCAATTGCAAAGGCCATCCACATGGAGGTAGCTAGAACAAGGATGGCGTCTGAGCAGATCCCCTTCATGGTGACAGAAGAACTGTGGAAATATGCAACTTTTGATGTAGGACAAACATCTATGCGAAGTACAAGTTCTCACAGAGATCCCTCACTGACCAGGAAATGAAGTCTAAATACTTTGTTCTTTCCTCAGGTCATTTGGAATGAATTGTGTCTGATGCAACTCAATTGTTTAATTCATTTCCCTAAAATCTTTGGACATTTGAAAAAAAAATCTTAAAAACAGAATTTTAGAAGATGCCAGAAAAAGAGTTAGTAAAGAATGCTTGCCAAGGGAAAGAATAAATACTAAGAGTTTTCCAATAAAATATTTAAAAGTAGCCAGGCATGGTGGCTCATGCCTGTAATCCCAGCATTTTGGGAGGCCAAGGCAGGAGGATCACTTGAGCCCAGGAGTTCGAGACCAGCCTGGGCAACATAGCAGGACCCCATTTCTGAAGAGCAGTCACTCAACAACATGTGTAAGTCAACAGGCAATAAGAAACAAGAAGGGACAAAACACCAAAACCTCACTCCTTTACTTGTAATCTTCCCTAATGTTGTTACTTGGTGTTAATACTTAGTATCCAGTAAAATTACTGAAAGGAAAACCATAGTATATTTACCAACAGCTTACTTGCATTATTGAAATTATTATAGTACATACCAATTGATATTTTAATTACTGGTTTCTATTCTCTTCATCCTACACATTTTCCAGGCAAACATTTTTCATTCTATATCGAGGTAATTTCTACCCAAGGCCTCCCCTGAGGAAAAAACCAAGTAATAAATAATACAACCCTTAAAAGTTTGCAAATTAAGAAGTCCACTTTACCTGCTGTGACTCCCATGGTTGCTCTGAGAAACTGGCTGAACAGGATGGTTTTTGTTGATAGTTTGTTCATAATGAACTAGGAAGGAAGGCAAAGCTTATTTGTCTTTTCAAGGTTCCAATGCCTGGAAGTAGAAGAGAGTGAGCTTTGAAATTAGGAAGTGTAGATATGACTCAAATCTATTTCTTTCAACTCTAAATTCTGTAATGCCTAAATCTTGTGAGTTCATATTTCAAATTTCTGAGGGTGATATGTACTGTCCAGTACTACTCCCAAATCTAGCTGTTCTTGCCAAAGCTGAACCTACCATTTTAGACATATGTCATAGACAATTTTTGAATTCCTACATTTTAATTTGCATTATAATTATTACATTCAAGACGGCTTCAGATATTGACACAATATTATAAAGTACCACATCTGCATGTGCAGTTATTTTATCAAGTCAAAAGTGTTCACTTTATTGAAGCATCTGCTTTAGATTATTTCTATATTGACTTATAGAGGTTCTATTTATTTTTATTTCTTTAGAGACAAGGTCTTTCTCTGTTGCCCAGGCTGAAGTACAGTGGCATAATCACAGCTCACTGCAGCCTTGAACGCCTAGCCTCAAGTGACCCTCTTGCTTGGCCTCCCAAAGCATTGGGATTACAGGTGTAAGCCACTGATTTGGCCTGACTCACAGGGTTTTAAAGTAGAAAATTACCTTATATGGAATCCTCCAAGTTCAGTCTTATTTAGCAGAGCTGAGAAATCTGGAGATAGAGTGCTCATTTCCCTTAAATGATAGCTTGTTCTACCATTTGAACAAAAATTTCTCAAAACGCTAACATTTTTTAAAGCAGAAGTTCAGAAGTTATTGGTTATCATAAATTCCTCAGGTCTAAGTCCTAAATGAATGGCCTTAACTGGGGACATGCCACATAGTTCTGGGAGGTCAAGTGTATTTTCTCAGCACTGCTCTGATCAACCACAGTGTCTACCATGGTGGTCTTCAGAATTTTTGCTTTTAATCCCTCTAAATTTGGTGCCTGCTTATATATATTTTTAAGTTACATGTAAAATTTTCCATCAGAAATTTTAATAGGCTGGGTACTGTGGCTCAAGCCTGTAATCTCAGCACTTTGGGAAGCTGAGGCAGGCGGATCGCTTGAGGCTAGGAGTTCGAGACCGGCTTGGCCAACATGGTGAGACCCTGTCTCTACTAAAAATGCAAAAATTAGCTGGGCGTGGTGGTGCGTGCCTGTAATCCCAGCTACTCATGAGGCTGAGGCATGAGAATCGCTTGAACCCAAGAGGCAGAGGTTGCAGTAAGCCGAGATCGCGCCACTGCACTCTAGCTTGGGAGACAGAGCAAAACTGTCTTTTTGTTTTTCAGTTGCAAGATTTAATAGAGTGGAAACAGAGCTCCCATATGATGGGAAGAGACCCAAAGGGGGTTGCCACTCCCTGCTTGAATGCCTGGGTTTATATCCCGATCATTGTCCCTCCCCTGTGTTCTCAGGCGATATATGATTTGACTATTTCTTTACCTCCTGCTTTTAGCCTATTTTGTATTTTAGTGAGCCCTCTTTACTACCTGATTGGTCGGGCTTGAGCTGAGTTACAAGCCCCTGTTTAAACGTGGGTGCGTTCACCTTCTCTAGCTAGGCTTACAAATTCTTAGTCAGCCTAAGAAATCCAGCTAGTCCTGTCTCTCAGTCCCCGCTCTCAACAGGAAAACCCAAGTGCTGTTGGGGGGATTGGCTGACAACTGCTCTAACTGCTTCCTGCTCAACTGGGGCATAGTAGGGGTCGTGCAGTTGAGATTTCCTAGGGAGGGGTGCCTTTGATGTCATCAATATCACAGCATGGGCTAGCAGGCCGGTCCAAGGATCCCTGGTAGATCTTAGTCAGGGACTGCATCTGGGGCTCCATTTGAAGAACATTTGTAGTTTTACAGCTTTGATTCTGGAAGAGACAAACTTAACAAGGAGGTTAAAGATACAGGGATTGAAATGTATGGCCTGAAGTTCAGGGGCATATGGGTGTGGGGCTGAAAGTGGGGTTTCCTTTAGAAAAACTCCTATAAGATGGGGCTTCAATATTTCCGGGAAGCCGCATTCTCCATAGAAGCTCTTGGTAAGGGGAGCTACTGGTAGTATAGCGGCACGGAGGGGATTACCCTATACTAGGGGGTCCTTCTATAAGCCTTTCTAATGGAGGGTCCTGCCTTGTGGCTCTTTGGCTTCAATATCTGCTTGGCGGTTCCCTTTCTATTTCCCTTTCCTTTCCTTTCTGATGACTCCTGCAGTGTAAGACTGCCACCTCTTTAGGTTTCTGTACAGCCAATGATAATCTTCTAATGGCTTCCTGATATTTGATAGGTGTTCCCTCAGAAGTTAGGAATTCTCTTTCTCTCCATATTGCTGCGTGGGCATGGAGGACTAGGTAAGCATACTTAGAGTCTGTATAGATATTTACCTTTTTTTCTTCTCCTAATTCTAGTGTATAATGGCCCCTGTTTTTGCTAGAATGTCTCTCCCTAACAAGGGAATGGGGCTTTCAGGCATAATTAGAAAGGTATGTGAAAATGGTAAAGTTCCCTAGTCACAACTTAGTGTCTGGGAGAAGTATCTAGTGACTGCCTGTCCTAGGACCCCTCGGATAGTGACAGATCTGGAGGACAGTTGTCTGGGACAGGAGAGTAAGACTGAGAAGGCCGCGCTAGTGTCCAGCAGACAGTTAACCTCCTGGCCCTCAGTGGTCAAGCATACCTGGGGAGGGTGATGCCAGGGGCTGGCGCTTGCCCCAGGCACCCTCAGTCCTGCTGCTGGATCATCTGGTTAGTGGCTTCTGACTCAGAGGACCTTCATCCCCTGGGGCAGTGGGCCTTCCAGTGATACCCTTGAAATAAGGGGCATGGATGAGGGGGTGGCTTATTTCTATTCGGACAATCTTTTTTAAAGTGTCCTTGTAGACCGCACTGGAATCAAATCCCTATTAGGCATTCGATTTGCCCAGCCTTTCACTTTTCCAGAGCCTCCAAAGTCCACTTGCCTGAAGGCCATGACTAAAGCGGTGGCCTTCTTTTTATCCCGTTTGTCCAGTTCTGCCTGCTCCTTCTGATCTCTATTATAAAAACTGAGGCCAAGTTCTTAGTTTAAGTTTTGTTCCAGGCCTAAGGCGGATTTTGAAGTTTTTTTCTAATGTCTGCAGCTGAGTGATAAACTTACCCTTTAAGATTAGTTGGCCTTCAATAGATCCAGATGACAGAGAGGTATGCTTCCTCAATGCCTCCCTTAGTCTCTCCAGAAAGGCAGTAGGATTTTCTTCCTTTCCCTGTGTTATAGTGGGCATCATTGAATAATTCATAGGCTTCTTCCTAGTTTTTCTTAGTCCTTCTAGCATGCAAGTTAGCAAATGTCTGCGGCACCAATCTCCACATTCTGATTCTGCGTCCCATTGAGGGTCTACACTGGGAACTGCCTGCTGGCCTGTGGGGAATCGTTCTCTTTCCTCTGTTGTCATCCTATCATTGACCTGACTGAGATACCAGAGATTGCCAAACTCTTGGGCTGCAGTTATAGCGGCACTTCTCTCATTTGGGGTTAGTATCTGATCTAGCAGTAACATTATGTCTCTCCATGTCAGATCAAAGGATTGTCCTAACCCTTGTAAAACATCAATATAGCCATCAGGGTTATTTGAGAATTTACCTAGGTCTATTTTAATTTGCTTCAAGTCTGAGAGGGAAAAAGGTACACACACTCTGGGCTGAATTCTCCTCCTCCCACCACTTCAAGGGGGCATAATCTGGGAATATTGGCACTCTTTGGTTCATTGTTTACCCCTTTCTCTATCTCCTTTGGCACCGTTTGTGTTGAAGGGGGGTCATTATTAGTTGGGGAAGGAGCCGGGGGAACGCCGGGGCAGGGGGGTAGATTCTGAGGGCTTCCTGTAGGGCATAAATCACACTTTTAACATAATTGTGAGTTGTCTCTTAATGAAAAGAAAGTTTGCACATATGGCACTTCGCTCCATTTGCCCTATTTTCTACAAAAGAAGTCTAGCTGTAAGATGGTGTTATAATTTATACTTCCCTTGGAGGGCATGTTTCTCCCTCTTGAAGAGGATATTGTGGCCAGGGGTACTGCAGAAGAATATAAGTCGTTTCTTTCTTAGCATCTGAGGGTCAAATTGGTCCTAATTCTCTAGAATACATCTTAGGGGCGTTTTTGCCTGGGAGGGGGGAACGTTTAAAAAGAACATAGGGATGCCAGCACCCCTAGTCATTTTCTGATGAGCATTAGTCCTAGAGCGTCCTCTGTGGTCCTAATGCTTATTCCTTTTCAGGGTGCGTAACCACCCACGGACCTCTGCTTATCAGATTAGTTACACTCACCGATGTAGCAGTCCTGCACCTGTTTTCCTGCCCTTCTTGACCACAAAGAAAGGGGTCTGGGCTGCTGGATTCTAGTGGTCCTTTACCAGCGTGCCTGACATTGCCTTTGCACTCAGGAGTGAGTTCTAGAGCTGGGCTGGGTTTCTGAGTATTTCATAACAACCCAGTTGCCCCATCAAGATGCATTTTCATAAACAACAGTTCTTATGCAAATTCGTTTCAGAGAGGGTGTAGGTAACCTTTTGAGTCAGGATTGAGATAGAGTTTTTGCCCACTAGGGCCTTTGTCCTTTTCCTTTGTAGGAATATGCCTTAATTATCGAACTTAAGATTTTGTTGCCCTGGATTAAGTCCTTTTGGGTACGAAATATGAGAGATGGCTCCTGTTTATCCTATGTGCCTTTTTCCTACGAGAAGGAGAGCGAGGAGAAAAAGATGGGCTTGCTCTTTTTGTAAGTACTTTAAGGCTTGGCTGAGTGCAAACAGCTCGCAGTTTGTGCAGACCAATTATGAGGCAATTCTCCTAACTCTGCTTCCACAAGAGTTTCCTTATCAATTACTGAATACCCATTGTGGTTTTTTCCTCAATCGCCTGGGAGGAACCATCTATCGTCCTATCCTAAAGGAAGTTCCTCCTAGGTCTGGTTGGACCTTTGCATGGCAATTAAGATTTAAATCCCCTGTTAGGAAATCTGCTGGGTTAAGGGAATTATCAGTGGTTGGTGTTAAATCACCTTTTTCTAACAGAATAGCCCCATACTTTAAGAATTTTGAGCTAGTAAGCTACCTTTTTTTTTTTTTTTTTTTGGTCTTAGGATTGTTCTGAACTGGTGAGGTGTGCTCACAATGAGGTTTCCTCTAAAGGTTATTTTTCTACTTTATTCTGTTAGCAAAGCAGTTGCCACTACAGATTGAATGCATTTGGGCCATCCACGGGTTACTGGGTTCAGGATTTTTGATAGGAAGGCTATGGGTTGTCAGTGGTCTCAGTGTTTTCGGGCTACGCCCTTGTTTACACTGACAACAAGGTAGTATTGGAGTATTATAGGGTCGTGGAGAAGACCTTTAATTATCAATTATAGGTTCTAAATTTACCTTGGCTTTTAAAGGAATAGGGTACACTGTTTTTTCTTTACTACCTCTCTCTTTCCCTTTTTTCTTTCTTTCTCTCTTTGACTTTCTGCCTCTTCCTCTCTCTGTCTGTCTTTTTTTAGATGGATTTTGGAAACGCAGTGGAAGGACGTTCACTTGTTGCCCCAGTTTGCCACTATAGGAACATGTGCCTCCCTTTAATTTACTCAAATTCGTTTTCATCCTGATCTATTATGTTGTTGTAGACTCAGTTCCAGTTGTTAAAATACTGGGTTATCAGTTCTAAGGGCCTGGCCAAGGAGCCAAGGCTTGGAGATTGTATTGCAGGGGGTAGTAAACTGGGTAGAAATTAGGGGAGGAGAGCATCTTACACAATGGGAGAGCGATCTTCCTAGCTATTTACAAACTTGGGGCCCTGGCAAGGGTGGTGGGGAATGGGTCCCACATAACAGCCCATGTTGACAGCTATATACCTAAATTGGGAGGGACACCAGGGGCAAGACTCCCTGGGTTCATAGCCTAGATATCTAAGGCCACAGCATAGAGCTTCCTTAGATCTCTTTGGAGATACAACTTGCTCTAATACTTGGGAGAGGAAATGAAAGTCTGAAGCATTAGTACCTAGGAGGCAGGGATTGGAGGAAGTAGATTCAGAGGTAAGGAGAATTTTTGGGGCTACACTTTCAAGAAAGTCATGGTCGGGACCCAGGAGGTATGGGTCAGAAGGAAAGGTAGGGGTGCACACGTGGGCAACTGTTGAGTAGAGACTTCTGGCTGCACCATGATCTCAACCAGCCAATGCCGGGAGTTCAGGACGACAGCTTTCTGCCTCTAGTCGGCCCTCGGCTTCCCCCCAGGAAATTGTGAAAGCGGAAGCTGGTTCCAGGCAGACCAACGCTCCTAACCCCAAAGGGTTGGGGGTTGTTAGAAAGCCTTTTCCCAGAAAGCCTCACAGCTGAGTCTTAAGTCCAGTGGCCATGCTAATCATTTTTAACTGGCTGACAGGTGCCCGGTATTTCCTCTGATTCTAAGGAAGGATAGGACAGGATAGCAAGCTAAAGTGGTTCAATATTACTCACCACTTTGGAGAATACCTGTACGGGCCAACAGCTGTTACCAGGCAGGTCTTTGTTCTTAGAGCTCCTGAGATGGTGGCAGGCCGCTCCCAAGATGGCGGCAAGCCTTTTGTTCTCTGACCTGGGGTTCTTGGCCTCACGGATTCCAAGGAATGGAAACTTGGGACATGCAGTGAGTGTTATAGCTCTATTAGAAGCCGTCGGTCACGGAAGAGAACCCTGGAACCCAGCGACTAGTGTTTAGCTCGATTAGGATGAACCCAGGCACTTAGCCATGCAGGGACAATGGCGAGCCTCTAGCCTGATTGGGAGTGGCAATGGGCACCTCGCTGGATCAGAAGCATAGCAGCCACCCTGCCCAATCCGGAGGTGTGGAAGCCAATGGTGGGTCAGCGACGTTGGCTTTCAGCAGTGGTGGAGAGTGAGTGAAAGCTCAGCTCGAGCCGGAACAAACATGGAACAGAAGAGTGTGCAGTTGCAAGATTTAATAGAGTGAAAACAGAGCTCCCATACAAAGGAGGGGACCCAAAGGGGGTTGCCTGCAAAACTGTCTTAAAAAAAAAGTTTAAATAGTTACAAATAACTCAATTACTGGCCTAGTTTAAATATTACTATTTTAAAATAAAAATCATTATCTTAGACATAACCCATGGAATTTACATTCTATGGCAATTTGATTTTACATTGTATATTTGAAAGCCACATGGATGAACTCAGTTAGAAATTGTATGTCATTTCTTTTTCTCCTTGAATGAACGTTTCATTCTGCTTTCTCCATGTAACTTTTATTTCAATGTTATGCTTGATGGTGAGTTACTGATCATGCTTTTCTACTTTTCATCATCAGAAATATGCAAATAAATGGATTTTTCAAAGTTCCTGGGATCATAGGATATAAAGTTTTAATCTGTTTCTCTTGAACTGAGTTATTATCACAGTTAGTAGTACATGTCAATCAAAACATAGGTATACTATAAAATTTGATAGTTATTTGATGTAGAGGTAGATTTATTTCTTTTCTTTTTTTTTTTTTTTTTGAGATGGAGTCTCACTCTGTCCCCCAGGCTGGAGTGCAGTGGTGCAATCTCAGCTCACTGCAACCTCCACCTCCCGGATTCAAGTGATTCTCCTGCCTTAGCCTCCTGAGTAGCTGGATTACAGGCACACGCCACCATGCCCAGCTAATTTTTGTATTTTTAGTAGAGATGGGGTTTCACCATGTTGGCCAGGTTGGTCTCGAACTCCTGACTTCGTGATCCATGTGCCTCAGCCTCCCACAGTGCTGGGATTACAGGCATGAGCCACCGCGTCCAGCGTAAGTATACATTTCTTACTGTGATGGATTGATTTGGTTTGGATCTGTGTCCCCACCAAATATCATGTGACATTGTAATCCCCAATGTTGGAGGTGGGGCCTGGTGGGAGGTGACTAGATCACAGCGGTGGTTTCTCATAGTTTAACACCATCCCCCTTGGTGCTGTTCTCCTGGTAGCAAGTTCTTGCAATAACTGGTTGTTTAAAGGTGTATAGCACCTCCCCATTCGTTCTCTTCCTCCTGCTCCAGCCATGTGAGATGCCTCCTTCCTGCTTTGCCTTCTGCCATGATTGTAAGTTTACTGAGGCCTCCCCAAAAGTAGAAGTCTATACAGCCTGTGGAACCATGAGCCAATTAAACCTCTTCTCTTTATAAATTACCTGGTTTCACGTATTTCTTTCTTTCTTTTTTTTTCTTGAGACGGAGTCTCACCCTGTCGCCCAGGCTGGAGTGCAGTGGCGCAATCTCGGCTCACTGCAACTGCCACCTCCTGGGTTCAAGCGATTCTCTTGCCTCAGCCTCCCGAGTAGCTGGGATTACAGGCATGCACCACTACACCTGGCAAATTTTTGTATTTTTAGTAGAGACACTTGGCCACCATGTTGGCCAAGCTGGTCTTGAACTCCTGACCTCAAGTGATCCACCCACCTTGGCCTCCCAAAGTGCTGGGATTACAGGCGTGAGTCACTGTGCCCGGCCACACATATTTCTTTAAAGCAGTGCCAGAACAGAGTAATACATGGTTGACGCTTGCTGATGCTTTTCAGTTAGTTTAAATATCTACCCTTGAATATTACTTGTTGCTAGAATGACTCAGGACTCAACATCAGTTCTATATTTATTCTTTGTTTTCCACACACTGAAAAATCATGTTTACAATAAGTAAGTAGACGGGAATTGAAAGAGTTTTATATAGCAGTGTCACTTAAGTCTTGGAAGTTCTTCCAAATTTTATACCAGAAATAACATTGTGATAGGCGAGTGAGGTCAGCAAGATGGCTTACACTAGAGTTGCCTGGCTCTTGTTCCTCCCCTACTTCCCGCCCCCAAAAAGGAAGCAAAACAATAAATAACCAACTATATTTTGTCTAGAGTGGTTGAGGAAGCGCATGTGAGAGCACCAGGAGAAGAGCGAAACTCTTGCAGAGCATGGGAGCCCAGGATAGGGCCATAGGGTGGGGAGTGAGGCATCTGCCTCTGCACACTGTCTCCCCTGCCAGGATCAGATGGGAGCCAGGGAGGACTTCTTCCAGGGAAAAGGTAAGCTGAAGACCCTTGGCTGTCCCCATCACCACCACAGATGCCAGAAGTCATTGCTACAGGAGTGTCCCCCAACTGCCCCTGTCCTCACGGGGCAGAGTTCAATGTGAACAGTTGCCAGGAGTCTGCATGGCTACATTATCCCAAAGCAGGAACCCCCTTGACATCCCCAATCCCCGTGACCTTAACGGCTAGCATGGGGCCATCTTGAAACGGGACCCCTATCTGTAGTGCGGCATACCTGGGGGCCAGTAGCCGCAAAACCCTCCATCCCTGAGGTCCTGCCGTAATTCCACTAAATTTACATGGGTACCTGCAGCACCAAAACCCTGGATGCCCAGAGTGTAGGTCCAAAGGAATGACTGGGATCCTAAGCCCAAACCCACAAGGCACACTATCACCCAGGGACACTGGCTGACCTACACCGCAGGGAGGCCCCTGCAGCCACTGGGCCCCAAGCACCCACTCTAGGATTGACAGCTGGCCTGGAGTTGGCCCTGAACCACCAGAGAGCATCTGTCACAGGCACTCACCTAGTCTCCTTGCCCGTGGCAGCTAGCCAGCCCACTTCCTCAGTCACAACAGTTGAAATATCCAGACAGAAAGTCAACAAAGAAATATTGGGCTGAAACTACACCGTATACAAAAAGGACCTAACAGACATTTATAGAATATTTCATTCAACAGCTGCAGAATACACGTTCCTAACCACACATGGACCATTCTCCAGGACAGATCATCACATTAGGAAGTAAGAAGTGTTCTCTGCTGAGCTAATCTCTTCAGTGAAACTCTCCCTGACTTAATACATATTTTATTCCATTATTTGATTCCCTTATCTTGCTTTATAGATCTCCATTTCAATGATCTCCACCAGAAATGTTATTGGGAATGCATTCATTCGTTGAGTGATTATTTCCACCTTTAGATGAATGGTAAGCTCTGGAAAGGAGTAAACTCTGTGGTTACTCCTGTTCTAGGCATCTTCTCTTGAGGTTTGAAATTAGGACACCAAAAGTTTGGTGACCTATAGGTGAACCGTGGCAATGGTAGAGGATTCATGCCCTAATTCTTACCCTTCTGAAACATGTCCAAATTTTTGTGCATCCTTACCCAACTCACCGCATATTTTACTTGTGCTAGGTTGAATGCTTGTGGATTCCTCAACACCAGGCAAAGTCCTTTTAAGAAAAGTTCTTAGCATAGTTTCCCTTTTATCTGCCTATCCAATGAAAGAGGCAAGCAGGTAGAAGCTCAGAAAGACAACGTTTGCCTCAGTTTACAGGCAATTTAGTCAGTGCTGCCTGACTGGTTTTTCAAATGAATGATACAGTCAAGAGCTTACTTAGCTTATTAAATGACAAAAATAATAATAATAATTACAAAGGCAGTATATAGAGAGTTGAAGAAAACATTTATTCAGTGCCTACTCTGGAATGGGCATGGTATCGTAAATGTTTATATGTATCATATATATTTAAATATTTTTTAAGCCGGGCACAGTGGCTCATGCTTGTAATTCAAGGCTTTGGGAGGCCAAGACAGGAAGATCACTTGAGGCCAGGAGTTCAAGATCAGCCTCGGCAACATAACAATACCCCTGTCTGTACAAAAAAATTAAAAAATTAGCCAGGTGTGGTGGTGTGTGCTTGTAGTCCCAGCTACTCAGGGAGGCTGAGGTTGGAGGATTGCTTGAGCCCACAAGTTTGAGGCTACAGTGAGCTGAGCTCACACCACTGTACTCCAGCCTGGGTGACAGAGAATGACCTTGTCTCAAAAAAATATATATATATTCATGTTAAATTTTATTAAAATATATGTATGCATACAAAATATAGGTACTTTGCATGCATATATTTTGTATGCATATATTTTAATAAAATTTAACATGACACATGAAATTATTACTAAAATTTAATATTTTAAACAATCACTTTAAATTCCCCAAGTACTAATCACTGAGAATCGAGAATGTCAGACCCTGAAGGTTGCTGAAATCTAATCCAAACCAGTCATTTGACACATGAAAAGAAAGTGAGGCTCTCCTGATGGGGCACTGGAAAGAAAATATTAAGACTAATTTTCCCTTACACGTGGCCAGGTTTCAATGAATCACAGAAAAATCTTAATTTACCTTCATTTGGCATGGTAGGCACCTCCAGGTTAGGACTTAAGATAGTGCGGGCCACACTTCAGAATCTCACATAAATAGACATGGTTAAGAATCATCTTTTTGTGCTAATACTTAGAATCCCCAGGAAAAACTCTGAATTCATCTCTTAGAAATCAGACTTTAGGCCGAGCGCAGTGGCTCATGCCTATAATCCTAGCACTTTGGGAGGCTGAGTCAGGGACGTCACTTGAGGCCAGGAGTTCAATACCAGCTTAGCTAACATGGTGAAACCCCATCTCTACTAAAATTACAAAAATTAGCCAGGCGTGGTGGCACATGCCTGTAATCTCAGCTACTTGGGAGGCTGAGGTTGGAGAATCGCTCAATCCCAGGAGGCGGAGGTTGCGGTGAGCTGAGATGGTGCCACTGTACTCCAGCCTGGGCAACAGTGTGAGACTCTCTCAAAAGAAATAGGATGTTGGTAGAGGACTATATGGTCACACATAAATAGAAAAATTTTAATATTGTTCCTAGTATTTGTATGTGAAATAACATTTTATGGAAGATGGCAGAGGAAAATTTAGAATTCTAAAACACTTTGGCTGGGCGTGGTGGCTCATGCCTGTAATCCCAGCACTTTGGGAGGACAAGGCAGGCGGATCACTTGAGGCCAGGAGTTCAAGACCAGTCTGGCCGACATGGTGAAACCCTGTCTCTACTAAAAATACAAAAATTAGCCGGGCATGGTGGTATGTGTCTGTAATCCAGCTGCTCAGGAGGCTGAGGCATGAGAATTGCTTGAGCATGGGAGGCAGTTTGCAGTGAGCCAAGATCGTGCCACTGCACTCCAGCATGGGTGACAGAGCAAGACTCCATCTCAAAATAAAATAAAATAAAACACTTTAAAAATCAACTTTAATTAGAGTCAGTGTTAAACAGCAAATGGGTATTCTTAGAAGATTATCCTAAATGAAATCTAAGTAGTCAGGGACAGAAAGGTTCAGAATATCTGAACCCTTTCCAGATCTAACCCACACTGCAGAATATTCCATTCCAAGTTCTCAGAAAGTGGTAAGATATAGAATGCTAAATGTGCGTGTTTATTAAAAGAAAATTATCCCAGTTTCAAAGTACATATTTAATGGAATATTTAATGTGACAAGAGAGTCTGGATTAGAAAATCATTTAAGTTTGAGACATAGAACGCAAAGGCATGGAATCAAACAACTTAGATTTTGCCATATTATAGAAAGCCAGCATATTTTTAAGATATTTAAAGACAAGCATGCTGGGCATGGTGGCTGATGCCTATAATCTCAGCACTTTGGGAGGCTGAGGAGGGTGGATCATCTGAGGTCAGGAGTTCGAGACCACCCTGACCAATGTGGTGAAACCTCGTCTCTACCAAAAATACAAAAATTAGCCAGGCATGGTGGCACGTGCCTGTAATCCCAGCTACTCCAGAGTCTGGGGCAGGAGAATCGCTTGAACAAGGGAGGCAGGGGTTTCAGTGAGCCGAGATGTGCCACTGCACTCCAGCCTGGGTGACAAAGACTCCATCTCAAAAAAAAAGAAAAAAAAGAAAAAGAAACATAAGCAGCTGAGCAGGTGGAGAAAGAAGGAGAGAGAGAGAGAGAGAGAAAAGAAGTGAGCGAATGGATAGTTAGAGCTCCACAGAATAGTAATAGTAGAGATGAAATATTAAGAAGTTTTGTTTTGTTTTTCTTTTTGTTTTGTTTTGTTTTGCTATGGAGTCTCGCTCTGTTGCCCAAGCTGGAGTGCAGTGGCACCATCTCGGCTCACTGGAAACTCTGCCTCCCAGATTCAAGTGATTCTTCTGCTTCAGCCTCCCGAGTAGCTCAGATTACAGGCGTGTGCCACCATGCCCAGCTAATTTTTGTATTTTTAGTAGAGACGGGGTTTCACCAGTTGGTCAGGCTGGTCTCGAAGTCCTGACCTCATGATCCGCCTGCCTCGGCCTTCCAAAGTCCTGGGATTACAGGCGTGAGCCACTGTGCCTGGCCTTGAAGTTTTGTTTTTTTATAAAGGTAAGAGTGATGTTTGATTATATGTTTCTATTGAAGGATTTTTTCCCTCAGTGAATCAATGCTGGACTAACATTAAAGACTAAATAATGAAAAATGACAAATGAAAATAGTTTCTAAAACGGATTTTTAAAATCTACAGAAGGATCTGTGATAAAGAGAGAAGCCAGGATAACAGCACTCAAATAAGTAAGAGAAAAGGAGTTAAGAAAAATAAACAAACAATAAAAGTGGGCAGGAATCTGAAACAGAAAAACTGAAGACTAACAAAATAGGCAATAATCATTTAGTGAAAGATAACGACTCACTATATAAGCTTAATTTCCAAAGGGATTGATTTGGTATTAGGTGCTTCAAAAAAATGATATATATATATATAATATATGTGTCATAATATACATATATGTCAATTATATACAATGCATACATATGTTACATAAAACATGTACTTCTCTAAAACAGCAGGTCTTTGAACACAGATATGAGCTGAGATGATTAGAAAGAGTAGATTGCTTAAGAGGAAAAGCACAATGCAGTGTAAATACAGCTCAGAAGAAGCCTGGATGGATTTATTATCATCCATTGGCCTCTGAACTTGATTAAAAATTGAGGAAACAGTCTCCCTAAAATCCATGTACACTCTCACTCTCTAAACTTTGACAGTTTTTTTTTTGCACGAGCAACGCAGCACTGCCACTTTGGCATTACTCTGACATGGCACTTTTCATGTTGCAATATTTTAGAGTCTGTTAGAGCTTAGAGAAGATGACAAGGTCACATTTTGGATGTGTGATGGGATAAAGGTGATCATAAAAGTCAAGTATGAGTGGAAATGTCTCAGCTTTATATGCTATATGAAAATAAGGCCAGTAACTCCGATGTTACTGTCAAGTGTTAGGTTTGCTTTCTTCTCTTAAGAACTTCATAGCCAGTGATTTCATGGTGTTCAACATACAGTGATAGGCTCAGACTCAGCAGTGATGGACACTTTCTCAGGCCCACTAATCCTTAACTGAAGACGATACAAATGGGACTGTAAGCCTGTTCATGAGCATTCAAGCGAATTATTTTCTCAACGAAAAAAAATACATCAGGCTCATCCAGCCAGGGCCCAGAGGGAAGGTGGTAGACGAACATATATTAAACATAATTCATCTGATAATTGCTTTGATGATCTCATCTAACTATAGTCATGCATCACTTAATGATGGGGATACGTTCTGAGAAATGCGTCATTAGGCGATTTCATCGTTGTGTGAACATCATAGAGTGTACTTACACAATCCTAAGTGGTATAGCCTACTATGGTACAGTGTATGGCTCTTAGACTACAAACCTGTATAGTATGTTACTGTACTGAGTACTGTAGGCAATTGTGACATGAGGTAAGTATTTCTGTACCTAAACATATCCAAACATAAAAAGGGTACAGCATAAATATGGTATAAAAGATAAAAATGGTACCATTTATATAGGGCACTTATCATGAATAGAGCTTGCAGGACTGGAAGTTGCTCTGGGTGAGTCAGTGAGTGAGTGGTGGGTGAATGTGAAGGCCTAGGACATTACTGTACACTCTTGTAAATTTAACACTGAACACTGAGGCTACACTAATTTAAAACTTTTTTCTTCAATGATAAAGTAACCTTTACTTTAACTTTTTACTTTATAAACTTTTAAAAATGTTTTGTCTACTTTGTAATAACAGTAAGCTTAAAACATAAACACATTGTATGACTGTACAAAAATATTTTCTTGATATCCTTATATATAAGCTTTTTTATTTTTTTTTAATTTTTTTTCACTTTTTAAACTTTTGTTAAAATCTAAGACACAAGGGCAGGCGCGGTGGCCCATGCCTGTAGTCCCAGCACTTTGGGAGGCCCAAGGTGGGCGGATCACCTGAGGTCAGGAGTTCGAGACCAGCCTGACCAACATGGTGAAACCCCATCTCTACTAAAAATACAAAAATTAGCCAGGCATGGTAGCAGGCACCTGTAATCCCAGCTACTCGGGAGGCTGAGGCAGGAAAATTGTTTGAACCCGGGAGGCAGAGGTTGCAGTGAACTGAGATTGCACCACTGCACTCCAGTCTGGGCAACAGAGTTAAACTCCATCTCAAAAAACAAAAACAAAACCAAAAACAACAACAAAAAAACTGAGACACAAGCACATTAGCTTAGGCCTATATGGGGTCAGCATCATTAAGATGTCACTTAGCAAAAAGAGTTTTCAGCTCCATTATAATATTATGGGACCACTGTCATATATGTGATTCATTGTGGACTGAAACGTTATGCCGTGCATGACAGTATTAAAATATCTTGAGATGTGTGTGCTATAATGTTTATTTTGCAGATTACAATGATAAAAGTACTTTTATCAGCAAGAATAGGTAGATAAATTCACACAGCACTTTGGCTGGAAGACATAGGAAGCTATATAGCTAAGGCTGATCAAGAGGAAGCACCTTGATCAGATCTGCAATTCCAGGAACAACTCTTTGTCTTCTTCATTGGAGAGCCCAGTTGGCATCTTTTCCAACATTTCCTCTTGCCTGAAATATATGAATACTCATCTAACCGACCTCTGCTGCTAGGACTGTGGCTCAGGAGTCAGAGTCTATCTGTGTGTGGTCAGGAGCAGCTGAACTCTGGGTTATAACTTTGGGAACCTCTGACCTCATCTCTTTCCAGAGCTGTGATTATTATGTCATCTGCAGCAGTAATGACAGTGGCTAAAGGGACATCATGCTAATTCTCTAAAAACATTTCATCCAAGGTATTAATTATTGTAAACAACTACTAGTGGTTAATGAAAATATCCAAAGAGACTGTCAAAAGTAATTAGAGGAGAAACTTTCCAGCAATTTCCAGAGGGATGGGAAGCAGATATCCTCAGATGCAATAAATGAGTGTAGAGAATTGAATTCTACTTTCCAGATGGAATTATGGTTCCTTTGAGGGATAAATTTCCCTGAATGTGTGATTCTACATACTTCCTCACAAATCTTAAATACCCAGACATTTATGATAGAAACAGTGAAATAGAAACAAAAGAAAGAGTGGAACTTCCCGGTGAAGATTCTTACTAACAAAAGAAAATTAGATATGTATTTTAAAAAGAGTAGAACTGCCAAGGAGATATAAATACATAAGGACCATTTTTTTCTCCCACCAATGCCATCTTAACAAAGAGGAAATGCTGATTTTGTCCAAAACTATTAAGAGAGACTTTAATATAACACTATAGGAGTAACTCCTGAATTAAGCATGAAGGAAGTTTTTGAGGGATTGATGGCTATAGTAGCCTCATTGAAACTGTGGTTTTGAAGAAGTCTAGGAAGTGGAGGCAAACATTGTTATATAAGAAACTCTATTAAATCTTTTAAAAGTGGAAAGAGGATTTGTAGCATTTATCATATCCTCTGGTACACATACATCATACCATGTCACCCAGAGAACTTTCTACTTCCTATCCATGAGATTCAATTAGCATGATGTTCTCAGTATAGTAAAATGTCAAAATGATCAGGATCCCTTCAGATACATTGTGACATAGTACAGAAAATTTGCCATCATCTCTGGAGAGAAACATGAATTGCTTTCTTATCTAGGTAAATGAAAATCGCTTTTGATCATCTTTGCTGATAAAGATGAAAAAGAACACATTCTTCAGATAAATGGGCACATACCACTTGCCAGAGCCTGTTGATCTAGTCCTGTAAGGTTAACACAATATGCACAGCAGCTGCTTATGAAACAACCACAGGGTTAGGGTTAGGGTAGTTGACTCTCATCTGCCCTGATCCATCTTGTTTTTGCAGTAGCCATTCTTGGGCTATGATGGGTCCTATATCCCCTTTATCTTCATGGCTGCAATTTTACCTGAGTGAAGTATGACTCTGCTTTACACTATTTTAATCAGTCAAGGCAGTTTTGGGAATAATCACTTACTTCTACTTACTGTAATGGATTTTACTTTATGGGTCATACAACAAGTATGTGTGCTCTGCCAGCTGCCAGGTACATCCATCATAATTTTATAATTATAGACCAGGGAGCTGACAATAGGGTAAGTTTGCAGAACCACTGGATCCAACAGAAGATGGACTTGGGGCCAGGCGTGGTAGCTCATGCCTGTAATCCCAGCACTTTGGGAGGCTGAGGCAGGCAGATCACTTGAGGTTTAGGAGCTCGAGGCCAGCCTGGCCAGCATGGTGAAACCCATCTCTATTAAAAATACGAAAAAATTATCCAGGCATGGTGGCACATGCCTGTAGTCCCAAGCTACCTGGGAGGCTGAGGCAGGAAAATGGCTTGAACCCGGGAGGCGGAGGTTGCAGTGAGCCGAGATCGCGCCACTGCACTCCAGCCTGGGTGACAGAGCAAGACCCTGTCTCAAGGAAAAAAAAAAAAAGAATTGACTTGGGCCATCTATCCTCTGGTCCCCACATGCCCCAGTTTAACATTTTTATCATCCTAGTATCAGGGTGAGCTCATTATCTATATCCAATAGTCCTCAATAAATCTAGGCATATTCCCTTCCCTAGTGTTTATTACTCAGGTCCATGGCCAGAGGTCCTACTGCAAACACTAGGTAGATATAAGTTTTCTATACTTACAGAGGTTCTGTTGCTTTCATTCTCAATGACACCCAGGTCCCCATTCAAACAATGGGCCCTATGTGCAAGAACTAGTTCAGATATCAAAATTGTGGGAGGGGTCATAACTTTCTGTTTGGTGGCTGACATGAATCTTCTGTATGCCTGATCTATGTCATTTCTGGTCATAGAAGCTGAGCAATATCATCACTGGCTGCCCATCCCATCTCATCCCTAGGAACAACAAGACCTATTTGCCTTTTGCCACAAATCTTTGTGGATCAAGTCCCCCCAGTTTGCAAAGCCAGCCTTTACTTGGAAGATGGTCCTGAAAAACAAAAGTGAGGAAATGGGGAAATGAGACAAGGAAGGTAGAAAAGCCATCCAAGGTGGCATTAATGAGCTCACTCCCACTTGGTGAATCGCTGAGAAATGCTGTGAAACAAACTCGGAATCCTCCCAGTTGAGAATGTAAAGCTGCAACATTTGTCCATCAACTCCCATGCCCCAGTGTTTGACTTTTACCCCCACAGCCCTGGTCCCTGCCTGTGTTCAAACAAGTAAGCTCATGTGATACCACAGAAAGCCTCAGGCGGAGAAGAGATGCCCAGATGTGAGATATTATGGAGATGATAACACACAGGAAGCCGTCCTGCCCTACGGCTGCAGGAGAACTCAGATGGGCCAAGGGAGCACCAAGGGGTCACCAGCAGTGTCTGACACACATCTCAGTGCAATCTAGTGAATGAATCAGAGCTTCCATCCCCAGGACAATCAGTGGAACCACTCTATTCCTCTTCATTGAGGACCTGAGAAACTTGCCAAGTTGCTTATAAATGTGTTCAAAGCACAGAGCAAGTTCAGAGAATCATATTTTCTCTAAATCCTTATTCATTTCAGGAAAAGACATTTTCTCATTAGAAGACATTTAACAGGGGTCTTTAAGATTTCAAGATCATAAATATCAGCCATGGGCATCCTACACTCATGTGGTTTGAGAGTTGCTGATTTACTCTCACTAGGAGAATGTGGCTAACCAAATTGAGAGCCACTGAGACACCTAATTGTGGGGAGAAATTATGGATTTTCCTAAATGAAAGAAAATAGTCATGAAGTAGAAATACACTCTTTTTTTTTTTTTTTTTTTTTTTTTTGAGACAGAATCTCACTCTGTCACCCAGGCTGGAGTGCAGTGGCACCATCGCGGCTCACTGCAACCTCCGCCTCCTGGGTTCAAGCAATTCTCCTGCCTCAGCCTACTGAGTAGCTGGAATTACAGGGGCCCGCCACCACGCCCAGCTAATTTTTGTATTTTTAGTAGAGATGGGGTTTCACCATGTTGGCCAGGCTGGTCTCGAACTCCTGACCTCAACTGATCCGCCCACCTCGGCCTCCCAAAGTGCTGGGATTACAGGCGTGAGCCACCATGCCTGGCCTGAAATACACTTTTTCAAATGCTGATTTTTTTTATAATCATGGGTACTTACGAAGAACAATTTAAATACCAATTTACAATGAATGGGAAGAATTTTCCACCAGAAAAATAGTGAAATTAAACTTAGATGAATAGATGCTATTTGGTGGAATGTGGCAAAAACATGTTTATCCTTCACGTAGAGGTGTCAATCCTCTTCGCATCTGGATAGGATCTTTTGAGGACCCACTACCCGTGAGCTGACACACTTGCCAGACACCAAGTCCTGTGGGTGACTGCTGGGCCGGGGTGGTTAAGGCGTGGTTGTGTCTCCACTGTTTTTCATCCCACTTGCATATAGTAGGCTCTGAGGCCACAAGGAATGGTGGAGCCACATCAGACTCCTGTGCCAGTGGCAGATAAACTTCATGTGTTATCTCTGGATTCAGGCAATTTATCTCACTGAAAAATTGTGGTGCTTGCTGTTCCAGAAACTGGAATAACCTTCATTGATATGGAAAATATCAACCTTCAACCTAAATAATGGCTCTTGGGATATGACTTTGGCAGAGATTCAGTAAGGTCCTTGTGATCCCCATGTGTAGAAGAGAGCAAGGGAAACATCAGATTTCTTCATATTAGAGTGGAATGATGGTGCCTGAGCTATGATGTGATTTTTCTGTTATTTCGCAGGTTTATATTTATTGCCATGATCTAGTCAGCAGAAGATATTTTCTCTTTTCTTAAATTACGGATCTGCAAAACTTCAGCAATGTTTAAATTTTTCATGTAAACAGAATGGGTTTTTGAAATACAGTTCTTTCAGAAAAAAAAAAGAAATATGGCTCTTTCAAAATCATGGTGAAGACTTAGCTAGAAAGTAAATTTGAATATGAAGTTTATTCAAGAGGCATCCTGATGTCAAAGGCATTTGACTGTGCATTGTTTTATTAGTTATATTGCTACATACAAACCACCCCCAAAACTTTACAGCTATAAATAAACCATTTATTTAGCTCATGTTTTTGTGGGTTGGCAATTTGGGCCTGGCTCAGTCAGGCTGTTCTTCTAATCCGTTTCTGACTTAGCTGCATCTCAGCTGGGCTCATGCACGCATCTGCAGCCAAGCGGCAGGTCACTTGGGTGCTGCTTGTCTCGAGTGGCATCACTTACGTGGCTGGAGGATGACGATGGTCCACTTGTATGACAGGAGTAATGAGGCTGTGCATCTCTGCCATCCAACAGGCTAGCCCAGGATTGCTTGGAATGGGCATGGTTCCCAGAGAGAGAGGGGAAGCATGCCTGTCCTCTTGAGGCATAGGCTCTGAGATGGCACAGTGACATCTTGGGGGTTCTGTATTGGCCAAAGGAAGTCACAAAGCCAGACCTGATTCAAGAGGTAGAGAAGTAGGACTCATCTTGGGAGGAGCTACAAAGTCTCATTGTAAAGGACCACACACACCAGGAGGCATGGGAAATTGTACCCATTTTTGCAATCTACTCCAAGTCTAGATTTTTCTCTTTCTCTCCCTAGAAACAACTACCCGTGAGCATTCAAATTTGTATCAATTGTCTATAATTAGGCCCTCTCCTAATTTGCATATCTTCCCCCAGAACAAGAAAAATCTATTCTCTTTATTAAGATATTCAGTGTCAATTGTCACTTGAGAAAGCTCCTTGGAGGCCTCATCTGTAACTCTATGGGTTTATCAAACATTTATCTGAAAAACATAACTTTGTTCAGAAAAAGGCAGGTGGTAGTTTGGGATTGTCCAGCAATACATATTATGTATTTTTTGATATTGTATTTCTTTCTATTGAGAAAACTAATTCTATAATTCTACTATATTTTTCCTCATGAAAGGGTGGGAAAATATGAAACACAACTAAACCTCTTCCAACTCATGTAGCTGGATCTTTGATTGTGACTTCATCTTCATTTATGTTGGATGTGACTCATGTTTATCTAGCCCTTTGGAATATTGCTTTGGGGACAAATGAGCATGTTTAGAATATGTCTGAAATTCATGTAATATCAAGAGAAATTTTTTTTTCTATCTTTGCCAGTGTTGTGGAAATATATAATTAAAAACAAAATATTCTCCCAACTCAGAAAACCTCTTCACAAAGGTAAAAGAAATAAAATAGTTTCATTTTTATTTTTAATTTAATTTTTTGAGACAGGGTTTCACTCTGTCACCCAAGCTGGAGTACAATGGCACGATCTTGGCTCACTGCAATGTTCGCCTCCTGGATTCAGGCAATTCTCATGCCTCAGCCTCCCAAGTAGCTGGGATTACAGGCATGCACCACCAGACCCGGCTAAGTTTTGTATTCTTTAGTACAGAGAGGGTTTTGCCATATTGGCCAGGCTAGTTTCAAACTCCTGGCCTCAAGCGATCCTCCTACCCCAGCCTCCCAAAGTGCTGGGATTACCAGCATGAGCCCCAACTTCCAGCTGAGAAATAAAATAGTTTTAATAAGCACCCAACCAGAATGTGATGTGCATCACAGGTGATCCACTAAGAGATTGCAGAGACAGAAAGAAATCTCACCCTTTCATATAGCCAAGCAGATACGATCTGTTACATACATGTTCTCAAAAATAAACAGTAATTAGTCCTTAATTAGTCTTCAAGTAAGAGAACTTGATAGCACCATTTATTGCACATAGTTCAGCCTAAATTCACCTGGTAATTGGGGTGTCCACCTGTGTTAGTAGTGGTTTTATACAAAAGCAAAATAAACTTTGATCTTTATGACAGGAGATAGTTTTGCAACCGGGAGCAAGGCACCCAGTGAAGTTAGACTCCTACCCCTGATGGAAACCGGGAGATAGGGATGCTCTTATATTTCACTGAAACGTAAACATCAAGGGAGGTAGTGCCCCTACAGCTCCTAGGTCTTTGAGAAAGACATCCCTGGGTCATAAAGTTGGCAAGAAGCTTATTTAACTTCTTAAAAGCTTTTTTTTTCTTTTTCTTGAGACAGGGTCTCACTGTGTCACCTAGGCTGGAGTGCAGTGGCGTAAGCATGGCTTACTGCATCCTTGACCTCCCAAGCTCAATTGATCCTTCTGCCTGAGCCTCCTGAGTAGCTGAGACTACAGGTGTGCACCACCACACCCAGCTAATTTTTGTATTTTTTGTAGAGATGGAGTCTCCCTGTTGCCCAGGCTGGTCTCAAACTTCTGGGCTCAAGTGATCCACCTGCCTCAGTCTCTCAAAGTGCTGGGATTATAGGCATGAGCCACTGTACTCAGCTGACACGCATTTCAAGATAGAAAAAGAACTTACAGTGACAAATTTTCTAAAGTAAATGCTCTAAGAAAAGGGAAGGGAGGGAAATCTCTTCCCTTATTTTCAACCAGAAGTAAGCCTCATTTTAAATTTGTGTTTGCCTTTACATCAAGCAAGAGCTCTTCTGTGTTAGCCATAGTTGCTAGTAACCATGTTTAGAGAACTCGTAATTCTCATCAGCTTAGAATTTATTCATCCATCCCGTCATTCATCAGGTTATAATTAAATCACATGCACCAGAAACAAGCCTGGACTATGCTTATTCAGAAGTGAATCAGAGGGGCATATTCCTTTCATCAAAGAAATTTTATTCCATAGAAGGAAACAGACAATAAGCAAATAAATAAATAAATTTACTTAATAATTTATTTAAAATCTAATTACAGGGGCTGTTGAGGGTAATGACAAATAAAGTAGCATGAAGGACAAAGCTGGATGAGAAGTGTTATTTTAGGAAGAGCTTTATGTGGCGATGGTGTTTTAGCTGAGCCGTGAAGGGGGTGATGAAGGACTACAGAGAAGATGAGGGCAGTTAGTCTCATTAGCAAAGAGAAATCCAGAAAAACACTGAGATTTCTGGCCTGAACAAGGGAATAAATGTTAGTGGCCTTTACTGTGAGTGGGAACACAGGGAGAATGTGTGTTTGTGGGAGCGGAGATAATTCTGTTTCAAACATGCAAAATCTCAGCTGCCTTTTAAACACAAAAGTACGGATGCTAAGAAGACAAACAGTTATACAGTTTTTAACTCACATATAGTGTGAGGGAGGGAAGGGTATACAGATATGGGAGTCATCAGTATATAGACCTCATTGAAACCAGGGATCCAGACTTCCTTTTCTGGCTGTTGGAGTGATTTGTGGAAAACTCGTGCTCCCATGAAAAACAGATTAAGAAGGAAATAAGATTTAAAAAAATTAATCTGTATGAAACCTTCAGAGAGCTGCCCAGGCAACATGGATTTGAGTGCGCAGATGGCAAAAGGAAGTGAACTGGCATGGTGAGCCAGAATTCGTTATCTGATTTTTGCCTGTGGGCATTTGGCTGTTAATAGCACGAAGGAGCCTGAAAACCCGGGCACAGGGAGGTCTAGGTAGAGCTGCTGCTAAGAGACCAAGAGGTGAACAAAACGAAGTGACAAAATTGGAATGTGTGATGGCAAGCAGTCAGGATTTGGATGGCCAATATCCCAGGGAAAGGAGGTAGAAGGATGAGACCCTAACACCTGGTTTCTCCTTCCACTTCAGGCATTTGTCAGATTCTTGGACTGCATTGAGTAGGGGAATAAGAAGTTGGGCAGAAATCCCCTAACATATGTCCTGGTTTCTCAGGGCTAAAGAGGAAAACACTGAATTTCAAGGCCCAACCAAGTCAAGGGCCCCCTTAGTAAATACACTACACTTTGGGCTGGGTGACCTCAAGGTCCACACCTAAGGTAACATCAAGGCGATCCAGAAGTAGATCTTAAATGTAGCTCAATCTTGGCTGGGCATGGCGGTTCACGCCTGTAATCTCAGCACTTTGGGAAGCCGAGGCGTGTGGATCCCTTGAGGTCAGGAGTTCGAGACCAGCCTGACCAATATGGTGAAACCTCATCTCTGCTAAAAATTAGCTGGGCATGGTGGCAGGCACCTGTAATCCCAGCTACTCAGGAGGCTGAGGCAGGAGAATTGCTTGAACCCAGGAGGCGGAGGTTGCAGTGAGCGAGATCGCACTACTGCAGTCCAGTCTGGGTGACATAGCGAGACTCTGTCTCAAAAAAAAAAAAAAAAGTGCAATCTTAAAATGCTGCAAATTGATCTCCTGTCATCTCAGTGCCTTGTCTGATTAACATGATTTTACCCCAGTCTTGATAAAGAAGTGAATAAATTAATCACTTACATAGATCAGTGGAGCATAATGGAGAATCCAGAAACAGATCAACATATATACAATCACTTGATTTTAAGCAAAGAGGTCAGAGAAATATAATAAAGAATGGTCTTGAGAGTCACAGGATGAGAAAAGAAAAAAAAAAAGAATGGCCTTTTCAACACATGGTGCATGTCCATTGGCTATCCCTATGGAAAAAGTAATTCACAGTAATCACATGTTTACATGTGAAATGTGAAAAGAATAAAGATTCAAGCAATAAGTGATTTTGTGGTGGGCAAATATATCTGCAAAAGGAAACACAGTCCATTAAAGAACAAAATTGATATATTGGATTTCATTAAAGAACTTCAATTTATCAAAAGCCACCACAGAAGAGTTCAGGGGAATTGGGAGGAGAGGTGGGAAATGGAACTGTTCTATACGTCAAATACGGTGTCATTACACAACCATAGGTTTAACTAGGTTAATTCACAATATTCTCCACCAGAGAAATACTGGCCATATTCAGGGAGGAGGGGAATTATACCGCAAAGGAGCTACAGGGCCTGTTCAACATGTGCCAGCAAGATGGGAAGTTGAATATTCAGTGTGTCGCAGTTCTCTGGGCCTTAGTGTTTTCTTTTAGGAGGGAAACAGAATAGAAATGACTTCATTGGTAACTTTGAGGATTTAATACTTGGAACAATGGCAGTAAGGTAGGAAGTGTCCAAAGTATGTTAAAGTTTCTGGGCATCTGGTGGGTGAAGAAAGGAACAAGTCATGAGTGATGAGTTATCTTTCTTTGTGCAGGTCCAGGGAAAACTCTGGCCCCACCATGGGCCCACAGTTCTACTTTTTTTTTTTTTTTTTTTTTTGAGACGGAGTCTCGCTCTGTTGCCCAGGCTGTAGTGCAGTGGCTCAATCTCAGCTCCCTGCAACCTCCGCCTCCTGGGTTCAAGCGATTCTCCTGCCTCAGCCTCCCAAGTAGCTGGGACTACAGGCGTGCGCCACCACACCCAGCTACTCTTTGTATTTTTAGTAGAGATGGGGTTTCACCATATTGGCCAGGCTGGTCTCGAACTCCTAACCTCATGATCCGCCCGCCTCGCCTCCCAAAGTGCTGGGATTACAGGCTTACAGGCATGAGCCACTGTGCCTGGCCCCCAGTTCTGCTGTCAGCCCACCATGGCTCTAGTGCTTCCCTTACTGCCTGGGTTTGTATCAAGTGCCCCAGTGTGCATGGCAGATGCCATGCGAGTCATCTCCTTCCCATGTGCCTATCACCTCACCCAAGACAATGGCTCTGAATCTGTGAAGATCTGTTCTAGCCATATACCTTCTGAGTGCACCTGAGGCCGCCAAACACAAGATTATTCAATGAGCACATGAAGTTCCATTTTCACAGCCCTTCATGCAGCTTCTAAATTCAATGCACGCAAAGCGATGTCCTCCTCTCCCAACAGACTCATGTTTTCTGCTGGGTTCCTGGTCTTCAAGAATGTCTCATCACCTTGCCTTCTATCTGCCCAGCCTAGACACCTCTGTCCATGGAACTCTCTGTGGCCCCCATATCCTGCATGAAAGCACTGGAACCTATAGATCCCTTTCCCTCTCTGCTGAGACTCTTGGTCCCAACCCCACTCTCCATTCCCAATGCTCTTGCCTTGGTCCACAGCAACCCTGTGTCCCACAGGATCATTTCAGGGCCCTCCCAAACCCTCTGGCCACGTGATTTTATTTACTGCTCAGGACCCTCATGACTCCACTTGGCAGTGCAGCTTTCAAGACCTCCTGTCCATACTTCTCTCCCATTCCACATTTCCAGATGCTCTCATTTCTGCCCATTGGGCCTGCCCTTTACATTGTCTCCTCTGGCTCCTGTGTGGTCTTGGGAGATCCATGCCCATCCTGTGAATTGAAGTTCATTATGGGAGAACACTTTCATCCCATGCCCAGGCAGAGAGCAGGGTGGAGGAAGACCGTGGGGGTGGCTCAGGGCTCATTAAGACAGAGTACAAGGACCAAGTCATGGTCCTTGGGGTGGGGTTTGGAGAGAGAGAAGGAGGGAAGTAGTGACACTCATGGCCTAAGTTTGCTGGCTGTGGACCTGCTAAGACCCCTTCTGGCATGAAACAGCCCCAGATTCCTCACATGGATGAGGAGGAGACTCTCAGGTTGTGTGGCCTCCCCAGGACATGACAGGGTAGAGGCAGGGCTCCTTGTTAGCCCTGGGTCTCCATGCCTTCCTGATACCCACAGATGGCCCTACAGGCTGGCCTGAGTTGTAGGTGGCCTGCCACTGCCCACCCATGCAAATTTCCATTCTACTGTCATTGTCCCCTTCATTGGCCTTCCATGAATACTAAGGGTGGTAGTTCATAGGTGCCACTGTGGTACAATGAACAGGGGTGGGACCCTCAGCCAGGCCCAGGCAAGTACTTGTGTGGTCCTTCTTCCTGACACTCAGGATGGATAGGTCTCCTCCAAGAATCTTGGGGCAGAGATGCTCAGGATTCTCTGGTGGCTTCAAAACCAACCAACTGCACTTTGGTGGAACAGAATTTTCTTCCCACTCTGCCTAGATCCCTACAACTGAGAACAGAGAGCAGAGGAGCCTGGGTCAGGCTCCTGGATCACTTTGTCTTGCTGTCTTGCTTCCAAGTTTCTGTCTCTGCCATTCTTTTTGTCTTTCATAGTCTCTGTTTGTCCTTTTATTTCTTCTTCATCTTTCCAAACTTTTCTTTCTCATATAGATATTCATTCATCCACTCAATGAGTTACACATTCAGCAAATATTAACTAAATACCTACTATGTGCCAGGCACTGGGCCAGGTCTGTGGACTGGTCAGAGGAAACTGCAAGAGGCTGGGAACTCAATAGGGATGGGTAGAGAAACCACCTCGCCTTCCTAGAGCTTGCCAACCTAGCCTTACCTGTGCTCTTTTGCTGCCTTGGAATCTTCTGAGCTAGTCAGACAGAACAGGAAAAGTGAAGCCTGAATTCTTTCTCTGGTGAGCCCCAGGGCTTATATAAGGAACTACAAAGAGTAGGTACACATTAAATATTTGCTGAATAGATGATGAATTACAGAGCTGAACTTGTGACCAGAGGGATGCAGTTTGGAGGCACAGGAGACTCTGAGGAAACTGAAGTTTTGAGAGAATAGGGGACTTGCTTCTGCTTTTGTTTCTCAGGTGCATAGAAAGTGAATTTGTAAATCTCAATGTCTATAGCACTCAGGGAACTGAATGTTCACCTCTCTAAACATCAACTATTAAAATTAACTGTAGGGACAAGATGGAGAAGAGACACTTAGCCCTATACTCCTGCTGTAACTCTGAACATTGTTTATAAAACAAATAAAAGACAACTCTGAAAGGTGGGAAGAAGAAGTAAGGCCAGCTCGTGACCTCAGGACCTGAGGAAAAACACAGCTGTGAGTTCCCTGGATTTTCTTTTTGCTTCATATTTTCTGGATCATGTGCTGGAGAAGCTGGCAACCCCAAAACACCAACAGGCACACAGAAAAAAAGCTCCTGGAAAAGCCTCCCTCAACCAAGTAACTAAGAAAGGGGCAGCCTAGTGTTACAGGATCTTTGGGGTGTTGCTTTTCTGGCTGGAAACTTCTGCAGCCAGTGATGCCTTTGCCTGGGTTCCTGTCCTGCATCCAGGAAGAATGAGTTATGCAGACAAGTGGAGGGTGACCAAGACAAAGAGGAGCTTTATTGAGTGTTAGAACAGCTCAGAGGAGACCCACAGTGGGTACCTCCTCTCTGCAGGCAGATTGTCCCATCAAGTGTTCAGCTGTCTGCAGAAAGGAGGCCCTGGTATGGGTGGCTCCTCTCTGCTGGCAGTTTGTCCTGTCATCTGCAGCTCTCAGCAGAGAGGAGGTCTTGAAGAGGGTAGCTCCAATCTGCAGCTAGTCATCCTGATGCCTGCCCAGCTCCTAGCCAAGAGGAGGCACTGGAGTGGGTTGCTCCTCTCTGCAGCTGGTAATCCTGATGTCTCTACAGGTCTCTGAAATTCTCAGCAAAGAGGGTAGCTCCTCTCTGCAGCTGGTCATCCTGTCATCTCCTCAGCTCTGGCTGAGCCCAGGGCTTTTATGGGCCTCAGAGGGGAAGAAGTGCACACCAGTTGGTCCATGGGTGGCCATGGGCAGGCCCAGAAAAGGCACCAGTTTCCCACTCCGGTTGGTGGGACTGGCAGCTCAGCCTCCACCCTTCAGGCCCTCCCTAGGAACCTGCCCCCTTCCACCCAGGAATCTATCTGCCTCTTGCTACCATTCATGGCACCTAGGCTTGGCCCTGACTTTGCTCTAAGATCAGAGCTGGTGCTGGGAGCAGGAAGAGACCAGGCAGTGGGAGCAGGCATTTCTGAGCCTGTGAGGGCAGGGGGGCCTTCCTGGGCCCCCAAGAGTGCAAGAATGCCTGAGTCTGCAGCCAGGGTTTGAGCGGCTACAGCTGCACCCAGGAGAGCAGGCCTCCTGCCTGCTTCCAGACCTGCAAGACCACAGGGAGGCTTGATCAGCAGCCACGACTTGGGCAGCAGCAGCCATGACTTAGACAGCTGAAGCCCCATCTGGGAGGATGGGGCTCCTGCCTGCTCCATGGAGTGGGAGGCCTAGGTCTGCAGTGCGGTTTGGGCTGCTGCACCTGTGCCTGGAAGGGCAGAGCTACTGCCTGCTCCGTGGAGCTGGAAGCCCTGTAGGGGATGGGGGGACAGAGCTCCTGCCTGCTCTGTGGAATTAGAGGCCCGAGCCCACCTCCCTGCTGCAGCCAGTGTCTTGGCAGTAGCCACTCTAGATGGACCACTGCTACCATCTCTACCAAGACAGTAAACATTTACACAATAACAGCTCTACTCCAGCCAAGCACTATAGAAAAAAAGCTGTGGCCCCATCCCTACCCATACCAGCAAAAATTTAATGGGGAACCTAGACTTCCACCTTCACCAAGGTGAAAAAAGGTGCTCTTCCAAAGAGGATGTCACAGAAGGGTGAGTGAAGAACCAGAAATTTTTATCCCTGCCCAGCAGTAACAAGACCTCCCCTCCCATGGTATTACTGGAAACCACATGGGGGTTCTGGATTTTCACCCCTATCTGGTGGTAGTAAGACACCCCTCCTCATCCCTATTGGGGTGGTGTCAGAAGACACCTAACGGAAAGCAGAACTTTGATCACTGCCAAACAGTAACAAACATGTATTCTGCTCCACATTGTCAATGGGGAGCAGTAACAAGTAACTGCACCCCCATCCTGACATGTGTGTGTCATATGAGGTTGAGTGGAGTGTTGGGAAAACTGGATACGTACAGACAGAAGAACAAAATCATACCCTCATCTCATACAATATACAAAAATCAACTCAAAATGGATTAAAGATTTAAATGTAAGATTTAAAACTGTAAAACTATAAGAGAAGAGAATTGGGGGACCCTCCATGACATTGGTCTGGGCAATGATTTTTTTTGACTATGACCCCAAAAGCACAGGCAACGAAGCAAAAATAGACCAATGGGATTGCCTCAAACTAAAAACCTTCTGCAGAGCAAAGAAATCAATCAATAGAGTGAAGAGACAACCTATGGAATAGGAGAAAGTATTTGCAAATGACACATCTAAATGGTTAATATCAAAAATATACAAGGTACTCAAACAACTCACTAGTGAGAAAACAAATAACCTGATTTAAGTATGGGCACAAGACCTGAATAGATATTTTTCCAAAGAAGACATACAAACGGCCATGAGGTATATGGAAAAAATGCTCAACATCAATAACCATCAGGGAAATGCAAATTAAAGCCACAATGAGATTAAATTAAATCCACACCTGTGAGGATGGCTATTTGATTATTAAAAAGACAAAAAATAGAAAGTATTGATGAGGATATGGAGAAAAATGAACCCTTGTACACTGCTGGTGGGAGTGTAAATTGGTACAGCTATTATGGAAAACAGTATAGAAGTTCCTCAATAAATTGAAAACAAGACTACCATAGATGCAGCAGTCTCATTTCTGAGTATATATCCAAAGGAATTGAATTCAATTATGTCCAAGAGATATCTGCACTCCTATATTCACTGCAGCATTATTCACAATAGCCGAGATATGGAAACAACCACAGGGTCCATCAGCAGCTGAATGGATAAGGAAAAGGGAATGCTATTCAGCCTTTAAAAAGAAGGAAATCCTGTCATTTGCAACAATATGGATCCACCTAGAGAACAGTATGTAAAGGAAATAAGCCAGGCACAAAGACAAATACAGCATGATCCTACTTCATATGGAATCTATAAAAGTTGAAAAGCAAAGAGTAGAATGTTGGTTACCAGAGGGTGGGCATTGAGGGGTCTGGGGAGATGTTGGTCAAAGAGTACAAAATTATACTTAGGAGGAATAAGTTCAAAAAACATATTGTACAATGAGGTGACCATAGTTAATAACAATGTTTTATATACTTGAAAATTGCTAAAAGAGTAGATTGCAGGTGCTCTCACCACAAAAAAATTGATTATGTGAGGTAATATGTATGTTAATTAGCTTAATTTAGCCATTCTGCAATGTATACATATATCAAAATATCATGTTGTACCCCATAAATATACACAATATATAATTTTTATTTGCCAACATTAAAAATTAATTAATTAATTTAAAGGAGGAACAAGTGGGAAACCTGGATTTTTACACCCACTTGGGAGTAACAAGGAAGAAAAGAGGCAGGAATGCATCAGCAATGCTCTCCTGCCCTCGTTCCTGCCAAGCTAGTGTCAGAGGAGGCTAGCTAAAACAGAAGATTTAAATAAAATCCTGAGTCTAATCACATAATACCCCAAATATTCAGGTTTCCATCAAAAATCACACAAAGATCCAAAAAACTCTCAACTTGAATTATAAAAGACAATCAAAATACTTCGACACTGGGATAACAGAGATGTTAAAATTATCTGACACGGATCTTAAAGCAGCCATCATGAAGATACTTCAACAAGCAACTGCAAGCACATTTGAAGCAAATGAAAAATAGAAAGTTCCAGCAACATAAAAGAAGCTATAAAGAACAAAATGGAAATTTTAGAAGTGAAAAATAAAACAACCAATTTTTAAAACTCTGTGGGCTTACAACAAAATGGGAAAGACACAGGAAAGAACCAGTGACCTTAGGTAATTGAATCCTGAGGCCGGGTCTTTCCCATGCTGTTCTTGGCATAGTGAATGAGTCTCATGTGATCTGATGGTTTTATAAAGGGGAGGTCCCCTACACAAGCTCTCTTTTGCCTGCCGCAATCTAAGATGTCCCTTTGCTCTCATTCGTCTTCTGCCATGATTGTGAGGCCTCCCCAGCCATGTAGAACTGTGAGTCCATTAAACCTTGTTTTCTTTAAAAAAAAAAAAAAAAAAAAAAAGAACCCAGTGACCTTACATAGAAAACAATAGAAATAATCCAGTCAATGATAGACAATAGACTGGAAAAAAAATCAGAGTTTCAAGGACTTCTGGGACTATAACAAAATATCTAATATTTGTATCACTGGATTCCAAGAAGGAGAGGAGAAAGAAGATGAGGCTGAAAATGTATTCAAAAAAATCATGGCTGAAATTTTCCCAAATTTAGCAAAAGATGTAAACCTACACATTAAAGAAGCTGAGAAAACCCCAAACAGGATAAACGCAAAGAAACTCATGCCAAGACACATTATAATCAAACTTCTAAAAACTAAAGACAATGAAAGAAATCTTAAAAGCAGAGAGAGAAGAGACAACCTGCAACAATTTTAATATACAACAGACTTATCATCAGAAACCATGGAGACCAGAATGAAGTGTCACAACATTTTAAGTGCTGAAAGAAAAGAACTGTTAACCCAGAATCCTATATCCAGTTAAAATATCCTTCAAGAATGAAAGAGAAATCAAGACATTCTCAGATAAAGGAAAACTAAGGTTTTTTTTTCATCAATTGACCTACGCTAAAAGAATGGCTAAAGGAAGTTCTTGAGATAGAAAATACAAAAAGAAGGAATCTTGGAACATCAGGAAGGAAGAAATAATAGCAGAAAGAGCAAAATTATGGGTAAATATATTTTTCTTCTCTTTGAACAGATGAAGCAAAAATTATAACATTGATATTGTTCTAGATGGGTACACAGGAAATATTTAAGACAATTATAAATAGGAGAGAGTAAATAGACTTAAAGGGACATACAGTCTCTAAACATCATTCAAACTTATAAAATGTGGGCTTCAGTAGACTGTGATACATTATATACATATAATGTAATACATAGGGCTATCATTTAAAAATCTATATAAAGAAATACACTCAAAAACATTATAGAAAAATCAAAAATTTAGAATTCTAAAAAATATTCATGTAACCCACAGGAAGGCAAGGAAAAGAGGACAAAGAAATGAAAAAGGACACATAGAAAATTTTAAAATAAATAAAATGACAGTGTTAAGACCTAAAATATCAATAATTCCACTAAATGTAAATGGTACAAATATATCAATTAAAAGACCTGGCACAGTGTATTTTTAAAATGACCCAACTATGTGCTGTATACATGAAACTCACCTCAAATATAATTGTATAGGTAAATTGGAAGTAAAAGGATGGAAAACAATATACTATGCAAACAATAATCAAAAGAAAACAGTAGTAGTTATAGTAACATCAGGTAAATTAGATTTCAGAGCAAGAAAATTACCAGGGACAAAGAGAAACATTGCCTAATAGTAAAAAGGTCAATTAACCAAGACATAATTCTAAACGTATATATCAAATAACAGGGCTAGAAAACACATGAAGCAAAAATGGATAGAGCTGCAAGGAAAAATAGACAAATCTACAATTACAGTTGAAATTTCAACACTGCTTTCTCAACAATTGACAGAATAACTAGACAGAAAATCAACAAGTATACAGAAGAATTCAACAACATTATCAACCAATATAATCTAATCAACATTTATAGAACACTCTATCCAGCAACAGTAGAATATAGATTCTTTTCAAGCACCCATGGAACATTTACCAAGATGGACCATATCCTGGGCCACATAACAAACTTCAACAAATTAAAAGGAATTGAAATTATAGGCTGGGCATGGTGGCTCATCCCTGTAATCCCAGCACTTTAGGAGGCTGAGGTGGGTGAATCACTTGAGCTCAGGAGTTTGAGACTAGTGTGGGCAACAGGGCAAAACCCCATCTCTACAAAAAAAAAAAAAAAAAATACAAAAAATAGCTGGGCATTGTGGCACGCACCTGTAGTCCCAGCTACTCATGAGGCTGAGGTGGAAGAATCACCTGAGCCCCGTGGTCAAGGCAGCAGTGAGCTGCGATTGCACCACTGTACTCCAGCCTGGGTGACAGACTGAGACCCTATCTCGAAAAAAAAAAAAAAAGCATTGAAATTATCAAGAGTATGTACTCTCTGACCACAATGAAGTCAAACTAGAAATCAATAACAAAAAGATACCAATAACATCTACAAACTACATTAACTACTTAAAAACTAAAAACTACATAAAAACTAAACAACATACTTTTAAATATCTCATGAGCCAAAAAGAAGTCTCAAGAGAAATTTTTAAAACTAAATTTAGGCCAGGCACAGTGGTTCACGCCTGTAATCCCAGCACTTTGGGAGGCCAAGGTGGTCAGATTGCTTGAGGCCAGGAGCTCGAGACCAGCCTGGCCAACATGGCAAAATCCTGTCTCTACTAAAAATACAAAAATTAGCCAGGCGTCGTGGCTCATGCTTGTAATCCTGGCTTCTTGGGAGGCTGAGGCACAAGAATTGCTTGAACCCAGGAGGCGGAGGTTGCAGTGAATCGAGATTGTGCCACCGCACTCCAGCCTGGGTTACAGAGCAAGACTGCATGTCAAAAAAAAAAGAAGAAGAAAGAAGGAATAAGGAAGAAGGAAGAAGGAAGAAGAAGAACAAAATCCAACATAACAAAAATTTGTGGGATGCAGCCTAATCAGTGCTGAGAGGAAAATAAATAGCAAATATTTTACTTTAGAAAAGAGGGAAAGTCTCAAATCAATAATCTAAGCTTTAGTCTTAAGAAAATTTAGAAACAACAAAAATTAAAAACAGAAAAACAAAATATAAATGAAACAAAAAGCTGCTTTTTAAGAAAGATCAATAAAATTGACAAACCTCTACCAAGACTGACGAAGAAAAAAAAAGACAAGACACAAACTCAATATCAATAATAAAACGGAATATCACCATAGACCTTGCAGACATCAAAATAATAATAAAAGGAATATTATGATCAACTCTTCACACACAAATTTGATAACTCAGATTAAATGAACAGATTTATTGACGATCACAAACTTACTACCATTTCCTCAATATGAAATAATCTGAGTAGTCTTATTACTATTAAAGATACTGAATGTGTAACTTTAAAATTCTAAAAAAGAAATCTTCAGGTCCAAATAGTATCACTGTAGAATTCTACCAAGCATTTAAAGAATAATTAACACCAATTATACACTATCTCTTACAGAAAATAGGAGACAACATTTCCCAACTCATTTTATGAGGCCAGTTGATATGGTTTGACCTGTTTCCCTGCCCAAATCTCATGTCCCATTGTAATCTCCAAAATTGGAGGTGGGGCCTGGTGGGAGGTGATTTGATCATGGAGGCAGATTTCTCATGAATGAATGGTTTAGTACCATCCACTTGGTCTGTCCTTGTGACAGTGAGTGAGTTCTCATGAGATCTGGTTGTTTAAAAGTGTGTAGCACCCCCCCCCCCACCCTCTTGCTCCTACTTTGGCCACGTGACAGGCCTGCTCCCACTTCGCCTTCCACCATGATTGTAAGTTTCCTGAGGTCTTCCCAGAAGCTGAGCAGATGCAACATGATGCTTCCTGCACAGCCTGCAGAAATGTGAGCCAATTAAACCTGTATTCTTTATAAATTACCTAGTCTCGAGTATTTCTTTAAAGCAGTGTGCAAAGAGACTAATAAACTAGTATTACCCTAATACCAAAACCAAACACAGTACAAAAAAGAAAGAAAACTACAGACTAATATCTTTCATGAATTTAGACACAAAAACCGTCAACAAGTTAATAGCAAATTGAATCCAACAAAGTGTTAAAATAATTACACATCATCATCAAGTGGAATACCAGGAATGCAAACCATGTTCAATATTTGAAAAAAATCAATGTAACCCACTATATTAGCAGGCTAAAGAAAGTGACATGATTATATCAATTGATACAGAGAAAGCATTTGACAAAATCCAACACCCACTTATGATAAACAAGAAAAAAAACCCTGAGCAAACTAGGAATAGAAGAACTTCTTCAACATCTGTAAAAAACCCACAGTCAATATCTCCCTAAAATCAGGACGAAGATAAAGATGTTGGCTCTTACCACTCTGACTCATCACAGTACTAGAAGTCTTACCCAGCATGATAAGGCAAGAAAAGGAAAAGAAAGGCATATAGATCAGAAAAGAAAAATAAAATTGTCATTTACCAGTGACATGATAAAAATGTTCTATATAGAAATTTCAAGGAATATTCAAAATTAACTCCCAGAATTAATAAGTAAGATCAGTAAAGTAATGGGATGCAAGATCAACATATTAAAATAAATCATATTTCTATATAGTAACAAGAACACATGGAAATTGAAACAGACTATTATAATTGCTTCCAAAATTGAAATATTTAGGAATAGGTCTAAAAAAACATGACAGGACCAGCATGCTGAAGTGAAAGAAATCAAAGACCTATATAATGGACAGACCATGTTAATTAATTAGAAACTCAACATCATAAAGATGTCAATTCTCCCCCAAACTGATACACTGTATAGATTTAATGCAATTTTTATCAAAACTCCAGGATTCTTTTTGTAAACATAGACAACTTTATTCTAAAATTTACGGCTGGGTGCGGTGGCTCATGCCTGTAATCCTAGCACTTTGGGAGGCTGAGGTGGGTGGATCACCTGGAAGAAAATACAAAATCCAGAAATAAACTCCCACAAATATGCCAGCTGGATCCTTAGAAAGGTATAAGAACAATTCAACAAAGGAAGGGTAGCTTTCTCAACAAATGGTTCTCTAAAAATTGGCATAAGCAAAAAGAAGAAGAGGAGGGGGAAGGGAGAAGGGGAAGAAAAGATATTCATCATCCCTAATCATTATAAAAGTATAAATCCAGACCATGGTGAGATATCACTGCACTCCTATTGGACTGCTAAATTAAAAAACAATAGTGGTTAACAGGGCCTGGGGGAAGGGGTAACAGGGAGTTATTGTTTAATGGGTACAAGTTTCAGTTGGGATGATGAAAACATTCTGAAGAATGGGCAGTGGTGACGGTTGCACAAGAGTGAAAATAATGCCACTGACCTGTATGCTCAGAAATGGCTGAAATTGTAAATTTTATGTTTTGAATTTTTAATGACAATACCAAATGCTGACAGTACTAGGTACCAAAGATGTGGAGAAACTGTGCTGGTGGGAATGTAAAATGGTAAAATCAGGCTGGAAAATAGTTTGTCCATTTCTTCACAAACTAAACATAACTTGTCATAGAACTTACTGAACTCCTTGACATCTATCCCAGAAAAATGAAAACTGTGTCCACACAAAAACATGTATACAACTATTCAGAGCAACTTCATTTGCAATAACCAAAAAGTAGAGACAACTAAAATGTCCTTCAATAGGTGAATAGTTAAATCCACTGTGGTACAGCCATACCATAGAATACTACACAGCAATAAAAATGAACTAACTGCTGATACACATTACAATTAGGATGGACCTCAAGGACATTACACTCAGTGAAACAAAATACTGTCAAATACTGGAGAGTTCCATTTATATAGCATTCTCCAAATGACAAAATTATAGAGCACAGATTAGTGGTTGCCAGGGGTTAGGGGTGGTGGGGAGAAGGGAGTTCATGTGACAGTGAACAGCTATGTGTTGGATGCGGTAATGGAATAGTTTTGTGTCTTGATTACGAAGGTTGTTACAGATATTCATGTGTCTGATGAACTGGCATAGAACTATACACACACAGTGCACCAATCATATGCTGTCGTTACCTATGATGTAACCATTGAGGGAAATTGGGTAATGGGTATATGGGACTTCTCAGTACTATTTTTTTTTTTTTTTTGAGACAGAGTCTCACTCTGTTGCCCAGGCTGGGGCACAGTAGTGCAATCTCAGCTCACAGCAACCTCCATCTCCCGGGTTCAAACAATTCCCTGCCTCAGCCTCCTGAGTAGCTGGGATTACAGGCGCCCGCCACCACGCCCGGCTAATTTTTGTATTTTTTTAGTAGAGACCAGGTTTCACTATCATGGCCAGGCTGGTCTTGAATTCCTGACCTTGTGATCCACCCGCCTCGGCCTCCCAAAGTGCTGGGATTACAGGTGTGAGCCACCACACCCAGACAGTACTATTTTTATAACTTCCTATGACTATATAATTATCTCAAAATAAAAAAGTTAAAAAATTAACTGTATACATTTGAGATGAAAAATTTCCTAAGCTCTCTTTCCCATTCAGAACCAATGGAAAGGAATGTTTCCCTGAGGACATGGAATTATACACACAGATATCTGAGCTAAGTGGTCACAGAGTGGGGCCCACAGAATGGTCCCACCATCTGTTCTGCTCATGCTGTGCTGCTCTCTTTAGCTCAGCCATCTCTTCTTCAGTGACAGAGCTCAGGGCCAGGTGACCATGATAGGCCCCACCCACAGCAGCAAAAGGCCAGGAGGCCTGGCTGTGTTCCCAGTAGCACAGGCACTGGGAGGGCTGCACACACACCCCTGCTTCACAGGGAAACTGTTGTTTCTTGGTAACTGAGGGGATTGCAGAGGCAGGATTGCCTAGAGGTTAGGAGCATGGCTGTGGAGTCAAATGGCCTGGTGTGATTCCTGACACTGCCACCAACAGCTGTGTGCCTTTGGCCAGGTGATAACTGCCCTGTGTCACTGCCCCCTCAGAGTTGTTGTAGGGAGTACATTGGTGGACCTGAAGGACTGGTGACCAGACTTTCTGGGAAAGTGTTCCCCAGATTCCACCTGGCTCAGAGATACGGATTTCACAGACTTTAGCATCTACCATAAGGCCAGCACCATGCTAGACATTTCTTTTTCAAGGTACTCCTTTTGGCAAACCCACTTGAGTTCCATTCTTCAGATAAAGAGCCAAGATGCACTGAAATTACATGACCTTCTCAGAGACTCCCACCCAAAGAGAGGCACAGCTGGGCTGAACTCCCATCTCCCTCTGATGGGCGAGCCCAGCTCCTTCCCCCTGCAGGGACCCCTTAGAGCAGGGCCTCCTCACCATCACTGAGCAAACCTGCATAAGTGGCAGTGAACAAAACTGACACCTGAATCATGCACCTCAACTACAACACCCACATTTGAAAGGAAACCTTCCTTGCCCCCCTTGGAGGAAGTGAGCTCAGTTTTGGGAGAGGCTGGGGTGTGTATCAAGCACCACTCTCAGTAAAGCTACAGTGGTAGCCATGGTAGGAGTGATTTTTAATATTTCACATACAAAAAAAAACCTGCTTTAAGAATTGAGAACCAGGAAAAATTGTTCTTCCACGTGAATGGCTGTGCTTCCTTCTCTCGGGGACTGTGGGTGGCTTACCCATGGACTCCTTTGAACTGGAAGCCAGTGTCATCCCTGTAAACATGTTAGTCTCCTGTGAGACTGTTTTCACAACCTTTTAAAATTATGATTTTTATTTCCATTATACCAAGTTATCAGTTGCATGAATCTTAATCAAAGGTGCCTCTAATTCTTTAAATTAGGCCCAGCAACAACAGAAGGAAAGAAAAAATCCTCTTAGCCTAGCATTCTGGAGACAGAATTATATATGTTTATTTGTATCAAGTTTTTTCTGTTATATCTTCCAATTCAAAAATAAAATATTAAAAGGAAGTTTTAGATAAACGGAATCATGAACCCATAACAGGAATATATTCATTTTAATATATTCTCCTCCATCATTATCCACTTGCATGAATATTTACTTAAATAATTGTGAGCAAATTTAAAATACCAATTTAGAATCTACTTGATATCATTTACCTATAAATGTTACATTTTAAATTTCACATGGGTTCCCAATCATGATTTTTAAGTTTTCTCATATTTCACAAAGTTCAACATCTCACATTTACAAATTAACTGATTGGCTCTGCAAAGTCACTATACAGCTTACAGTGCTCAGTCCCTATCCCGGGCTTACATCCTTGAGGTTCCCATGAACACAAAACGTGCCTCTGGAAGAGTCAGGGTACCAAGTCTATCATTTTGCTTCTCTGTATAAATGGAACCATAAATGTGTCCCAAAGCTACTTTGTAGTGGAAGCATAATTTGTTACCCTTTTGCACTCTCTGCAGTGACTCCCTCCAGGGAATGTATCAGGGCCAGTGGGTGTGACACAATAATTGTACCCCAATGCGGGTTCAGATTGCCCACCTGAGCCCCATATCTCTGGAGCCAGACAGAAGTCAGTCATGCCCTGCTTGCACTGGGGACAGTTGAGTCCCCCAGCCTGAGCCAGGGACAACAGGCTGACTTCTGTGGTCCTTCCTTATTTCTCTTAAAAATCTCTCTTTCATGTTTCCTCTCTTTGGTGTTTCCCTCTGTCACCATTTTAAAAAAATGTATCTTCTGTGTTCTTTCCTATTTAGTCAGCATTCTCTTTACTTCATTTCTTTGAACACATTTTGTATTTTTTTTTTTTTTTTTTGAGACAGGGTCTTATTCTGTTGCCAGGCTGGAGTGCAGCCTCCACCTCCTGGGCTCAAGCAATTCTCATGCTTCAGCCTCCTGAGTGGCTGGGACTACAGGACCATGTTTTATTCAGTTGTTTAGCATTTTAAACTCAAGGCTAAAAATATATCCACTTTCATTCTTCTCCTAATCATTCCAAGTTTTCCCAATTCCCTCTTCTCTTTGAGCCATTAGAGCATAACAGCTAAGAGCACTGGCTCTGGGGCTGACTGCTGGGGTTCAAACCCGGTGCCATTTCCCAGGGGTGTCACTGTGGGCAAGTCACCTAACCTCTGTATGTGTTGGCTCCCACCTATGTGTTCTAAAACTGGTGCCTGGGATTGGTTTTAATCAGGTGTGGCAAAGCGTGCAGACACAGCAATGATTGTCATGAAGGAAGAAGTTTATACTCACAGATCCCTATAAACAAGAGGCCTGGCTCCCCACGCAGGGCCACATGGAGAGCACCAAGGGCAGTCAGGAGGCAGAAGGGGCGGGGCAGCATAGGCCTGAGCCTTTATTGTGTTTTCTGTAAGAAACGAAGAGGGCAGAACAGGGTAAGCCTTTTAGAATGGGCTAGTTTAAATGGTTCTGGCTGGCTTTGAGGCATAGGGGCCGTCTCCAGTTGTCTGGTACCTGGCCCTGGGTTGATTTAGGGCAGGAGGAATATTAACTTGCTGTGTGAGAGTTTGGTAAAGGAGATGATTGTGGGTGTGGGCTGTAGCTTGGTTCGTTTGCATAAAAGGCACTCTCCTTTGCTATCTGGCTAGGCCTGGGAAGGAGAGTCTCTCCCCAGTCAGCAAGATCACAAATGCCAGAGCATCAAGAATACAGAAAATTAAAAATATACAGAGAATACAACTGGCCCTGTGATGGATGCCAGACAAATTCAGAATCTAAGAGAACACGGAGCACCCTGGCAAGGTGGCCAGTAATAGGACTTACCTCATCTAGCCGTTGTGAGGATTAAATAGATGAGCCCCTGTAAATTGTTTAGACGGGTGCCTTGCCTGCAGAAGGCGCCATGAAAGGTGTGCTGTTACTTCTCCCCTTGCTACGCCCCCTTTACTTCCCATGCTGTGTCGTCCCTCCCTCTCTGTCCTACTCTCAGGCTGCCCAACTCCTTATGGATCCCTCTTCTCAGGTTTCCCCAGCTGCCTGCTTTAATCTACTTTCTCCTAGACAATGTCCGGACCATTCTCTCACCTGCATCTTATCTTTTGCTTAGACTATTACGCAGTTACCATTTCACATCTCTCAAATTTTACATCTCTTAACTCTTGTGACATTTAGATTTGTCTTCATCTATTGTTGCAATGTGTCTTTCTCTGCCGCTTTTCTGGTAGCACCCCGCCACCACCACCCCCCAACACACCTTCCTGTTCCTCTATTTTTTTTGTTGTTGTTGTTGAGATGGAGTCTCGCACTGTCGCCCAGGCTGGAGTGCAGTAGCGCAATCTCAGCTCACTGCAACCTCCACCTCCCAGCTTCAAGCAATTCTCCTGCCTCAGCCTCCCAAGTAGCTGGGATTACAGGCACCCGCCACCACGCCCAGCTAATTTGTTGTATTTTTAGTAGAGACAGGGTTTCACTATGTTGGCCAAGCTGGTCTCAAACTCCTGACCTGGTGATCCACCCGCCTCGGCCTCCCCAAGTGCTGGGATTACGGGCATGAGCCACTGTGCCTGGCCTCTGTTCCTCTATTTCAAATTCATTCATTCACTCATTCGGCAATTTGCTTCAGTTTCCTTATGTTTGCCTCTTTCTCATCTGTCCTCTTTTCCATTTTATTCCTACTCTGTCTCAGTCCACTTACAGTTATATTTCCTATCTGTGTATTTTATAATATTTGTGCTTTAATACTTTTAAAATATCCTTTATTTTACTGTTTCTTCTCTTCCCTTGTCATATTTTAAAGTGTTTTATTTCTCAGCCTTCTATATCTTTGCATTAATTCTGTTCCTCTACAATAGAGTCCGTTCCAAGCTTTCTGTCTTCCTGTGTCCTTCCACGGCTCTGGCTCTCTCTGCATTATTTCCTATTTATGGAATACAAATCTTTTACCCTTGTATTTTTCTCACTCCTCTCCACACACCCCTTGACTCGCCTTTCCCCACGCCCCTCTAGGTGCTTCTTGGTCTTTGCTTTTCCTTTTTATTTCCTCACCATGTCAATTTGTATTTTTCCTCTCTCTTACTACTGTATCATAAATGGGACTCCCGACAACCACTCCCGTGTGTCTGCCTGGAGGCAGCAGTTTTAAGAAGGGTTGGCCACTGAGCCTCACAGAGGGACCCCTGTCTTATGCTGCAGCAAAGTACCATAGACTGGGTGGCTTACAAACAAATTTATTTCTCACAATTTTGGAGGAGAGAAGTCCAAGAGTCACCTGTCAGCACGGTCAGGTTCTGGTGTGGGCCTTCTTCCAGGTTGCAGCTGACACCTTCTCATGTCCTCGCATGATATGAACAGGGCTAGAGAGCGTTCTGGGGTCTCTTTTATAAGGTCACTGGTCCCATCATAAGGACTCTGCCTGTGACCCACTTACCTCCCAAAGGCCCCCCACCTCCAATCACACCAAGGGTTAGAATTTCAACGTAGGAATTTTGAGAGGACACAAACACCCAGGCTATGACACGGTCTTTAGAAAATCCCAGAATGAGTTGTCAGGTTCTTGGGAGATCTGTAACTGTGGGAAAGCGTCACATCCCAGGGAAAGCCACCAGCTGGGAGAGCCATCCCAGACAAGGCCTGCTCCCTTTGGGCGGACCTCTGTGGAGAAGCCAGCTTGGCACGTTCTTTCTCCTCCACTGCAAAGTTAAATGCGAGAAGGTAGAAACCCAGAGGCCATGCTGGCGCTGAGAGATGAGCCCCACTCACCAGATTCAAGATCCCAAGGTAGGCACAGACACAGGGCAAGCAGACTCCAATTCCAGGAGTTTGGAACTTAAATAGAGTCATAGAGACACTCAGATCTGATCAAAGTGAGTGCACTCGGTGACATTTCCTAAAGGGTTCTGACAACTTCATCTGCAACTGGGGCTGCCCCAGGTTCTGCACCTCCAGCTCACAGCGCACAGGTGTTGCTGAGCTCCTCTAAACAATGAACAGCACTAACAAGTGGGTTTAGGTAGGGATGCCTGCCAGCTGTGTGGATCAGGCCCCAGGGGAGAGGCCGGGGTGGAGGTCAGCCCGGGAGTCTGCACACCTGCAGCTTGTTTCTACCGCACACAGATGGGCATGGGTGAAAATCTTTACAAGTGCTGCAGACTTTGGCAAAGCCTATAAATTCAGAGCAGCCCGGAGAGGAGAAAGGAAAGTGGATGTGGGTTCAGGCCGCATGAAATGGAGATCCGATTGCCTGACTTAGCTTTGAAGCGAATCTTCTCTTTCCTGGACCTGTTCGGCTTGCTGCAGGTTTCCCAGGTGAACAAGGTAAAGGCCTTCCACCTCCCACTGCCCCCCAAGCCCGCTGCTTCTCTCGACCAGTTTGAGCACCACTTTGCAGAATAGCAGAGGGTTACACTGAGGCTTTGGGGGTTAGCATTCTTCATACTGAGGGCCTCATATTCTGTTAAACGAAAAGGACAAGCTGATATCCAGGAGTTGTGCTGACTAAACAGTCCTTGAGGCTCCCATTTCAAGCCCTAGGAAATCAACACTTCTTCCTGTGAATTCATGGGAATACCCAGTGCCTGTATTAGCAGTGATAGGTCTCTGTTGTTACCATTTCCTTATCTCCCCACACTGAGAGTGCTTTGAGAGCTGGAATCCCATCTGATTAACCTGTGCGGGCCCAGCTCCCAGAACAAATAATAGCAGAGGATTACCCTTGCTCTCTGATGTAACTGATTGCCTGCTTGTCTCTTCCTTTCTCTCCCATAGCATTGGAATAGGATTGCAGACAGTGATTACCTGTGGAGGTAAGGGAAGGGAAAGGGCAAGGAGGGAAGGGGAGAGGAGATCATCTGACTGCGCACCCATGCTGTGTCCCAAGGCCTGTGTGGCTGTGTTGTGAGATATACACAGGAAAGTTAGTGTGAGTAGGGGGTTGTGATATAACCGGGGCTCTGAGGAGGTGAACTGACTGAGAACAGCCTGATGGGACTGTGACTCTGTTTCCAGGTCACTATCTCTGCAGAGATGGGACTGCAGCAACTTCACCAATCAACACCTGGGCACACACACATGGAAGCAATTTTTCCTGCATCAAAGAAGGAAGGAGCTTCGGTTGGCATTGGCACAGCCGCATAACTTTATCTACAAAGTAACTAAGAACATCGGTATGGGTATAGGTGCCCTAGAGGAACATGAGCAGCTTGTTTTCAGAGGTCCACTCTATTTGATTTTTGCTGTGTGCAGTTGTGTATTCTCATTCAGTAAAGGGAAAAGGAATTAAAATTGAACCAGACTGGGTTGCCGTGATAGCCATGTGATATCTCCCTGCTTCCTCTCTTGTCCCCACCATCTGTGCTGAATGAAGAAACTAGAGTGATTTTTTTTCACAACATAAAATCAGGTCCTGTTACTCCCTTTTTCCTAAGGCTTCTCATCCCTCCCAGAATAAAAATCAGAAAAAAAAAATTAATGGGAAACTCTAAAAAACAGAGGCTTGGCTGGGCACAGTGGCTCATGCCTGTAATCCCAGAACTTTGAAAGGCCGAGGTGGGCAGATCACTTGAGCCCACGAGTTCAAGACCAGCCTGGCCAACAAAGTGAGACCCCCCCTCCATCTCTATGAAAAAATTTAAAAAATTAGCCTGGGTGACAGGGCCAGACCCTGTCTCTAAATAAATGCATACATAGGCTCTACAGCTGCAGCCTCAACCTCCTGGGCTCAAGAGATCTTCCTGCCTCAGCCTCCTGTGTAACTGGGACTACAGGGGTACACCACCACAACCAGTTGATTTTTTTTTTTTTTTTGAGGTTGAGTCTTGCTCTGTCATCTAGGCTGGAGTGCAATGGCACGATCTCGGCTCACTGCAGCCTCTGTCTCCTGGGTTCGAGTGATTCTCCTGCCTTAGCCCCCTGAGTAGCTGGGATTACAGGCATTTACCACCATGCCCAACTAATTTTTGTGTTTTTAGTACAGATGGGGTTTCACCATATTAGCCAGGCTGGTCTTGAACTCCTGACCTCAAGTGATCCACCTGCCTTGGCCTCCCAAATTGCTGGGATTCCGGGCATAAGCCACCATACCCGACCATATTTTTTAAATTTTTTTGTAGAGATTAGGTCTCACTTTGTTACCCAGGCTGGTCTTGAACTCCTGAACTCAAGCGATCCTCCCACCTCGGCCTCACAGGCGTGAGCCACTGTACCTGGCCTAATCCTGATAACACTTTTTTTTTTTTTTTTTTTTTTAAAAACAGAGTCTCATTTTGTCTCCGAGGCTGGAGTGCAGCAGCATGATCTTGGCTTACTGCAACCTCCGCCTCCTGGGTTCAAGCAATTCTCATGCCTCAGCCTCCCAAGTAGTTGGGATTACAGGCACCTGCCAACATGCTAATTTTTGTATTTTTAGTAGAGACAGGTTTAGCATGTTGGCCAGGCCGGTCTAGAACTCCTGGCCTCAAGTGATCCACCTACCTCAGCTTCCCAAAGTGCTGGGATTACAGGCGTGAACCACTGTGCCTGGACTTGATAACTCTTTTAAAACTCAGAAAAGTTCTCTGATGGAGAGATTTTAATATGCCTTTTATATCTATGGAAACTGAGGATAAAAAGGAAAAGCAAGTTGGCCAACATCTCCCAAATGGCCAGTCTGCCGTGGGAACCTGTGTTTGGATGACTCTGGAGCCCAATTTCTATCTTCTCCATATTGTTACCCAAACCTTCCTAAGAGGGTACAGAAATATTTTAAATTATCTTCTTTTGGTTTGGATCATCCCTTAACTATCTGGTGGCCAAGTCTTCTATGTTTCCTTCTAGCATTTGAGACGGAGTTGGCTTATCTCTCAGGAAATAGACTTACAGTGGATGAACAGGAGAAATCAATCATTTGTAGTGTATCTCCAAAGCAAGAGCTTTGTGCCTGGGATGTGCAAGAGGTGAGTCTGGCCAATATGTGGCAAAAGTACTGCATATTTGCATCCATCCTGTTCTATATATGAAACGGAAGTGCTGAGAGGAAAATATTCGGAAGTGGTAACAAAAACAAAGTGTCAAATCAGGTTTTCTATCATGTAATTTGTGACCTTTTCATTTGGACCATAGACACACATAGAATTCACTTTTGTTGTTGTTGTTATTTTTGTTTGTTTGTTTTTTGAGACTGAGTCTCGCTCTGTTCCCCAGGCTGGAGTGCAGTGGCAGGATCTCGGCTCACTGCAAGCTCCGCCTCCAGGGTTCACGCCATTCTCCTGCTTCAGCTTCCCAAGTAGCTGGGACTACAGGCGCCCGCCACCACGCCTGGCTAATTTTTTTGTATTTTTAGTACAGACAGGGTTTCACCATGTTAGCCAGGATGGTCTCGATCTCCTGACCTTGTGATCCGCCTACCTTGGGCTTCCAAAGTGCTGAGATTACAGGCGTGAGCCACTGCGCCCGGCCTTTTTTTTTTTTTTTTTTTTTTTTTTTGAGACAGTCTCACTGTGTTGCCCAGGCTGGAGTGTAGTGGCGCGATCTCAGCTCACTGCAACCTCCGCCTCCCGAGTTCAAGCGATTCTCGTGCCTCAGCCTCCTGAGTAGCTGAGATTACAGGCGCGCGCCACGATGCCCAGCTAATTTTTGTATTTTTAGTAGAGACGGGGTTTCGCCATGTTGGCCAGGCTGTTCTTGAACTTCTGGCCTCAAGTGATCTGCCAGCCTCAGCCTCCCAAAGTGCTGGGATTACAAGCATGAGCCACTGCACTTGGCTGAGAATTTACTTTTTAATATGTGTTTCTATATATAAATTTGTATAAGGTCTTATTTTCTACCAATAACATGGAATGCATTTATGAAATAATTTTTGGGCTTTCTGCATCTTTATTACCTGTTCTATTGCCTCTTTGTCAATGATTGGCATTTGTTATATTGGCTTTTTCAGAAAGTGGTCTCTAGCTCAGATGATCTCCAAGGCGTGCAAAGGATTTATCTCAAAACTGAGTGTGGCTTTTGTCTAATGGTATAAACTGCAGTGAGGTTCTTAGGAGACCCATAAAGTTTTTGTTGAAGAGAATTACACTGAGAGAAACACTGTCAGCTTGGATTTAAAGGGGCCAAAACACACAAAAGGAAAAGAGGCCTTTTGGATTTCAAAACTTTTACAGGCAGGAAGCAGACTACCAAAAACAATTTAGCTAAAAAATTGGGCCACCGCATAGAGAAAGCGAAGGATGACCCAGACAGAATCAAGAGCCTAGAGAGTAGAACCAAGAGTCATTAAAGATCTTTCTTGGGCCTTGAGTCCTAATTGACAAATTGCCAGCATGTTTTCTATTGGATTTCAAAATTTCTTGTAGCAGTGATTCCTATTTTTCCATTTTCACCTTTTCTGAATAACAGTGACTATGTTATCCTGCGCTTACCCCACACTTGTACTTTGGGGATAGTGAGGGACAGATAACTTGTATATTTAGTTTGAAGATTTTCACGTCAAGATAAATTGAATCTAAAGAGCTTCATCTATACCTGGACCTAGAAACAATGAGAGCCTAGATTCTGCAATGATACTACAATGGTATGAGACATTTGAGAGCATTGGGAGATGGTGGATATATTTTCATGTAGGGGGAAACTGAATCACTGGAGGCTGTGGGGCAGACTACAGCTGCCAATCTCTGAGATGGCCCAAATATTTTTGCCCCATGATAATCACGATCAATCTTGTGTAGTCCACTGCCACAGTCAATAGGGCTGACCTGTGCAACCAATAGGATATTGTGGAAATTATGGTGTATAATTTCTGAAGCTATGTCACAGAAGACAATTCTTCACTCATGGGTCATCAGCTCTTGGAGATCCAGCCACAGTGTTATGAGAGCTCTCAAGCAGCCCTCCAGAAAGATCTGTGTGGTGAGGGACTGAGGACCCCTGCCAGTAGCCAACACCAACTTACACAGCTATATGAGAGGCCATCTTGGAAGTGAAACTTGACTTCACCCTCATGAGAGACCTACAGCCAGAACTACCCAGTCAAGCTACCCCTGAATTTCTGATCAAAAGAAACAGAGTTAGCAAAAGCCTGTTTTAAGCCACTAAATTTTGGGATGCTTGGTTACATGGCCTTAGATATTACTGCATAGGCAACTTGTTATAGTGTGAAAAATCAAAATAATGATTACATTTGGGTGCGGAGAGCCATGGGGGAGTTGTTAAATAGAGCACATGCAAAGGGGACTTCAGGAGGGCTTAGAAGTGGTACATTGGTAATCACTTGTGATAATTTATTAAACTTCGTGCTCTTTTCTTATATGATATACTTTACAATTTTTTTAAAGGCTAAAGAATCATCTAGAAAGACAACTATTCTATCTTGTATGTAATGTACAAGGTTGAATAACAATTTTAATGATAGTTAATACATTTTGGGTTCCTACTGTGTCCTAGGCAGAATTCTAAGTATGTTTCATGAGATGTGAAAGGTAATGACAGCCTCATTAGAAGGCATGATAGAAAGTGACTTGCTGAAGGCTGCACTGTGAGTAGGAGGCAGAGGTGATTTGAACCTATGAAGTCTGATCATTCTTTGCGCCTGTTATGTACCAAGTTCTTGTCTCGGAGCATAATGTGTAGTTCCTGTTTTCATGTTCACTCCTCCAAAATATTGAGATGTGGAGAACTTTCATATCCTCTGCCCAGAAGCAAGAAGATCTGATTTGGAAGAGGCTTCCAAATAAACATGGGCAGAATGAAAGCACAGTAGGTGTAAGGGTTCCTTGAACACAGGTCGTGTTACTCTCGTTTTCTAGGGTACCATGATCTGGTCAAGCCCAGTCCAGGAGTTCCATTTCTCAAATCTGGTAACCCTCCCTCAGATGCATCTCGCCATCACTATGGATCGGAAAAAAACTATCAAAGTGTGGAACTGTCAGGACAGGGACGCTCTGGCTGTTCTCCCCATGCCACAGCCCTGTTATTGCATGGAAGCCTATCTTACAAAGGATGGCCCATTCCTGATGGTAAGTGAGCCCTGAATTTAGAGGGGACCAAAAAATCAAATGCCTGTTGTCTTGTCAGGCATCCGTGTCACATTACTGTCCTATCCCTTTTTTTTTTTTTTTTTTGGAGACAGAGTCTCACTCTGTTGCTCAGGCTGGAGTGCAGTGGTGCAATCTTGGCTCACTGCAACCTCTGCCTGCTGGGTTCAAGCAATTCTCCTGCCTCAGCCTCCTGAGTCGCTGAGACTACAGGCACACACCACCATGCCTGGCTAATTTTTTGTATTTTTAGTAGAAACTGACCAGGCTGGTCTTGAACTCCTGACCTCGTGATCTGCCCACCTCAGCCCCCCAAAGTGCTGGGATTACAGGCATAAGCCACAGCGCCTGGCCTATTTCTCTTGTCATCCCTTCCACATACCCTGCGAGTCAATCACAGTATATCAATGAATGTTATACAAACCTCCACACTATCTTGCCCCTTGACTTGCCTCAAGTACATTTCCCCAGCAATTCTTCTAAAGACAAAAAGCCAAAAACTTCCTGAATTACTTTATATGTGCCTTTTCTTTCAAGTGGTGTTATTGTCCAGTCCATGAACTTGGTTGGGGACAGTTGAGGGAGAAGAGATGGCTTTGGGGTGACATTGAGAAAAAGCATAGTGTTGATGTGCTAATGAATAACTGTCCTTGAGAAGAATGCTTTGGGGCTTGGAAAGTTTTATTCCATGGGATTATCCCAACAGTGTCTCAAGCTAGACTGGTCAGAGGTTTTGATCTCCATTATGTGATTGAAGAAACAGTGGCATATCTTGCAGCTCATAGTGCTGCCTCCTCTGTACTTCAGGATTTCACATATCTTCCTATTGATATGGTGGGGATGCTTTGGTTTCAGGTTGGCGATGCTGCAGGTGACATCTACACATTTACACTGCCTGGGTTAAGAGATGTTTCTAAAGTTACTGCATTTCAATATGGTATTGTACTTCTACACTGCTCTCCTGACAAGAAATGGGTATTTGCATGTGGGACATACAGTCGTACCTTGCCACAGGTAGGTGCTGTTCTGTGTATTTCAATTTCAGGATAGGAATGTCAAGTTAGGAAGCATGCAGAGAAACTGCAGAGCTCAGTGAGGACCAGGCACACTGCTCCTTCCTCTCTAAGACCACATCACAAGGGGAATCCATTGTGATGGTCAGGAAACAATGCTCTTTGAAGTAACAACATCCAGTTGCTGTGGCAAATGTTTAACAAAAACTCGTTCATGAAGCCCGAATTTGCCAAAGAGATGGAAGAGGGTGAGACAGGTATCAAGAAATAGGGATTGCTGGGCATGGTGGCATGCACCTATAGTCCCACTTACTCAGAAGGCTGAGGCGGGAGGATCACGTGAGCCCAGGAGTTCCAGGCCATAGTGTGCTATGCTGATAGGGTGTCCACACCAAGTCTGGCATCAATACGTTCACCTCCTGGGAGCAGGGGACCACCAGGTTGCCTAAGGAGGGGCCAACTGGCCCAGGTCAGAAACAGAAAAGGTCAAAACTCCCATACTGATCAGTAGTGGGAATGCACCTGTGAATAGTCACTGCACTCCAGCCTGGGCAACATGGCGAGACCCTACCTCTTAAAAAAAAAAAAAAATTTTTTTTTTTTTTTACAAAAATATCTTTGTCCTTGTTCTCTTTTGCCTTCTTTACTTTTATCTATGTTGGCTGCAAAGTGTAGAGAAGTCCAAAAGTAACTGAATATGCAACAGCCTCTGAATATCACTCTGAGGAAGGCTTTGGCCTTTGAGCAGGCCATTTGTAGTGGGGCACTGGTGGACTGGGCACCAAAGAGGGAGGAGTTCAGAAGGCAGGTAGTAAAAGCCACACAGCCCTTGACTTGTTCCCCAAGAAGGGAAAATCTGCTTAGCCAACCTCAACTTGACCAAGGGTTCAACATGGCAAGATGGTTTCATAACACCTTAGCATGCTTCAGGGACATTGTTCTGTGAATGGGACAGGAAGAATAGGAAGACAGTGAGTTCCTTTTATGCTGGAGTGATAAGCAGTGACCACTCATCACTCCTGAGATATTGAACAAAGCTTTGGCCACAAGATGAGAATTTCTAAGAAGGCTCTTCTGGAGTCACTCCTGTACTGAGAGGCTATAAGTTCCCTGCCCCTGACCATGCATGCGATGCTCTCTTTAGGTATTCCTCACAGAGTCCTTACTGAGACCATCAGAAGGCAGTGTTCCTCTGTCTACCTTTCTCCCACATAAATTATGTGCCAGCGCCTGCTGGACCCCAAAGGTGAAAAACAGGATAACACTGATGTCCCAAAGTAGCACTGGAAAAAAGACAGAATTTATCACCTTTGATCTAACAACCAAGAAGACTGGAGGCCAAACAGTCATCCAAGGTAGGCTGTGCCACATTAGAAACGCTTGTTTCTCTTCCTCATCACACAGTCATTCGTGTTTAGCTCTAATAAATGGGTCAGCCTGTATAAAGTGAGCAGGGGATTTCTAGTTTTTTTTTTTTTTTTTTGAGACGGAGTCTTGCTCTGTTGCCCAGGCTGGAGTGCAGCGGCACAATCTCGGCTCACTGCAAGCTCCACCTCCTGGGTTCACGACATTCTCCCGCCTCAGCCTCCCGAGTAGCTGGGACTACAGGTGCCCGCCACCATACCCGGCTAATTTTTTGTATTTTTAGTAGAGACAGGGTTTCACCCTGTTAGCCAGGATGGTCTCAATCTCCTGACCTCATGATCCGCCTGCCTCGGCCTCCCAAAGTGCTGGGATTACAGGAGTGAGCCATCGCACCCGGCCAGGAGCAGGGGATTTCTTTAGCTGGGGGTGAACCCATCCCAGTTCGACTCTAATACCCATGCTGATCTCTACCCCCACCCTGCTCTCTTGGGCGAACACATATAGATTTCCATCATATTTTAGGGCCTGGGTTCCAATGCCCAGGGGATTGTTTATTGTCCACAAACCTCTGTTCCTGTGTCCTAGCACCTGTTACCACAGTCAGTGATATGTATTTGTCAGGCCACTGGACTACCCTTCATTTTCTTCCCCGGAATGAAGTCTGTGGAAGTGGGGACTATGCTTTTTTATTCAGTGTGAGGATATTATTATTCAATGACCTGATCTTTACTTCCTTATGTGTGTGTGTATATATATGTGCGTTTTACATGAAAACAGCATATGAGATCGCAAGTTTCCAGGTGGCAGCTCATCTGAAGTGCCCTATCTGGATGGGAGCCAGTGATGGATATATGATTGTCTTTACCAGTGGACCATACTTGTTACTCTTCAGCATCACTGGCTTCCTGCTGCAACGATTTGAGGACCATCAGGCAGCCATCAACAACTTCTGGGTGGTATGTATGATTCTCCTCCACTGCTTTTTGATCTGACTTTGACTCCTTGGCCACTCACTCTGGCTATCCTTGGAAGGATCCTTGCTATGTGCTCACCACATCCGAGAACTCTGTGCACGTGTACATGTGGGAAGAAGGAGGCCGCCATCCATACCTCAGGAGCTGCTGTCACCTGGAAAACACGTGGCATGATCACACAACAGACAGGTAAGCTCTGTTTTGTGATGTAAACATCCCCTAAACAACTTTTTTTTTTTGAGACGGAGTCTCCCTATGTCACCAGGCTGTAGTGCAGTGGCGTGATCTCAACTCACTGCAACCTCCGACTCCCGGGTTCTAGCAATTCTCCTGCTTCAGCCTCCCAAGTAGCTGGGATTACAGGCATGTGCCACCACACCTGGCTAATTTTTGTATTTTTAGTAGAGACTGGGTTTCCCCATGTTGGCCAGGATGGTCTCGATCTCCTGGTCTCGTGATCCGCCCGCCTTGGCCTCCCAAAGTGCTGGATTACAGGCGTGAGCCACCGCACCCTGCCGAAAACTTCTAATTTCTACATCAAGATGAATGAAGGGAAAACAGGGGTTTTTTTTTTTAAGGTTCTCTGAGGATAGATATCAATAAACTCATGCCTGAAAAGAGAATCGCTAGTTCTTGAAGTCATGGGACTTGCAATAGATGTTAAGTCTTCCCAAAGTGGCTCTCAATTTATATTCCCATGAGCAGTGGATAGATTATGTCCCAATACCCTGTGTTTTCTTGCTGAGTTGTACCTTTTGTGAGTTCATTAGCCACTTGCTTGCTGCTTCAGTGAGCTGCCTTTCCCTCCATTTTGCTGATTTTTGCCCCTGGTTTGCTTGCCTTTAAATTGTTTTTCTTGAGATTTTACGTAGTACACGTAGAAGTCTTGTCTCTTAAGGCTTTGCACACATTTTCTTCCAGATTATTGCTAGTCATTATACTGCTTATAGTGCTTTTTTGGCAACATCTAAGAAAATACATATATCCTTTGCACTGCCAACACCACTAAAAAGAATTTACTGTGAAGCTATACCTCCAATCATTCAAGTACATTGGCTGTTCATTACAGCATTTGTGATAGTCAAGAGCTGGAAGCTCCCTAAGTGTCCAAACATAAGAGATTGTTTAAATTACCATCGTATATCCACACAAGGAAGTATCAGGCAGCTGTTATTAACTTTTTTACAAGAATAGGAAAATGTCTATGTTCAGATAATGATTTCCAGTGTTTTGAGGCAAAAATACTTTAAATATCTATAAGCATGCTTAGCAGACTTTCATGGTTTTTGCTCTGTATATCATATCTAATAAATTTTAGCCTACACCAATCATAAATACTTATTTCCTTTCAATAATTTCAAATACTTCCCCTGGATTTTTTTTCTTTCTTACATTTGAATGGATGTATAGTGATACCTCATTGTGATATTTATTGTGCCTTTTCCCAATAACATTGAGCAATTTATTTGCCATCCACATTATCTTCTTTAACACATTTTTTCAAATCTTTTGACCATTTTTTAATTGGGTTGTTAATATTGAGTTTCTTAATATCGAGTTTTGATAGTCCTTTATATATTTGGAATACACGTCTTTTATCAGATAAGGGTTTGCAAATATTTTCTCCCACTCTGGTTTGTCTTTCTATTCTCTTCACAGTGTCTTTCAAAGAGCAAGGGTTAACTTTGAAGTACAATTTTTCTTCTAAAATGACTGGGCTTGGGGGATTGTATCTATGAAATCTTTGCCTAACCCAAGATCACAGAGATGTTCTAAGATTTCCTCTAAAAGTTTTACAGTTTAGGGTTTTACATTTAGGTCTCTGATGTATTTTGAGTTAAATTTTGTAAGGGAAAGATAAAGATCAAGATGTATTTTTTTGTATATGAATATTCAGTGATTCAGCACCATTTGTTGAAAAAACTCCTTACTCCGTTGAATTGCCTGTGTACCTTTGTCCAAAATCAACCATATTTACATGGGTTAGTTTTGAGACTTTCTCTTTTGTTCCAATCATCTATATATGTATCTCTTATCAAATAACACACTACATTGAAAATGTAACTTTATAGAGACTTTGAAATCAGATAATGTGAGTCCTCTAACTTGTTCTTTTACAAAATTATTCAGACTATTCTGGTTCCCTTGTTTTCCAAGTGAATTTTAGAATTGGTTTGTAAATTTTTACAAAAATTCTGAGATTTATATTGGAATTTGTTTAGATGTAGAGATTAATTAGGGGAATTGGCATCTTTACTATTTTGGCTCTTTCAGTACATGAACCTGAATGTCTCTTACTGTTTTAGGCCATCTTTATTTTATCAGTGTTTTTGTAGTTTTTAGGATAAATATTTTGCACATATTTGTAAAATTTATACCTAAATATTTCGTGGTTTTGGTGCTATTATAAAGAGTACTGTCTTATTTCAATTTCCATTTTTCATTACTAGTATATAGAAATACGACTGACTTTTGTATATTGACCTTGTATCCCGCAACCTTGCTAAACTCATTCATTCTAATAGCTTTTATTCATAGATTGGTAGATACTTTGTGCTTTCTCTATGTAGACAATCATGTCGTCTGTCAAACAGTTTTCTTTCTTTTCAAATGTATGCCTTGTTGTTCTTCCCTTTTTGCATTGGCTATAACCTCCTGTGTGGCACTGGAGTGGAGAGCCGACATCCTTCCATTGGATGAAAAGTGTTTGGTCTTTCACCATTATTATTATATTCACTGTATGTTTTTGTAGATGCCCCTTACTGGGTTGAAAATGTTCTCTTCTAGTCCTAGATGGCTGAGAGGTTTTTGTTGTCATGAATAGATGTTGAATTTTCTCAAAGACATTTTCTGTATAAATTGATATAAGCATATAGTTTTTCTTTTTTAGGTTCTTAGTAAGGTGAATTATATTGATTTTCTTTTTTGTTAGTGGTCAGGACAGAGTATCTTATTAGTTTTTAATTAACAAATAATTATATATTTATGGGGTACAATGTGATTTCATAGATGTATATATTGTAGAATGATTAAATCAAGCTAATATATCAATCACTTCATACACTTACTTTTGTGGTAAAAAATACTTAAAATCTACTCTCAGCAAATTTGTAAATATGATACACTATTATGAACTACAGTCACCATGCTGTGCCACAGATCTCTGAAACTTATTCCTCCTGCCTAATGGAAATGCTGGGCCCTTTGACCAACATCTCTTCATTCCCCCTCTCTCCCAGCCTCTGTTAACCACCATTCTGCTCTGTGCTTCTGTGAGTTCGATTTTTTGTTTTTTCTTTAAGATGTCACACATAAGTGAGATGATGCAGTATTTGTCTTTCTGTGCTTGGCTTAGTTCACTGAACATAATGACCTCCAGATTCATCCATGCTGTTGCACGTGACAAGATTCCCTTCTTTTCTAAGGCTAAATGGTATTCCATTGTGTGTGTGTGTGTGTGTGTGTGTGTGTGTGTATGTATCTACACATATACCACATTTTCTTTATCCATTCATCCATTGATATACACTTAGGTTGATTCCATATCTTAGTTATTGTGAATAGTGCTGAAGTGAACATGGGAGTAATGAGCGTGCAGACATCTCTTCAACACACCAATTTCAATTCCTTTGGATGTATACCCAGGAGTGGGATTGCTGTATCATATGATAATCCTATTTTTAGTGTTTTGAGGAACTTTCATGTTGTTTTCCATAATGGCTGTACTAATTTACATTCCCACCTACAACATACATGGGTTCCCTTTTCTTCACATCCTCACCAACAATTGTTTATCTTTCATGTTTTTGAGCATGACCATTCTAACACCTCTAATGAGGTGGTATCTCATTGCATTTTTATTTTGCATTTCCCTGATAATTCATAATGCTGAGCATTTTTTCACATATTTGTTGGCCATTTTATGTTTTCTGTGGAAAATTGGCAATGAAGAACCTTTGCCCATTTTAATATGGTGGTTTTCTTGCTGTTGAGTTAGAGTTCTTATATATTTTGGATATTAACCCTTATATGTATAATTTGCAAATATTTTCTCCCATTCCATAGATTGTCTCTTTGATCTGCTTTCTTTCCTGTGCAGAAACTTTTTAGGTTGATGCAATCCCGTTTACCTATTTTTGCTTTTGTTGCCTGTGCATTTGGGGTCATATCCGAAAACTCATTGCCCAGATCAATGTCACAGAGCTTTTCCCCTGCACTTTCTTCTTGTAGTTCAGGTTTTATATTTAAGTCTTTAATCCATTTTGAGTTTTGTATGTGATGTGAGAAAAAGTCCCAACTTTTTTTCTTTTCATGTGACTATCCAGTTTTCCCAGTGCCATTTGTTGAAGAGCATGTCCTTTCTCCATGTGTTCCTGGCACCTTTGTTGAAAAACAATTGACTATAAATGTGCAGGTTTATTTCTGGGATCATTTATTCTGAGCTGTTGGTCACTGTGCCTGATTTTATGCCAATATCATGCTGTTTTGATAACTGTAGCTTTATAATATGTTTTGAAATCAGATAATATGCCACCTCCAGCTTTATTCTTTCTCAAGATTGCTTTGAGTATTTGGGGTCTTTTGTGGTTCCATAGTCATTTTAGGATTGCTTTTTCTATTTCTGTGGAAAAGGTCATTGAAATTTTGATAGGGATTGCATTGAATCTGTAGATCATTTTGGGGAGTATGGACATTTTAACAATATTCTTCCAATCCATGAATATGGGATAGCTTTCCATTTATTTATGTCTTCTTTTTCTTTTATCAGTGTTTTATAGTTTTCAGTATATACATCTTTTACCGCCTTGGTTCAATTTACTCAAGTATTTCAGTTTTGGATGCTGTTGTAAGTGGATTTTCTTCATTTATTTTATTGGATATATGGAATTTCTGAACATTAAATCAGCCTTGCATTCCTAGACTAAATCCCACTTACTCATTTTATATTACTTTTTTTACATATTGTGAATTGAGTTTAATACTTGATGATTGTTGGGTTCTGTGTTCATGAAGGATATCATTTTGTAGTTTTCTTCTTCTTCTTCTTTTTTTTTTTTTTAGGCGAAGTCTCGCTCTTGTCCTCCAGGCTGGAGTGCAATGGCATGATCTTGGCTCACTGCAACCTCCACCTCCTGGGTTCAAGCGATTCTCCTGCCTCAGGGTGTTATTTCTTCCTTAAATGTTTAGTAAACTTCAGTAGAACAATCTGGGCCTGGAGATGACTTTTTTGAAAAGCTTTTAACTATAAATTCCTTAATAGTTATAGTACAACTCAGATTATCTATTTTATGATGGGTGAGTTTTTACAGTTTGAATTTCCAGCAATCAGTCATTTTATCTAACTTGTCAAATGTGTGTAGATTTGTTTTTTAATCTTCTTAATGCCTGTAAAATTTGTAATATGAACTCCTTAATTTGTAATACTGGTAATTTGTGTCATTTCTGTGTTTTTTTGTTTTGGTTTTGGTTTTGTATTTTTTGGTCAGCCTTACTAGAGGCTTATTAATTTTAATTATTTTTTCAGAGAAACAGCTTTTGGTCTCTATTTTTTTTTTTAACAACCTCTATTTTGCTATTCTGAATTTGTCTATGTCAGCTCTTAAATTTTATTTTCTTGCTTCTGGTTACTTTTATTTTGCTATTTTTTCTAGTTTGTTTGTTTGTTTGTTTTTAGACACAATCTCAACCTGTCAGGCTGGAGTGCAATGGGGTGTTATGTCAGCTCACTACAACCTCTGCCTTCTGGGCTCAAGTGATCCTCCCACCTCAGCCTCCCAGAGTAGCTTGGATTACAGGGGTGTACCACCATGCCAGACTATTTTTTAATTAATTAATTTATTTATTTATTTGTGGAGATTGGGTTTTGCCAGTTTGTCCAGACTGGTCTTGAATTCCCAGGCTCAAGCAATCTGCCTATCTAGGCCTCCCAAAGTTCTGGGATTACAGGCATGAGTCACTGTGCCTGACATTTATTAGTCTCTTAAGGTGGATGTTTAGATCATTGATTTCTGACCTCTTTTTAAAATATAAGCATTTGGTGTTCTAAATTCTCCATTAAACACTGCTTTAGCTGCAATCCTCAGATTTTGATTTTCATTCATTCAGTTCCATATACTTATTTCCCTTTTCCTCTTTGAGCCATGGACTATTCTAAAGTATGTTTAATTTCCAAGATTGGAGATTTTATTGTGGTCTTTTTGGTCATCAATTTCTAATTTAAAGCAGTTAGGGCCAGAGAGCATATTCCATATTTTCTTCATTCTTTTATAGTTGTTAAAATCTGTTTTGTCACCCAAGATATGCTCTATCTTGGTGAATGTTCCATGTGAGCTTGAAAAGAATGTGTGTTCTTCTCTTGTTGGGCACAATGTTTTATAAGTAACAATTAGATCACCTTGGTTGATCTTCTTCAGTTCTTTTCTATCCTTTCTGATTTTCAGTCTAGTGATTCTATCAATTGAGAGACTGTTGAATTTCCTATTACGGATTATTTATCCTCTTTGTTCTATTAGTTTTCATGTATTTTGCAGCTCTGTAACTTGCTGCATACACATTTAGGATTAATATATCTTCTAGGTTAATTGGCCCTTTTGTTTTTGTGTAATGTCTCTCCTTGTCCCTGGTAATCTTCTTTGCCCTGAGGTCTACTTTATCTAATACTAATTTAGCCACTCCTGCTTTATTTTGGTTAATATTTGCATGTTATATTGTTTTTCATTCTTTTACTTCCAATCTACTTATATCATTATATTTGAAGTGAGTTTCTTGTAGATAGAATCTGGTTGGGTCATGCTTTTTATCCATTATGCTAATCTGTCTTTTAAGTTTAAGTATAAAAGTTTAATGGACAAAGAATATTTGTATATATTTATGGGGTACAATATGATGTTTTCTTGCATGTATACGCTGAAATGATCAAATCGGGCTAATTAACTTATCCATCACTTCAAATATTTATCATTTATTTGTGGTGAAAACATTTAAAATTTCTTTGAGCTATTCTGAAATATACAATATGCTATTATTAACTATAGCCACCATGCTCACCAGAATTTATTCCTCCTGAAGAACTGAAACTTTGTACCCTTTGACCAACACCTCCCTGTTCCCTGTCTAACCCCCTGCTCTGACCCTGCTTGGCCTCTGGTAAACACCATTCTATCTTCTACATCTACGAGTCTAATTTATTTAGATTCCATGTATAAGTGAGATCATCAGGCATGGTGGCTCATCCCTGTAATCCCACCACTCTGAGAGGCCAAGGTTAGGCGATTGCTTGAGCCCAGGAGTTCAAGGCTGCATTGAGCTGTCCATGTTTGCCCATTTTTTAATGGGTTTGTTTTTTACTTGAGTTGTTTAAGTTCCTTAGAGGTTCTGAATATTAGGCCTTTGTCAGATGCTTGATTTGTGAATATTTTCTACCATTCTATAGGTTGTCTGTTTACTCTGTTGATAGTTTCTTTTGCTGTGCAAAACCTTTTTTTGTTTTGTTTGGTTTTTGAGATGGAGTCTCACTCTGTCACGTAGGCTGGAGTACAGTGGCACAATCTGGGCTCACTGCAACCTCTGTCTCCTAGGTTCAAGTGATTCTCCTGCCTCAGCCTCCTAAGTAGCTGGAATTACAGGCATGTGTCACCACACCTAGCTAATTGTATTTTTAGTAGAGACAGGGTTTCACCATGTTGGCCAGGCTGGTCTTGAGCTCCTGACCTCAAGTGATCTGTCCGCCTCAGCCTCCCGAAGTGTTGGGATTACAGGTGTGAGCCACCGTGTCCAGCCTGTGCAGAAGTTCTTTTAATTAGGTCCCACTTACCGATTTTTGTTTTCATTGCAATTGCTTTTGAGGACTGAGTCATAAATTCTTTCCCAAAGCCAACACTGATGTCTAGAATAGTGTTTTCTTAGGTTTTCTTCTAGGACTCCTATAGTTTGGGGTCTTACATCTAAACCTTTAATCTGTCTTGAGTTAATTTTGGTGTATGGTGAAAAGTAGGGGTCCACTTTCACTCTTCTACATATGGCTAGTCAGCTATCCCAGCACCATTTATTGAATAGGGAGTCTTTACGCCATTGTTTATTTTTGTCAACTTTTGTTGAAGATCAGTTGGCTGTGGGTGTGTGGCTTCATTTCTGGGTTCTCTATTCTGTTCCTTGAATCTTTATTCTGTTTTTGTACCAATACCATGTTAATTTGGTTATTATAGCCTTGTTTAGCCTATAGCCTATAGTATAGTTTGAAGTCAGATAATTGATGTCTCTGGCTTTCTTCTTTTTCCTCCAGATTGCTTTGGCTATTTAATATGGAATCAGGATCTTTCCTGATACCATATAAATTTTAGAATAGTTTTTTTCTAGTTCTGTGAAAAATGACATTGGCAGTTTGATAGGAATAACACTGAATCTGTTGATTGCTTTGGGCAGTGTGGCCATTTTAATGATAATTGCTTCTTCTACTCTATGAGCATGAAATGTTTTTGCATTTGTTTTTTAATGTCACCTAGGATTTCCTCTTTTTTTTTTTTTTTTTTTTTTTTTTGAGGCAGAGTCTTACTCTGTTGCCCAGGCTGGAGTGCAGTGGTACAATCTTGGCTCGTTACAACCTCCACCTCCCAGGTTCAAAAGATCCCCCTGCGTCAGCCTCCCAAGTAGCTGGGACCACAGGCACGTGCCACCACACCTGGCCAATTTTTGTATTTTTAGTAGAGATGGGGTTTTGCATGTTGGCCAGGCTGGTCTCAAACTCCTGACCTCAAGTGATCCGCCTGCCTCAGCCTCCCAAAGTGCTGGGATTACAGGCGTGAGCCACCACATCTGGCCTATGATTGCTTCTAGCAGTGTTTTGTAGTTCTCCTTGTAGAGATCTTTCACCTCCTTGGGTAGATGTATTCCTAGGTAACTTATTTTGTGGGGTGCTGTTGTAAATGAGGTTTCATTCTTGATTGGCCCTCAGTTTAAACATTATCAGTATATGGAAATGCCACTGATTTTTATACATGGATTTTTGTATCCTGAAAACTTATTGAAGTTGGTTTCAGTTCCCGGAGCATTTTGGCAGAGTCTTTAGGGTTTTCTTTGTATAGAATCATATTGTCTTGGAGCATAGTGGCTCATGCCTGTATTCCCAGCACTTTGGGAGGCTGAGGCAAGATGATCACTTGAGCCCAGGAGTTCGAGACAAGCCTGGGCAACATACAGAGACCCTGTCTCTACAAAAAAAAAAAAAAAAAAAAAAAAAAAAATAGCCAGGCATGGTGGTGTGCACTGGTGGTCCCAGCTACACAAGAAGCTGAGATGTGAAGATCACTTGAGCCCAGAGGTTGAGGCTGCAATGGGCCATGATTGTGCCACTGCACTCCAGACTGAGTGACACAACAAGACCCTCTCTGGGGGGATTTAAAAAATACATATTATATCTATCTATACACACACACACACACACACACACACACACACACACACATATATATATAAAATCAATCATATTGTCATATTGTCCACAAATAGATAGTTTTACTTCTTTTCCTATTTGGATGCCCTTTATTTCTTTCTCTTGGCTGGCTGCTCTAGCTAGGACTTCCTAGCTAGAGCAATCACTACTATCACTACTAATCACTACTAGTCACTACTATGTTTACTAGGAGTGGTGAGAGTAGGCATCCTTGTCTTGTTCCAGTTCTCAAAGGGAATGCTTCCAGTTTTTACCCATTCATTATGACGTTGCCTGTGGATTTGTCATTGATGGCTCTTATTTTGAGGTATGCTCCTTCAGTGCCTAGTTTCTTGAGGGTTTTTGTCACAAAGGGATACTGGATTTTATTGAAAGCTTTTTCTGTGTCTATTGAGATGATCATATGGTTTTTTGTTTTTAATTCTGTTTATGTGGGGAATCATATTTATTGACTTGCATGTGTTGAACCAACCTTGCTCCCAGGAATGAAGCCTACTTGATCATGGTGAATTAGCTTTTTGATTTGCTGTTGGATTCAGTTTGCTACTATTTTCTTGAGGATTTTTGCGTCTATGTTCATCAGGGATATTAGCCTGTAGTTTTCCTTTTTCATTGCCAGTACCATTTATTGAAGAGACTGTCCTTTCTCCATTGACTGTTCTTGGTACTTTTGTTTTAAAAAAAAATCAATTGACCTTAAATGTGAGGGTTTATTTCTGGGCCTTCTATCCCATTCCACTGGACAATGTATCTGTATGTATGTCAGTACCATGCTGGATTTTTTGTTTGTTTACGGTTTGTCTCTGGGGATACAAACACAAGAACCGGCCAGGCATGGTGGCTCATGCCTATAATCCCAGCACTTTGGGAGGCCAAGGCAGGCGGATCACGAGGTCAGGAGATCGAAACCATCCTGGCTAACACGGTGAAACCCCATCTCTACTAAAATACAAAAAATTAGCTGGGCATGGTGGCGGGCATCTGTAGTCCCAGTTACTCAGGAGGCTGAGGCAGGAGAATGGCATGAACCCAGGAGATGGAGCTTGCAGTGAGCTGAGATTGTGCCACTGCACTCCAGCCTGGGTGACAGAGCAACACTCAGTCTCAAAAAAAAAAAAAAAAAAAAAAAAAGCCCACAAGAACCATGATGTTTTGATTACTATAGTTTTGTGATGTATTTTTAAATCTGGTAATGTGATGCCTCCAGCAAATGTGCTAATGAGGTTTGCTCAAGATGGCTTTGACTATTTGGGGTCCTTCTACACTGTGTGCTTTATTTGTTGTTTGTTTATAACATTATGCTGCTGACCAGGGATACTCTGTTTTAATTGGTATATTAACTTCTTTCAGCATTTGAAAAATGTTGTGCCTCTTCCTTCTGACTTCCATGATGTCTGAGAAATCCATTGTCGTTCAAATCTCTATATCTCTCTAGATAATGTGTCATTTTGCTCTGGTTGAGTACAAGTTATTTCCTTTGTTTTTAATTCTCAGAAATTTGATTAGGATATGTCTGGTATGAAATTCTTCGAGTTTAACCTGTTTGGGTTTGATTAACTTTTTGAATCTATAGGTCTACGAATTTGGGGATGTTTTCAGCTATTATCTCTGCAGTGCTTTGTGGGCAGAGGAAGGGGTACCCTTTTTTTTTTTTTTTTTTTTTTTTTTGAGACAAAGTCTCACTCTCTTGTCCAGGCTGGAGTGCTAGTGGCATGATCTCAGCTCACTGCAACCTCCACCTCCCGGTTTCAAGCAATTCTTCTGCCTCAGCCTCCCAAGTAGCTGGGACTACAGGCATGCACCACTATGCTCAGCTAATTTTTGTATTTTTAGTAGAGACTGGGTTTTGCCACGTTGGTCAGGCTGGTCTCAAACTCCTGACCTCAGGTAATCCACCCGCCTTGGCCTCCCAAAGTGCTGGGATTACAGAAGTGAGCCATCACACCTGGCCTGGGGTACCATTTCTACTCACGTCAGTGCACCGGGGGAGATAGTCGACAGGACTCCATCTCAGTGTCTTCAGGGCCTGGTGGGGAGGGGGAGAAGTGTCACCTTTACTTGAGTTAGTGCAAGGCAGGGATGGTCAACAGGGTACTAACCCTACCTGGGCTTCTGGTGGAGAGGGGTAAAAGTGTCACTTCATTAATACAGAACAAGAATCAACAACAGAGCTATGCTCCCACCATTTCCTCATCATACAGTGGGGAGGGAAGCGTGGCATCTCTTATGATATTCAATTGGAGTAGAGCAGGTATACTCAAAAGGGAGCAGAATTCTATTTTAAAATAAAAATCCAGGGCTGGGCACAATGGCTCACGCCTGTAATCCCAGCACTTTGGAAGGCTAAGGCAGGCAGATCGCTTGAGTGCAGGACTTTGAGACCAGCCTGGGCAACATGCTGAGACCCCATCTCTATGAGAAAATATTTTTTTTCTTTCTTTTTTTTTTTTTTGAGATGGAATATTGCTGTGTCACCCAGCCTGGAGTGCAGTAGCGCGATCTCGGCTCACTACAACCTCCGCCTCCCGGGTTCAAGCAATTCTCCTGCCTCAGCCTCCCGAGTAGCTGGGACTACAGGCGTGCACCACCACGCCGACTAATTTTTTGTATTTTTAGTAGAGACGAGGTTTCACTGTGTTAACCAGGATGGTCTTGATCTCCTGACCTTGTGATCCACCCACCTCGGCCTCCCAAAGTGCTGGGATTACAGGCGTGAGCCACCGTGCCTGGCCTACAAGATAATATTTTTAAAAATTAGCTGGGCGTGGTGGTGCGTGCCTGTAGTTCCAACTACTTGGGAGGCTAAGTTGGAAGGATCATTTGAACCCAGGAGATGGAGGTTGCAGTGAACTGACATGGTGCCACTGCACTCCAGCCTGGGCAGCACAGCGAGGCCCTGTCTCAGGAAAAACAAAAACAAAAACAAACAAAAAAACAACCTCTCTAATCATCATTAAACCAGATAATCTGTCAAATCAGATACTGACAATTCTGGCAATAATATTTGAGAGCAGGTTGTGATTGCTATTCCTGCAAATAATAATCAGTGTAACTTTCCCTGATTTTATGTAGTTATTCAAAACCAAATCTAAGAGCACGAAGGACCAATTAATTTGGAAAGTATTGATATCTTAGTCAAGTTCTAAGTCAGTATTAACAATGGATGTACCTACTTTCTCTTTTGTTCACTGATGATCTTATTTTTCCATTGACAGCTGCATCTCCAGTGTGATGTGTGATAATGCAAGCATAGTACTTAGGGTGAGGAAAGTAAGTGACTCCAGCATTCTGGTGATGTATTCTTTGAATACGTAATATGGAAACTAACAAAATTGACCTTGCATCATCTTCTGCAATGTAGTAAAGAAATTCTATTTGCAAGCCCAGAATGATTATTTTAGTGAAATTTAGATGCTGTGGCCTGAAGTGGTGGCACATGGCTATAGTCCCTGCTATTTGGGAGGCTGAGGTGGGAGGATCCTTTGAGCTCAGGAGTTTGAGCCTGCAGTGAGCTGTGATTGTGCCATAGCACTCCAGCCTGGGCAACAGAGTGAGACCCTGTCTCAGAAGAAAAGGAAAATTAAAGAACAATGAAAGTGGACATATGACATGGCTGAAGAGATCTGGTTAAGCCATTTTCTTGATTATAAGAGAACAGAGTCTATAAGGTAATACATGGGCAGTGGAGACCAAAGTAGAAGATAAGACAGAGGGAGAGAAATGTGTAGAATCATGTACAAAGAATGTCACTTGCCAAAGGGAACAGGAATAAGTAGAGGATCCCACAAGGATCTGCAATTCCCAGATAACTTAGGTTAAAAAGGGGGTAAAATTGAATTGCTGTTGGGTTTTCATTTTCCAGAAACATGGTGGAAATGCATAGCACCTCAGCATTGTTCAAAACTGCAAACACAAAGCAAAACTAAAAAAATCCATGGTTAGATGGCTGGAATAGAATAGAAACTTCCAAAATTGGAGAATGAAAAAAATCCAGAAAATTCAACAAATGCTGAAGTTAATGTCTTATTTCATAGAATTCCAAAGGCTACATGATGAAATACAGGCCTCCACCAAATTGGTGGTGAGATCAGAAATCTACAAGATCCGGGACCCTCAGAAAAGTAATACTCCTTGTAGGTAAACTGAGGGAAAATCTATTCGTTAGAGAAGGATGAACAGCTACCTCCCTCAGCTTCAGAGATGGGTGAAATCAAGACAGAGAAACAATTATCTTCAGAGAATTCCTAACCATAACCAAAGTCACATTTGGGGTTTATATCAGTCAAGGTCCCAGGATGATAAAGATGACACATACAAATTAAGGTAATTTGAGGAAGGTTTAATAAAGGAACTATTATAATTTGGGGCACAGTTTTTTTCTTTTTAAGTAGATGAATTGGCTCTCCAGTCTGTGGCTCTCCCATCCCATCCCTCCCCACAGACCTCATCTGACGGCTATTGCCCTTTGGTAAGATAGTGCCTTCTGGTTATAACAGCCTAGGCTGCTACAGCCATTCAGAGCTCTCTGACCCAAAGATTCCCATCTGCTCCCACGCCCCTGCTGCTGAGCAACATCACCTAGACACAAAGGTCCCCACTCCCATCTCCTCTCCAAGTGTTCCCTTGCTCTCCTCCCCTTCTGGATGGTGGCTCCTGCACCTCAAGCCTCTAGACAGTCTCATGCTATGAGGAACTTCCCTCTCACACAACCCTACTCAAGCCCCACTCAGTAAAGTTTGCTGCCTCCCATGGTCGCATCTTTTTCTTTGATCAGCTCCCAGATCCCTCAAACCCCTACAGATCTGTATCCCAAATATATAAAGAGCTCTCAAAACTCAATAAGAGGCCAGGTGTGGTGGCTCATGCCTGTAATCCCAGCACTTTGAGAGACCGAGGTTGGCGTATCACCTGAAATCAGGAGTTCAAGGCCAGCCTGGCCAACATGGTGAAACCCAGTATCTACTAAAAATACCAAAATTAGCCGGGCATGGTGGCAGGCGCCTGTAATCCCAGCTACTCGGGAGGTTGAGGCAGGAGAATCGCTTGAACCCAGAAGGCGGAGACTGCAGTGACCTGAGATTGCGCCATCGCACTCCAGCCTGGGCCACAAGAGCGAAACTCTGTATCAGAAAAAAAGGGAGATAAAATAATTCAAATAAGTTTATATAATACCATTACCAAAATGCTGCTTTCAGGAGAATTAATATTTTCCTTTGTGATTGTTGGAAATCTCACATTTGAAAGATTAGCAATACCTCAGATTATTTTGGCATAAACTTAAAAAGGAGAAAAAAATGAAATATTTAGAAACCATAATTTGAAAAGCAGCAAAATATGTTAATCTGGAAACTAATATATTTTCCTGGGTTACGAGTAAGTGCTTTTTTTTTTTTTTTTGAGATGGAGTTTCGCTCTTGTTGCCCAGGCTGGAGTGCAATGGCACGATCTTGGCTCACCGCAACCTCCGCCTCCTGGGTTCAAGCAATTCTCCTGCCTCAGCCTCCCGAGTAGCTGGGATTACAGGCATGCACCACCACGCCTGGCTAATTGTATTTTTAGTAGAGACGGGGTTTCTCCATGTTGAGGCTGGTCTCGAACTCCTGACCTCAGGTGATCCTCCCGCCTCGGCCTCCCGAAGTGTTGGGATTACAGGCGTGAGCCACCGTGCCCAGCCACAAGTAAATACTTTATCCCCTCATAGAAGCACACGGTTTTACTGCAATTCAGTAGCTTCTCCTTTTTTTCTTGAGACAGGGTCTCACTCTGTCACCCAAGCTGGAGTGCAGTGGTGCAAACACATCTCATTGTAGCTTCAACCTCCTGAGCTCAAGCAATCCTCCTGCCTCAGCCTCCCAAAGTGCTGGGATTACAGGCGTGTGCCACCACCCTGCCCTCAATAATTTCTTTTTCTTCGAGACAGGGTCTCACTCTGTCACCCAAGCTGGAGTGCAGTGGTGCAATCTTGACTCACTGCAGCCTCAACCTCCCAGGCTCATGTGATCCTCCCACCTCAGCCTCCTGAGTAACTGGGATTACAGGTATGCACCAACACCCCTGGCTAATTTTTGTTTTTTTTTTTGTAGAGACAGGGTTTTGCCATGCTTCCCAGGCTGGTCTCGAACTCCTGGGCTCAAGAAATTATCCCACCACAGCCTCTCAAAGTGCTGGGATTACAGGCATGTGCCACTGTGCCTGGCCCCTCAATAATTTCTTAAAGGAAATTACCACATGAGAATTTACACAATGGACACTGAACATCATTCAAACAGGAAATGTAGACTTTAAGGCAGGAAGTATTATTAGAAATAAAAACGAATTTTTTATGACAAAAAGATCAAAACAGAGATAATAAAATTTAAAATATATATGCATGCCTTGCTTCAAATATAGGATCCAAAAGTTGACAGAGTTAAAAGGAGAAATGGGCACAGCCATGGGAGGTGTGAGAAGGGAGCCAGTGGGAAAGCAAAAGACTGAAGAACAAGGAGACTGGGGTGGGGAGTAAGAAGCAAAGAAGGACCTGGGCTTGGCTGGTCCTCCAAGGGACCCAGGGACCCGGTCCAATCATGGACTGAGGACATGGGCTCAGGAGGTGGACTGAGGCCCCCGGAGAGAGCGGCAGGGTGGGAGGTGTAACCTGCACAGCATGGAGCAGTGGGAGCCTGGGGTTCCATCTGGAGACATGGGTTCTAGTCCCACTTGCTGTGTTTTTGGGGCATGTCACTCCATCTCCCTGGGTTCAGCCTCCCCAGGGAAGGACACTCTCTCCACCCTTCCCCAGCCTGGCCCTCACAAACGATGATGCCAAAGCAGTATCCTTCATGTGTGGGGTTAGCGATAGGGCCGCTGGCCAGAGAGAAGATAGAGGCAGGGCCTCTGGCATTGTGTGGAGCCTGGATCTTGCTCTGCAGTCTGGGAGAACCCTGGGCATGGGAGGAAGAGCCAAGAAACCTCTCAGGCTGGATGACAGCCTCTGGGGGCTCACACCGTCCTCTACCCTAGGAGAGGCCAGGGCAAGGTGTGCACCCTGCTGCTGTGCACCTTCTCCTTGTCCTCCTCTGAGGCCTCAGGCAGTCGCCCAGTTGGGTCACTCTTCACCAGGGTTAGGCCTGGCACCTTGGCATGGAGGGCCAGCTCTTGCCCACAGGCTCTAGAGGCCCTGAGGGTCACCAGGGCCCTTCCCCCTCCCGTGACAGCTTGCACAGGATGCTGTCTTTGGAAAGGTGGTTAGGGACTCACACCTTACAGAAGAGGAACCAGAAGCTTGGAAAAGATGACTGTTCCTAGGTGGTCAGTGCCAGGGCCTGGCCAAAGCCCACTTCTCAAGCTCCAAGTCCATGGGGTGTTCCACCAGAACATCATTCCCCATTGAGCAGAGCCTCTGCCTGTCCCCAATGCTACACACACACTTCAAACATATACATCAAACACACAGACACACACACACACAGAGTTCTGCTGCCTCCACTCCAGTCAGCAACCTGGGCTGGGCGCAGGCGCGAGGGTTTGTCTCTGCGTGGGGGCTTGGGAGTGCCCCACACACATTTCTTTGGGTGTAGAGAACCAGGCGTCCTGCCCCTCCCCCAGCTCCGGATGGGTCTGTGCCTGGCCCTGCTGACTTCTGCCCTGAGATGAAGCTGTAGACACAGCCTGTAGTGTGGAGTCTTCCTTGGGTCCCTATTTGCACACCCAGCATCCCACCCAACCTGGAGATAAGGTGAAGAGGCCCAGTCAGCCCCCAAAATTTGGTGTTTCCAAGGTCCTTCAGGTGGACAGTGCAGCACCGCCCAAGGAGCACTAGGGCATGGAGTGCGGTGGAAAATTCTGCAAGCCAGGGGGCTGGAAACCAAGTACTGCTATGGCCGTGACCTTGTGGCCTTGAATGACAAAGCACCTGCTAGGTGCCTCCCAGGACAGCAGGTCCTCAGGCCAGAGGCAGTTTTCTGCCCACTTCTTCACCACTCAGCAGTCCAGAGGCTGCCCTGCCATTCAGGCTCCCCTGCCCTCTGGCTTTCAGGTGGCTTGGCCAACGGGACGGGCTGGCAGGAGTCTGGGCAGTGGGGAGGAACAAGAGGCCAGGGTAATTATTCCCCCAGCATCCTCCCTCTGAAGCTTCCACCTTTAGCCACAGCCCCACTGGTCCTGATGACTACTCTGTCCCTACCCCTAGAGCCCAGGACTGGTAACAGCTGTGCTTCACCATCCCTTATTGGCTTCCCAGAGCCTGCAGCTCTGTAAGTAGTCCCCTCATTAAACTCTCTTCCAGCTGCATCTTTCCTGGTACATGCTGTCAGTTTCCTGCCAGGAGCTGGACTGATCCAGCACTTGATAAATGTTTCTTCATTAAATCCTGCCAGGTGCCAGCTTGGGATCCAACCCCATGACACAGAGTGGCTCCTGCCACATGCCAGAATGTCCCTGCCCTTCTCTCCAGAGGCCCAGTCAGTGAGAGGAGGAGGAACTAGAATCCAGGTCTCCTGCCTCCCAGAGCAAGGCTCCTGTCACTCCACTCCCTGGGGCTTCTTGGGCCTGAGATCTTGAGGCAAGTCTGGTGGTGGAGGAGGTCTTGAGCAAGACAGGCTTGAATCCTCTCTTCCTGGTGGCACCCATTCACTAGGGCAGCAGGTGCCCCAGCAGCACCAACTCACCAGCATGGGTGGAGGGGCCAGGTTAGCAGGTTCCCAGGCACCTGCAGCGTCAGCCAGCATGCAGCTCCTGGCTTCCCACGGGCGCCACTGACTCAGCAGTCAGAGGCTGTGGGTAACACTGCTGCCCCCTTTGCCAGCTTATAGGTGACAGAGGCTTCTATAGTCACTCACCGCTGGATAACTACTCCCCTTTTTGTCCTTCACACACTTTCATAATCAATCCCTTATATTTAAATTCCTTCCATTGGAAACACCTAGAGTGGTTTCTGGTTTTTTGTTGTTGTTGTTGTTGTTTTCTTTTTGAGACAGAGTCTCATTCTGCTGCTCAGGCTGGAGTGTGGTGGCATAATCTCAGCTCAGGCTGGAGTGTGGTGGCATAATCTCAGCTCAGGCTGGAGTGTGGTGGCATAATCTCAGCTCACTGAAACCTCTGCCTCCCAGGTTCAAGTGATTTTCCTTCCTCAGCCTCCCCAGTAGCTGGGATCACAGGTGCACACAATCACACCCGGCTAATTTCTGTATTTTCAGTAGAGATGGGGTTTCACCATGTTGATCAGGGTGGTCTCGAACTCCTGACCTCAAGTGATCCACCCACCTTGGCCTCCCAAAGTGCTGGGATTACAGGTGTGAGCCACTGTGCCCGGCTGTTTTCTTGACTAGTCACTCACTGTTATCTCAACTATGTCCTAAGACATAGCTCACCCTAAAACCAGAATTCACGTTAAAGACAGGGTAAGATTACTCACTAAGCTCCAGCACTACTGAATTCCACTGTTGTGATTTCTCTCTCTCTTTTTTTGAAGAGACAGGGTCTCACTGTCACCCAGTCTGGAGTGGAGTGGCATAATCTTTCACTGCAGCCTCAAACTCCTGGAGTCCAGCAATCCTCCCACCTCAACCTCTTAAATAGCTGAGACTACAGATGTGTGCTACCATGCCCAGCTAATTTTTAAACAGTTTTCGTAAAGATGGGGTCTGGCTATCTTGCCCAGGCTTGCAATTTATAGAGCTCCAGACACCCTCATTGGTAGCTGCTTCTGATAAATTCCACACTATGGCCAGAAGATGGCAGCAAACCACCAGCTTCAGCCACTTACCTGTGGCCCAGGACACCGGACCAGGTTTCCAAAATCTGAGCTTCACATTCCTAGACCTCCAGAGGTTCTCTTCATGGCCACCTGGACAACTGGCAAACCATTCTGTTTCCTTACACGTGCACATATCATCCAGATAACTGAAACTCTTATCAATAAAACCCCAACATCACAACCAGGGCATAAATTCTCTTTCAAACATCATGGTGATATCCTTATCTTAGATTTTTGGTAAACATTTGGAATTGGATAAACCATCATCCTTAATTAAGACAGAGAACACTTTTTTTTTTTTTTTTTTGAGATGGAGTTTTGCTCGTCACCCAGGCTGGAGTGCAGTGGCGCGATCTCGACTCAGTGCAACCTCCGCCTCCCGGGTTCAAGCGATTCTCCTGTCTCAGCCTCCTGAGTAGCTGGGATGAGAGGCGCCCGCCACCACACCTGGCTAATTTTTTGTATTTTTAGAAGAGACGGGGTTTTGCCATGTTGGGCAGGCTGGTCTCAAACTCCTGACCTCAGATGATCCGCCTGCCTCGGCCTCCCAAAGTGTTGGGATTACAGGGGTGAGCCACTGCGCCTGGCCGACAGAACACTTTTAAAGAGAGATCCATAAAACATCGCCAGTCAGCTGACCTAGGTAGTTTGGGGTGTATTTGTTCTTCAATGTGGCATCCTTAGGGAACCTGGTGGAGGAAACACATGCATCAGCAGCCATTGGTGCCAAGCAGAACACAGCTAGGTTCCCTGTATCCCCCAGCACCACCCAGAGTCACCTGTTGGCACTGGCCAGTGGGATCCAGGTCCTGACCATTTGGAAGGTTTCAGGTGGCTTCTAAGAATTCCAACATTCATCAGCATAAATTCAGCTGTTATCTTAATTAGCACGATTATTTCAGTATCAGAAAATTAATAAAAATATAGAACTCCTGGGTCATGTAACCATTTGGACAATTATTCCAACTTTTAAGTTGGTGAAAACGCTTTTTAATAAAGCACATCACTCCATAAAACGCCTTAAGGAGCCCCGGGTGGTAATGAGAAACAAAGGCCCTTTGTATGCTAACAGGTTTGTGAAAAATGTAATAATGAGGGCACACTTTCGTTGCAGTCTTAATAAAAATTAGGAAAAGATTGATCAAACTGAATTACAAATGTTCTATGCTGAAATTGTGGTCATGACCCAAGTTAAGCGATCACAAATTCTTGCTGGTGTTGGAATCTCCATTCTTGGTCATGGTTTGGAGTGAAGACAGAATTTCCTATCTTCTTGTGCCAGGTTTTTCTTCTCTATGTCTGTTATTATAACAATGTTCTGTGGCGGCTGAGCCATGACTCAGTGAGTGACTCAAAGCACGTTCAGTACTCACCCCTCCCGCGGGCACGTGCCCAGGCTTGCAGGCACATGGCCCCCCTCTCCCGGGAGCCTTCACCTACCCCTAAAACCTGCAGGGGCCTGAACCTGGAACAGAGAGGCCTCTGGAACAGAGGCATGGCTCTGTCGAGGTCTGTGGTGCTGACCAAGGCTGCTTCCCTCTGTGTCTGCTTGAAGTCCACCCTCAAGTGGATTTCCCATCCACCCTGCTCCCAGAGATGGTCAAGATGGAGACCCATTCCATGGTCTCCAACGGGAAAAGTCAGGACCATTCTGGGTGGCTATGAAAACCTGGCCAGAGCATCCAAGCTCACATGCTCCCAAATGATGGCACCTGGCTGCTGACCTGACTGTGGTCCCCACATCCGGCAGAAATGGGAAAGAAGGGACAATGGAGCCACAGCGAAGAATAGCAGCTATGACTACCCCCGGCACAGACAAGACCAACATGGCTCCTTAGGGACAAGGACTTTGTGGATTGTAGGGGCAACCCTACAGTGGATGGCTTTATTTAGGGCCAAAAAAAGGCAGGGGATAGGAGTCCTCCTGGAATTCTATCAGTCTGTCTCTCTCTAAACACTCAATGAAGACCTCGAGGGGAGGTTGTGGTCTCTGTGCCAGACGAGAGGAAATGCTAAGGGTCACTGGGTTATGGAGGATAAGCAGAGGGCCAAAGGGATGATCCCTCTGAAGGCCTCAAGGCTGAAGGGCCTTCCTCTCATCTGCCAGGCAGAGCTGCCACCCTATCTCTTCTGTTCCATGGGGGGCTGGCCTTCTGCTAAGGCCGAGGGTGGTCTCAAGTCAAGAGGAGTATCAACCCCCTGCCCTACAGACCCAACTAGCAACATGAGACCAGATAAGACAGTCTCCAAGCTCACCTCCAGGTACAAATCAGGAAGAACCATATAAGGCGGCCTTCATGGAGGCAGACAGTTTAGGAGCCGGCCCTAGGATGCCCTGATTTGGAAGGCAACACAGAAACCCTAAGTCCAGGAACAGGACCATGGAAAATGGCCCTCGAGACCCCCTCTGCCTAGAGTTGCCTGTAATTATGTCATCCTTTCCTAGTCCCTTTCAAGATAAATAGAACATGAGTGGAGAAGTGAGAATACGCAAACTGCAGATAAAGCAGGCCCCCTTGAAGAGACTGTAGACCCCTCTATCTCGGTCACCCGCCCTGCCCCAGATGGGGTTCTTCCTTCACGGAAGCTTTGACCCCACCAGACCCTGCCCAGGCGTCAAGGAGAGCCTCAGCCAGCCCTGCAGTCTGGGATATGATGGGGAACCATGAGACTCCCCAAGAGTATAGATACCACCTCCCCCTGGTACCTGCTGGGCATAGCTGCCGTCCTCCTAGTAGCCAGGGGCTAGGCCGGGCTCACACATCAGACTCAGTGCAGTGTGTTATCCTTTAATGAAAAGCTGGGTCAATGGAGTCACCACTCTCCCCAAGACCCCCCTGCAGCAGATAGCCCTCACCATGGCTACCTATGAGGCAGGGCAGCCCTGTGGCAGCCAGCCCTGCTGAGGGGTCAGTTTGTAGTGGCCTAGGAGAGGCGTTCAACTCTTAGACCTAGGATGTGGCAGCAGCAACAAGGCCAGAGGCAGCTCAACTGAGGTCAGGGATGGTGGAGGAGGCAGACAGGAAGCATGGGGCTCTCCTCCTTCCTCTCCGAATCCCAGTGTGGCCAAGGCCAGTGTTCAGGAACAGTACAGTCTCCCCAGGGGCCTGGAGTCTCTTCCAGCCACTCTCTGGAAGCCCTTAGTCCCCAACTCCCTGCAGACCGGTGTCACAGGGTCGCTGGACTCGGGGAGCAGGCTGGGTACTACCCCATGAGCCTTGAGGCCCCGGGTCTAGGAGGTGGATCCAGCAGGGCCGAGGCCAGAGCCACCAGGAGACTGGGAGTCACCTTCCACTAACTCTGCTTGTCAGTCACTACAGGCACCTAAGAAGGTGGCCTCTCCTCCGAGCTTCCAGGGCTGCCCAGGCCAGGCTGAAGCAACAGCAGGCCGTGGCTCCTGGGTTCCTATAGATCTGTGACCTTGTTTTCCACAGCAGCTGCAATCTGCTGGAGCCGATAGCCCAGCTGCATCTTCTGGGCCGTGCCATCCTCCTCCAGGGCAGTGATGATCTGAAACAGAGACCAATGCCATCAGGGGAGACTTCTTTGGCCAACGTGTTTGCTGCAAAATTCAACAGCCCTCCTAAGACGCTGTGGCATGAGTGGGGTAGGAGGCCAAGAAACCCAGCCGGTCACTTCACGTACTTTCTGGGACCTCAGGGCCTCGCTGGCGGGAGGGGTAATAACATCAAAGTCACCGCGGGGTTCCAGGATGAATAAGGTAGGAAATGAAGGACCTGACTCAGTAGCGAGCTCCTCAGAAGCCCTGCTGCAGCCATCCTGGCTAACCCACCCGCCAGCCAACAGTATTTCCCAAGTTCCTGTCTGCCCGGTGCCAGACAAGGGGCAGAGACCCAAGAATGACCAGACACGTGGTGGGAAAACAGACACTGATCAAACACGAACCACGAATTTGGGGCTGCCACCAAGGGAACCGGTAGGAACCGGAGGGCAGCAGCACTTGGGAAAACAGCTACTGCCCACTATGTCTCCACAAGGGGACATGCCTGCATCACACCCTGCCTCCCCCAAGCCCCGTGCCATGGCCCACACCATGCCGAGGAAGGCTGTGGGCCATGAGACAGGTTCCTCATCTCTGAGCAGCAATAGCCATGTCACTGGTGCCACACAAACATCTAAGTGGACTATTCCACCAGGCATCCAGCAGGTTGACTGGCAGGTGCTCAGCTCTTCAGGCACAGCCCAGGGATCCTCCAAAAAGCTTCACCAGCTCCAGTGTACCCTCACACCCCTGGCCCTGTGCCTGGACTCTCCTCTTCGCAGCTCATGCAGCCAAGCCAGGCCTGCACTTGCATGTTGGCCGTGCCCAACATGCTGCCAACTCAGCAAATGCACACCATCTCCAGGCCCTGGTAGACCCCTTGGCCCCCACAACCACCAGCACTGTGCCTCGCCGTCCTGCTGGGGAGCTGGAATGGGGAGCAGTGGGACAGGTGAGAGCACAGCCAATGCCAGGAAGCCCGCCTGGAAAACACTTCTCAAGCCACCAAGGGGCCCGGCCCCCCACTACTCTGTCCCTGGGGAAGACCAAAGCCCCCAACGTGAGTCACAGGGTCAGAGCCCCTTAAGTCTCCTGGGAGGCCTTGGGTCAGCCTCCCAGTCGGGGTCCAGGGCCTGCCCACCTGGTCATAGTACTTGTTGATGTACTTGTAGAGTTCATGCAGGGCCACTCGCGCCCCGAGGTCTCCGGAGTAGTTCTAGGGAAGAGGCCAAATGAAAGGTGAGAGAGACGAGGGGTGCAGAGAGCCACAGGAGGCAGCCCAGGACCCCAGGGAAGGGCTGGGGGAGAAGGGGACCTGAGAGGTAGAGAATGGGATGGGCACTACAGTGGGAAGCAGAGTCCCCTCCATGGCCCAGGGACCCCAGGCCAGGTGTGCCAGATGGGGACAGAACAGGGTAGAGCAAGGGGGCCTCCTTGGTAGGAAGACAGCCCAGGTCTACCTGCTTCAGCAAGGTCTGGGGTTTCCACTGAAGCCCTGCCTCTCTCACCCCCTTGAGGTTCTAGCCCAGACCCTCTGCCACCCAGATGACTCCAGAGCCAAGTGGCACAGATGCCACTTGCAGGCTGACAGCCCAGCATGATTCTGCTCTGGCCTAACTCAAGTATTTCCTGAGGTCACTCTCAGGCCCCTCCATGGGGACATCTCTGAGCCTCAACTTCCTCACCTGGACGATGGAATTGGTGTCACCTAGCTTGTGGAGTTCTTGTGAGGATCAAATAAGACAATCAAAGCACCCCATGAAGGGCTTCACACACAACACCCCAAAATTATATCTGCTATTAGTGTTGTGGTTGTCATCATCAACATTTCAGAAACATTGTTCATAAACTCCCTGGAGTTACATTTTAGGGCGGTTTCAGGAATGGGAGAGGTGAAGGGGACACCTGTGCCACCAAGGGAAGCACAGCAGTGGGAAGACGCATGCAGGCAGACCCAGGCAGGCCTGGGGCTGAATCCCAGCTACCTTGCAAGAGCCTGGCTGAATCAGGGTACATGGCAGCTGCCAGGACAAGACCCCTGCTTGCTCTGTGATGAGATGGTGGGAGCCCTGGTCTTTCAGTGGCAGTTGGAACATTCTGCATTTATGTTTCCTGCCCCAACCAGCTCACAGGGCTGCTGAGGTTCCCAAGGGCTTCCCTGCAAAGGGGCAGTGTGAAGGGGGAAGGACCGTTGTGGCAGGAGGCCTATGCCCAACCCAAGAAGCAGAGGGAGGCCTTACCCAGGACAGTTCAGCCAGGACAGAGTTCATCTCTTGGTCGCTGGCTGGGACAGTCTGTCTGATGTCTGCATAGTACCTGCCAGAGAGCCAGGGCACAGCAGCTGCTGGGTAAACAAGCCCACTCCCCTGCTCCCAACCAGAGCCCACCCCCCAAGCCTCAGCTGCACACGCCCTCCAACCTCTACCCACCGTGCCCTCCAGTACCTTTCCACCATCCGCTTGTACCGGGGAATGTCCCGTGCATACAGAAGTTTGTTGATCGGGGAGTCCTGGACATAGCAGGAGGACAGCAAAAGAGGAAGGAAGGAAGGATGAGGGTCCCTGTTCGAGTGATCAAGTGTCCTGGGTTTCCCAGTACTGCTTCAGTTTTGAAAAGGAAAAGTCTCACATCCCAGGAAGCCCCTGAGTCCCGGAAAACCAGGACAGGTGGTCACCCTCGCCTACTTCCTTCCGCAGGAGCCTCTGCTGCTCCCTCCCTTCCACCAATGTCCAGTCTCTGATGTCATCGGAAATCATTTCTCAGCTCCACATGCCACCATCTAGATCCAGCAAGAGCCCGGTACGTAGGGCAGGACGCATGCTGTTCACTCCCAGGGTCATCATTTTAAAAATGAGCAAACAGACCCAGAACATTACCTAAGCGGCCACAGACCACCTCTCTCCCCAGTGGCTGAGCTAGGATTTGAAGCAGGTCTGTCCAGTTTCCACCACTTTAACACACCTAGACACAGCGTCTACAACTGAACTGGGTTCAAGTCCCAGCAGCCATGGGCTCTGGGCAGCATACTTCTATTCTCAGGACCTCTCCTCATCCTAGAGCTGCTGGGAAGGTGAGAATATCTCGAGGTGGCACTGTCCCCCATGAGCAGGGATCCAAGGCCAGCTCCTCTGTCAACCTGAGTCAGGATTCGCGCCTTCTTGACAACTCCCCATGGGGGAACCCTTGGCATTCTTTGTTCGGACTACTCCTGAGCTACCCAGGAACCATTTGCTGTTCTGCTGGGAAGGGGAGGTACTGGAAGGATCTGGCAAAAATCCCAGCCACCACATAGGGTCTACCCTGGAGGTGGCCCTGCGGGTCCTGGTGTGGCCCTTTGATTCTTAGCTCATTATAGGCATGATGACAGCATGTGGAACAAAAATGGCTCCCAAAAGACAGTGCTACAATTTTGGACAGAACTTTCCGTTTTTGTTTTTGTTTTCAGACAGGGTCTCGCTCTGTTACCCAGGCTGAAGTGCAGTGAACAGAGTAGTCATGGCTCACTGCAGCTTCAACCTCCCAGGCTCAAGCCATCCTCCCACCTCAGCCTCCCTAGTAGCTGGGACCACAGGCACACACCACCACTCCTGGCTAATTTTTGTATTTTTTGTAGAGACAGGGTTTTGCCATGTTGCCCAGGCTGGTCTCAAACTCCTGAGCTCCTCAGGCGATCTGCCCACCTCAGCCTCCCAAAGTGCTGGGATTCTAGGTGTGAGCCACCGTGCCAAGCTAATTTTGATTTTTCCCAGAGGTGTAGGGATGTATCTCTCAAGAAGTCCCAAGCCAACTGAGACCTGGGGGTCTAGGCTAAGCAGAGCCCCACTCATGGACCTGCAGAGTCACACGAGGGCCCTGCCCACTGGGTGCTTGAGCAGACACCTTGGGGACCTCATATGTCAGGGGACTCTCGGCTTTGACTGCTATGACAATAGACTCCCAACCTCTGTGCTCCCGGACGGCTCCAACTACTCAGTCTCCTGTGCTTCCCAGCTCCCCTCCTCACACATCCCTCAAACTGTGACACTCCATGAACTCTCTTCCCTACTTCCCTACTGGCAGGCAGACACCTCCACCACCCTAAGGAATTAAACCCAATCAGCAGCCCAGAGCTGCTCTGGGATTGAACAATCCATGTCTCTATCTGGAAACCCCACAAACACCAGACTCACCTTCTCCAAGTCTAAGCTTACCACAGCCAGAGGCCCAGGGATCATGTGTGACTCCCCTCCTTCTTCCTCATCCCCCACATCCAACCTTCAGCTTTTGCCTGCCCTGCACCCTCCCACCCGGCTTGAACCCAGCCACTGCTTGTCAGGACAGCACAGCGCCCTCTTGGGACTCCCTCACTCAGCTCATCCATGCACAGCAGCCACAATGTTCCACCAAACTCTCAGGTCTGGTCACATAACTTCCCTGTTCCCAGACCTTCTGTGGCTCCCACTGCCCCAGGAGTGAGTCCTGACCAACTGGCCCTGGCCTACTGCCACGCCTGGCCAGCATTCTATGCCCCAGCCACACCAGGCTGTACTTGCTGCACACAACTTCACCTGTGAATTGGCACACAGTGTCCCCTCCTCTTGCTCATCCCTTAAAACTGAGGTGGCCCCGGGATGAAGCCTTGGCTTGGGAGGTCAGAGGTCTCCCCTAAGCCCTCCTTGAAGTTCTCAGAAAAGCCTGGAATCTGAGTGCACACACAGCACTGTCCACCCTCACCCATCCCCCCGTGTCCATCCCAGACTCGCTCACCCGGCCCAGCTTGTGGTCGGCCAGGGTGCAGGCGTCCATGAAGGTCTGTGCAATGACAAGGAGCACCGCATCCATGTTATCAGATGTTTGCACGTCGAACACAAACTGCGGGTTTTTTATTATATTGATCCAGAACCTCAGAGGCAAGCTGCGGGTGGGGCAGGCATGGCCGATGAATGTGCTGGGGAGGCAGAAGAGAAGACCCCCCACACACACCTAGAGCCCACCCAGCTCCACCCCACCTGTTGGTCTTCCAGATGTGGATGGTGTCCTGGTCGGAGATGCCATGCTGCTGGGCCTGCTCATCCAGCAGGTCAAAGAAGTACTTCACAGCGAGCGGCACGGGGCGGCTGGTGCTGAGAATCACCTGGAACAGGTCATCCACGAACTTCTGCAGGGTGCCCTGTGGGAAGGAAGAAGCAGAGAGGTGTGGTCAGCAAAGGGCCCTCAGCAGCAGCCCAGCCTCAGACACCCCCCGGCACTGTGCCTGCACGAGCCCCACACCACCCCCAAATCCCACGAGTGGCCATGCTCCCTCTCAGCCCAGGCCCCACTACCTTGGCAGCCCCACCCCACCTTCATGGACAGCAGGCGGGTCAGGTAGATCTCAGGGATGGCCTTGGCGCGCTCACGCTCCCCGCCCCGAAGGCTGCCCCTCCGAGGCCTGGGCGGCTCCGGCTCATCACTTGGCTTCACCAGGTGCCAGGGCCGGATGCCCCCCTCATCTACATCCTCCAGCATTGGGGTCCCTGTGCCAAGAGCCCACAGCTGTCACCCCTCCCCAGGTGCCACCTCCCCAGGCCCCCTGTTTCTTGCCAGCTCTCCCAGGGGTGGGGGCACCTGGTTGAGGGATTTCCTGGGCCGAATGGAAATAGGCACAAGCCTGCCCTGAGGCCCAGAGGACCTTCCCCATGACTCCGGGCTGGGCACAGCAGGGGCAGAGGACCGTGATGGGAGCGGTACTCACGCTCTCCAGGGACATAATCCTGGTTTTCCCGGAGCACATGCTTGGTGAGGCAGGGGACGAGGGCCACAGTTGCTCCATCTGGGACCTGCTGAGCACAGCTGGTGATCCCTCCACCAGTCCCACCCCACCATGCCCTCCTCCAGCTCCCACTCCTCCTACCTTGTAATGCTGCAGTGTGTTCAGGCGCCTCCACAGACCCTGGACCTCAGAAGTGACATCCTCGTCAGAAAGAATGAGGTGCCCGGCCACCCCAGACCGCCACTCTGCAAGGGCAAGGCAGAACTGGGTGCAGGGCTGGAAGATACCCTTCCCATAGTGGAGCCCATCTCCTCCTCCACAGGGACACCAGCCCCTCCATCATGGGGCAGCCTTACTCAACCTCTCCAAAGACCAAGAGCAGGGACCCCCTCCCCAGATGAGAGGCTGTCCAAGAAAGATGTTCCAAAGCCAGCTTCTGCCTGCCTCCCAGCATCCTCCCCACCCTGAGTGATGAGTTGTCCCTGCAGAGTTGGTCCGGGGCCAGCCCAGGCCCAACAGTGGCTCAGGTCCCCAGGGGCTCTCCACGCCCTCACCAACATCAAGGGTGCGAGGGTCTGGCCGCTGGGTGAGAGGCACTCCTTTATAAAGCTGGTCCAGCATCTTCTCCTTTGCCTGGGAGATGGTGTCACAGTCTAGGACCTTCACGGGCACGCCCTGGGCCTCTCCTGCCCCAGGCCCCACAGCCAATAGTGCATTCAAGGTCTGTGCAGGACACACAGGAGCCATCAGGGTTCATGTGCACTCAGGATGACCAAGACACAGGCCAAGGGCAGAGACAACTCATGAGAAACTGCTGCCTCCAATCCCCACGCACCACACAATCCCTAATTCTCGTCTCTTCACCTGCCTGCCTTCCCCAGGGACAGCAGCTTCCTCCCCATTGTGACCCCAGCACCTAGCGCAGTGCACTTGTAAACCACTATGGGGTAAATGGCAGAAAAAAATGAGTGAGCACAAGTCCCTCATCACTCAGATCCCCAGGTTCCTGGCTGAATGGGTCAGGCTGACGGAGTTTCGGGAAGCCTGCATTCCCACCATCGGGAGCAAATATTCCCACCTATCCGACAGGGGAGGGGTTCAGCAGGCCTGAATGGGGGTTTCCCACAGGAACCCTTGTGCGTAACTAAGGGGAAAGCAAACCCAGAGAGAAGTGCCTGCCAGAGTGAGGCTGGCTTGGTGGGCAAGGCCGCATTCCTGGTAGGAGGGCCAGGCAGACAGGGTCAGGCCCTGACACAGCTCAAGCCCATGGTCTAAGGTAGGGCTGGCTTCTCCCAAACCCTGGTTGTGGCTACCCTAGTTCCATCCCTAGCCTGGGGCACATAGAGGCCTTATCATCAAAGTCTGCCCTAAACTGCTATCCTGCTAAGCTAGTCTGATGGGCTCTCTCCAGGAGCCAGCCAGAGGTCAACCCAGCTCTACATCCAGGTACCACATCAGAAGCTGGTGTCCAGACCCCACACACCCACACACTCTCCACCCTCGCCCTCACCGCACTCAGACTGCAGGCCACACACTTGCACACCCTCACCAGGGGACGGTACTCCACATCCTCTCTGAGCAGGCGGTTGTCGTTCAAGGTGTATTTGGCCTTGCCTGTCACACTGTCCACTGGCCCCTTATCCACTTGGTGCTTAATCCCTCGAAAGAGCATGTACAGAGGCTCCCCTACGGAGTCCTAGGAGAGCACAGGCAGTTAGGGCCCCCCAGCAGGTGGCAGAGGTGTATGGGACATGACGCACACTGGGGAAGGGGACAGGACATGGGCTTAAGGGGACTGAGGACAGGCTGAGCAGGAGTCTCTGCTCTGGCACAAGTGTCCGAGCTGCATGGTGGCTGAGGGCTTAGAAGTTTGGAGGGCCTGACCCTCCCTGGACAGGAGCCCTGTCCACCTCTGCCCCCTCACCCTCACGAAGGTATACAGACAGATGGACATCCAGTTGGTGAGCAGCTTCTCCACCACAGTCTCTGTCCTGAGATGATGGGAAAGGGGAGTGCCAGGGTCAGCAGGTGGGGCTGCGGGCCTCTCTATCCTGCAGACCCCCCAGCCCGAGGCCCCACCCCAGCTCCAGCTGTCCAGGGCCCACCCAGCCCCAACAGCCACACAGACCTGCGCAGCATCAGCTTGGGGTTCTTGGCCACATACTGGGCAACCAGGTCACTGAGCAGAGTGCGGAGGATGTCAGTGAAATACTCAAGCTTCCCATGCAGTGCCACGGTGAGCAGAGATGCCACGTAGGCACGGTCCCGAGCTGAAAAGGTGCGCTGGCTCTCCAGCGTGTGGATGAACTGCAGCCAAAGAGAAGGGATGGGAAAAGGGGTTTAGGGGGACAGAGGGGCGGGCTCAGAAACCATGCCCTGGAGAAGGGGCAGGGCCAGGGGCAGGCCAGGAAGATGCAGCTGGGGGTACCTTGGTGAGGAAGAGCTTGCTGTTGAGCAGGTTAGAGAGCTGCCCCAGCCCTTGCTCCACAGTGGGCCGTCTGCTCTCAGGCACACCCAGGTCCCGGTGCAAGGGCGACTCGCGGTGCCCAGGGAAGAAGATCCTCTCCGCATACACCTTGTAGTCGAGGAAGGGGATGCCGCTGCCCAGGAGGTCACTGGTGAGATCGGTCATCTCAGTCATGAGGTCTGTTAAGCAGAAGAGGCCAGGTTAAGCACCTGTTAAGCACCAATCCCGTGTGATGGGAGTGGGTTTGGGCAGAGTTCTGGAGGGCGGGGCCCATTCTCTCAGCCACACCTGTGAATTCCTTCTTGCAGCGGTCCCGCACACTGCTCTCCAGATTCTCCAGCTGGATCTGAACCTTCTTATAGTCCCTCAGGGCCTGCTTGCTCTTCCTCCTGCTCAGCCCCAGGGTCAGGAGAGGATGGCCAGATGAGTCCTACTCGCCCAGGCCTGCCTGACAATCCCCAGGCACACCCCGGCCTCATCCAGCACAGTCCAATGCAGCCATGCCAGCCAAGCTCAAGCCTAGCCCAGTACGATTCAGCCTGTCCCGTCCCAAGCAAGTCACACACACCCATGCCCCGTCTAGCCCAGCACAGTTTAGCCTAGAGATCAGCCAACCACAACCAGGCCAAATCCATCCCACAACCTATTTTTATAAAGATTTGTTAGAACACAGCCACTTTCATGTGTTTCCATGTCGTCCCTGGCTGCCTTTGTGCCACAGTGGCAAAGCTGAGTTGTTGAACAGAGACCACTTGGCCTGCAAAGCGAAAATATTTACTCTCTGGCCATTTACAGAGAATGTTTCCTGACTCCTGGCCCGGTCTGTCCCTTCCCAGTCCAGCCAGATCCCACGACCTGCCCCAGCCCAGCCACATCTGGCTGCACCCACCTGTACATGAGGACAATGATGATGACACCCAGAGCCAGAAGAGAGGTGCCCACCCCCAAGCCCACCTGGGCTGCCACAGGAAAAGCCCCAGGGCTCTCGCCGTCATACTGCACGTGACCCAGGGAGAAGCGCAAGTTCCCCATCTGCACCTGTGTCAGGAGCCACCTGTGAGCAAGGGTTTGGCCCAGGTCAATGCCCAGCCCGGCCAGGGACCTGCCCACTGACCGTGAACTCAGGCAAAGAGTCAGGTGCCTCTCGGAGGGCATGGTGCCGTGGCAGGGGCTGCTCCACGGGGGGCTCGCAGTACAGGTGGTGCCGCGTCAGCGTCTTCACCACACAGGGGCCATCCCCTATCATAGCCACCACCTCCTCCTTGGACATTGCAAGGTCCAGGTTCTCCCCCTGGAACAGAGGGTCACCGATCAGTCACTCAGGACCCTTCCCTCAGATCCTGTCCTCCCCAAATGTGGGAAGGACCCTGAGACCCAGCCGCAGCAGCAAAGCTGACAGCCTCTCAGCACCCTTCCCGAGTGCAGGCCAGTCACACGGTGTCCTCCAAGCTGCTCCTCATCACCCTTTGTTGCCCTTTCCTATCTTTCTTCTCCAGAACGAAAAATCTGGAGAACATAAAGCTGCCTCCCAAATCCTGCCCAGCTACCTAACAAAGCTGGAGCCCCCAATCTGTGTCTGATGACTCACCAGGGGGGTGATGATGCTGTATCAACCTGTGGTCTGCCCGCATGCCCATCTGCTGCCCACTGTGTATGTCCAAGACACATGCCTAGCGCATGTCCATGTGAGCCAGGCTGCCAACGGGGGTCAGCCCGATGGCCTATGTGGACCACACCACCCAGCTACTGCACAGGCCGAACATACAAATGCAGTCATTCCAGAGCCTGCCATGGAGTGCATCAGGACCCGGGCCACCAGCCAAGCAGTCCAGCTCGTGCCAGATGCTAGGCTAGGCACCCCCCACCAGCCCCCTCTGCCCCCACCACAGCAAGGATGAGGAGCCATGTCCATCCACCGGCCCTTGCTCTACTGTCTCGGCCTCTCCGCCACACACAGCAGTGCTGTCCAGCCAAGGGAAGGGTCTCGGGGCCCTGCCAGGTCCAAGTAGGAGCTGTACCTCCACGGAGAACACACTCCCAGGCTTGTGCCGGAATGGCATGGTGGGGTCCTCAGGGTTGAGTGGCTGCAGGGTGGGGTCGGCCTCATAGGAGAAAGGTGTGGGGTTCAGTGTTGCAAAGTCAAAGACCAGGTTGTCAAGGATAAATTCCACCCGGACCCAGGGGTCCTCAGGCAGGCCTGGGAGGGCAGGTGTGCGGCACGTGATGAGCTGGGAGGAGTTGACATGGCACGGCTCCTCAAACTGGAAGGAAGACAGGCAGGTTGACGAGGGGCCAAGCAAAGATGGGAAGAGCCTCCTCTGGCACCTGCTCTGGCTGTCCCCAGGGTGTGGTATGGGGCAAGGGGAGAGTGTGGGGGTACCCAAGGGTGTCCTACTTGCTGGCTACTGCAGGAGGGTCCAAGGGAACATGCCGTCTCCGGGACCACGCGACGCCTCCGTCCAAGCCCCTGGCTGGGCTGCAGCATTCTCGAGACCACGGTCACCCGGATTCTTGGCGTCTGTACCACGTCCAGATTCTGGCCACGGACGCATATCTCACGTCCTCCACTGAAACAGACCGTGAGCTTACGTAACGTAAGATGGCTTATGTTACCTGGACCTAAAGCACAGCCCAGTCCCGGCTAGGTCAGCTCAGCCCCAGCCCCAAACCACACGACCCCTTGCCCCTACTAGCAGCATGGGATTCTCAGTGCCTCAACATAAAGCCCTACAAACCCCCACATAGTGGAGCTGCAAAGACCTCCCTGCCACCTGCCATGCAGCCACACCCCTGGCCCAACACCTGAGGAAGCTCTTGGTGGGGCCAGCAGAGGTGATGTTGGGGTCCAAGGTATACTTGAACTGTCCGCGTTGAAGCCTCCGCTCCGTGGCCCCAAACCACACAGCCACAGGGAGCGTGGCAGGCGTGGGGCGTGGGCTGGTCTCACACCGCAGTTGTTCTGACTGCTGCTCCGGCAGCCTGGGAGGGGAGGTGGGAATGAATGCAGGGGCGCAGGCAGGGAAAACTTGGACCACTCAGGCCCCAACTGGCTTCCCTCAAGCGCTGACTGCAGTCTCCACCAGGTGTCCCTGGAGGTGCACTCCCACCACAGCTGGCTAGGGAGGGTCTGGCCACTCTCTGAAGGAGCAGACTGGCCCTCTTCCCCTTTCTGCTCTCCCCAGGATCTCAGACCCCTCCATCTTTCCCCTGGAGCAGATGGATTTTTGCAGGATGAGGAAGTGGCCCTCACAAGTGACAAGGCTGGTCTCCAACCACCACTCGGATGTCCTCCAGCCGCCCAGTCAGGAGCTTGGAGCCATTCAGGGTGAGACGGGTGCCCCCAGCTCTGGGGCCGCGGGCCGGGAAGATGGAATGGACCTTCGGATCCTGTGGGACAGACAGGGAGAGAGATGAGCATCAGACCAGACACATGGAGGCAGGGACAGCCTGAGAGACAGGCTGGCCCAGGACTGGGAGCCCCACCAAGGAATAACCAGATGGGTTGAGAGGAGCCACCAGAGAGGTTGGCCCGCTGGCAGCTGGGGGTGGCTCAGCAGTCAGGTACCTGGTAGGCAAAGTCGTGTTCTGAGACACCACGTCCTCTTCCCGGCACCTCCACCGCTGTGGCGCCGGCCACCTCCTCCCCACTGGCCCCGGTGATGCACACGAGGCTGTAGGCACAGGGCAGGCTAGGGGGTGCCAGGCTGCATCAAGGGCCCCTCAAGCTTACCTGGCAGCCCCTCTCCCTGCCCTACTGTCAGGTGGTCTTCCCCTTCCCATGCTCCATAAGATTGACAGAGACCCTCTCTCACTTTGGAGGGAATTCTTTATGACACATCAGAAGGCCTTGGTATCTGAGAATTAATATTTGTGGCTTCAATCATTTAAGTTCAACCCCAGGGGCCCCCAATAAGGAAGAATTTATCTGTGGCATAAATTTACAAAGGGGCCCTGTCAGCCTGGTTGTGGGGCGAGCTGCTGAGCAAGTGAGTGGGCACAGCTAGCCGCCCATGTCCTCCGCCACGTCACATGCACAGTACCCACTCAAAGCATGGTAGAAACTTGATTTATTCAGGAAAAAGAGTCCCTGAAAGCCTCTAGTCAGACAGGGAAATACAGGTGAAGGGAAAGTGAACCATCTAAGAAAATGCTGGTTCTTAGCCAGAAAATAGAAGCTTGGGCAAATTAAACTTCCAGAGTGTTAAGCCTGCAGTGGCTCAACTCAGTGACATTGTCACAGTTGTTGCAAACACTAGGAAGACACAAGTGACGTGTGAGCCACCCAGGGGAGGCTCCAGACAGAATATATGCTAATTGCTTCATAAATCACAGCAGTCTTATGGTCTGGAACACTAACAGTCTAGATAGTCACCGTAAGTTCTCGGTCATAACACATTCAGGGGACACTCCGTGCTCCAGGAGAGTGGTTCCTTGTTTCAAATACAGATTTGGGGGCCCCACCGTGGGCCTCCTGAATCCAGATGTTTGTGTTGGTTTGGGACAGGATCTGCAGGTTACCCTGATATTCAGCCACGTTTGGGCCCTGCTGCTTATGGACATCTCCTTAGGAATGTCCTGCGTGTGTACCTTTGGGGCCTGCAACCGCTGGCCAGGTTACCATAACCCAGGAGCCCCAGGAAGGCAGCAGGGGTCCCTAGAGACGACAGTGGAGCCTGGCCCTCGGCCAGTGTGCCTTTCTGAGGTGTGCCTTCCAAGTCTACCTTCCTGAAGAGCCTGGCAGCCCAGGACAATGCCTGGGGAAGAGTGAGCTGGTGAGAAGGCCAGCCCCTGAGCTTATCTGTCTGATCTGAGGGTCCTGCTGCCACAGCTATTAATATATCCACAGTCCCTCAGAAGACCAGGTGAGCAGAGCAGGAAGCAGAGCCACGAGTCAGTTCTGGGCAGTGACGGGCCCAGGAAGGATTCCCCAGCAGCCCAGGCCAGGAACCTACAGGTGTGGTGGGTGCTCAGGGTCTTCAGTGGCAACGCTGGCACTCGGGCATTGTGGCCAGGATCAAGGAACAGGGAGAGAGGGGGGCAGATGAGCGGTGGGTGGGAGGCCCCAAGCAGCAACGCCAACCGCGGAGGCCCCAGGCTGCGCCGTGCTCCTGCTGGGTGCAGCCAGCTTACCTGCTGGAGACCTCGTACTCCTGGGCATCCACAGCACAGGGCACTCCAGCCACCGTGACCATGCCCAGCACATCCTGCACATGCTGGCCCAGGTTGGAGCCCCTGATGGTGACACGGGTGCCTCCGTCTACAGGCCCAGTCAGTGGCTCCACCTGTTCCAGGACAAGGACTGCTCACCTCTACTCAACTGGAAAGGCAGCCCCAACCTCCCACCTTTGGGCCCCCACACCCTCCCTCTAAGGGCAGCACTGAGGAAGGGATGGCCAGCCTTTCAACAAACCGAGTGGATGAGGGGCGCTGGGCACTGGGTGGCCACAGCCTCAGCCTCACCACAGGCCTCCCGGGTCACACAACGTGGACGCTCCCCCTCACACCACACACAGCCATACTGGGGCATGGCAGTTTGGCAGCGGCTGCAGTCTCCATGTCCCACGGAACAGTCATACAGTACCACTGGGGGTGGCAGAGACACACGTGAGAGGCAGGCCTGGGAGAGCCCTGCTACCACCGCCAGCCCAGCAGCCCGCAGGTGGCTCACCATGCAGCCCCTCAGCACTGTCCACACGCAGACGGCCGGCCCGACGCAGAAACAGCCCCACACGGAGCTCCGGCTGCAGAGCCTCATAGCTGAGCTGGAGAAATGGGAGTGGGTTCAGAGTCAAGCACTGGGGGAAGTGTCAGGCCTGGGGAGGGGTTAGTCAGAGAAAGGACTAAAACGACCAGTTAGGAGCATAGGGTCAGAGGGACCCCATGGGGCCACAAGTTGGAGGGCAGAGCCAGAAATGGAGTATGGGGACCCCATGGGGTCTCAAGTTAGAGTTCAGAGCTGGGATGCAAGGACTCCACGGGGCACATGGTCAGAGGTCAGAAATGGGTGTGGAGACTCCCTCAGGGCGACACGGTCAGAGCGTGGCTCTGGAAAGTGTGGTGCAGCCAGCTACAGTTGGCAGCCAGCCTGTGGCCAGTGCAGTGCACCCGTGCCCACCCAGGCGCTCATGGTGTGCACCTGGTGCTGCTGGCAGGTGACATGGCACTGGGTATCTGGAGGTGGCTCACACTCGACCCGGGCCTCAACCACCACCTCGAGGCCCTCCAGCTCCATCACACACTCATTGTCTCCTGGGCCATCCTGAGGGCAGAGAACACAGCTGTTGGGCAGCTTCAGGAGCTGGGCCCAGGGAGTCCTGCAGGTCACCCAACAGATCCCCCAGCACAGCTTCTGGGTTGGAGTTGAGCCCTCGGACTCTGCCCTCCTCCTGCTCCCCAGGGCTTGTGCAGAGTTTCTCAACAGCTAAGGAGGCTGCAAGGACAGCGGCAGGCAGGACACACTGACCTGGAAAAGGTGCAGGTTCCTGCCTAGCAGCCGGATTTCCCGCTCCACATGGACCGGCATCAACGTGGAGCCCTGAACGCTCTCCACACAGGGGCAGGAGCTTGCCCCCAAGGTCGCCTCTTCCTGCAGGCACCAAGGGCAAGGCAGTCTATGGAGCCCACCCTGCCCAGCTCAGCCCTCTGCCTTGCCAGATTCCAGAGGCAAGGCCGGTGTGGGGCTGCAGACTCCACCCTGCCCCTCACCTCCTCCCAGTGCAGAATCACAAGGCAAGCTAGGGGTAGCATCTTCCCCACATCCCCTCCCCTGAGGCCTCCTTCCTGGGCTGGGCCTCACCAGCTCCCAGAGCCCGGGGGTGTCATACTGGTAGTCGAGGCTGGACGGGAGGATGAGGGGGGCGGGAGGGCCCTCAAGCTCTGCTGAGTCTCCATCACCTGAGAGGAGGGTGGAAGTGGAGAAGGCGGGTGCGTCACCCCCCGTCCACTCGTCCGCCTCGGGCAGCTCGCCGCCTTCTCTCGTGAGCCAGTCCAGGGCGGGCTTCACGGAGCCCATGGCCCCTGGGAAAGTGGTGGCAGGAACAGTGGCAGGGGGCAGGTCCAGGGGCACTGTGGGATGAAGAGCCTCGGGGCCAGGGTCTGCAGGGGGCACTGCTGCTACCTCTGAGGGTGACAGCGGGGAGGCCAAGAGGTCCTCAGGTGTGGCTGAGGGTCTGAAGTCAGTGGGGGCAGGGACAGCGGTTCCAGGTCCATTTTGGGGGCTGGGAGGGGAGGGCTCCTCATGGAGAGGCGACCCTGTGGAGCCAGGGGAAGATATGGAGCCAGAACCTGCCCATGGCCCCCAGGGGCTGAGCAGGGAAGGACTAGCCCCAGGTGAGATGTCCGAAGCTGTGGCTGTGGAGGGAGCCCCAGGCTCCACGGGAAGGGTGTCAGGAGCAGGGGTGGCCAGGGCTTTGGGGGCTGTGGGTGGGGAGGGGCTGGGTCCACCTCTTGCAGGAGGGTCTGGGGAGACAAGCGGGCTCTGAAGGGGGAGGCAGAGGAAGACAGGAAGGGCCACTCAGCAGGCAGGCGCGGGACAGGAGGCAGGCAGGCACAGTGTATGTTAAGAGGAAAGGAGACCAAGGAAAAGAGAAATAAAAACAGCCCATTAATTCTCCACTGGAGAAAACTGCGGGGGAAGGCTCCAGGGGTGTCTGTGCCGAGGTGGGGCATGAAGGCCAGACATCCCCTGCCTCTCAGCTACAAATGCCCTCTCCCAAAACAGGCGGGATGTATCGGCGGCTGTTCTCCAGGGAGTCCGTCACATACAGCGGCTCTGGTGCTCAGGACAGAGCCTCACATAGGCAGACAGACCCCGGGCCATGAGAAAAACTCTCACACTGGGACCCCCAACCCCCCCGGTATGGCCCAGCCCAAAGTCACACTCACCTGATGGCTTGCAACCATGGGCCCAGCATCACACGAGGCCTTGTGGGTGCACAGGTGCTGCCAGACACACCAGTTACACCCCCAGCGGCTGCTCACACAGGCCTGGCACCTGCACAGAGCACAGCCATGGGGCAAGGGTCGCCACAGGGAAGCCCAGGCCTGGGGACAGGGCGAGGAACTCACTGCGCAGATGGGCGGAGTTCAGTGACCGCCACACAGTCATAGAAAGAGAGGGAAGTTTTGGCGATCACAACAGCGCCAAATCTGAGCTCCACGCTCACGGATACGTAGTCTGCAGAGGGGGAGAGAGGGCCAGGGTTAAGCAGCAAGGAGGTGCACTCAGACCCAGAGCCGATATCCTGAGCCCTTGAATGGGGAAGAGGACCCGGGATGAGGGAATACAGTCCAAGGGCACAGAATGGAGGCTTCAGGTGGTTGGGGAGTGGGAGGACCCAGAGAAAGGCATCCATTCATGGCTCTTTGCCTGGATTCACACTTTAACCCCACCGCATCCCCTGAAGCAGGGGCTGGCCCCCACCAGGCTGGCCCATTCTCTCACCCACCGGCTCCTCTCGGCAGCACTGGGGCCTCACTAGGGTCTGGGGAGGGGCACATCACACCAGAACCAGTCAGCAGGGCAGGACTCTGATGTTCCCCAAAGTGGCAGGAATATGACTCCCCTGGCCACAGGGGTGGCAGGTCTGGCACTGATAGGAAAACCTGCCAAGAGAGCCAGGGACACACTGTTGGGGCTAGTGGGCAGCAGACCAGGGCTCACATTTATGGGACACCCAATGTGGGCAGGCACCAGCAATCAACAGCCCTCAGGCCTCCCCAAACACCCTCTGGCCTGAGTTAGAAATAGATGGGGAAACTGAGCTCCTAAAAGAAGTGACTTGTGTGAGGCCATGTGGTATCTGGCATGTCCGACATCAGGATCCAAGATCTCTACCCAGACCTTGATGCCCAGAGCCCTCCCCACCAGGGCCCTGCCTATCTGATCATTCACCTCCCTCGTCTCCTCTCGGCTGATGTTGGCAGGACTCATGGCTGCCACTTGCAGACAGCCCAGCTCAGGCTGGAAGCTCCATAGCCACTGCTCTGGGCCCTGGCCCCTCGAGCACTCAGAACGGCGACTGCACCTGGGCGAGATGACCAGTGTCTATCTGTGACCCTCATGGGCCACTGGGAGTTCATAGGGTAGGGACTCCTACAATCTGGAGGACCTGGGCAGGGCCCTAGAGTGGGCATGATAGAGGCTCCTGTGTCTGCCCTGGCAGGGCACTGATGCCCAGTGCAGAGGATGGGGGTGAGGAATTGGGGTGTCTGGGGATCAGGGGTTGAGAGTCATGGTCTAAGGGTCAGGAATTCTGGACAGGACAATTATGCAGGAGCATTGTGGGCTTGAGGCTGGGGCTGGGATGGGGTCAGAAATCTGACCTGCCAAGGAGCACGCACCACCCACAGTATGGGTCCCTGTGAGCAAGGCAAGATGCACAGTCCAGGTGCTGAGCACAGGAAGCCACAGGAACCTTCAGAAGCTGAGACAGCAAAGAGGACCTGAGGCCAGCAATCCAAACACCAGTGGCTCACCCACAAGTGGGTCCCTGGCCCCACCCAGAGGCCCCTCCCAGCAGCCATGCCCTGGCTTGTGCCTGGCACTCACTGTGCTCTGGGTCATGACATACAGGTGCTCAAAGGTCCCATCAAAGGTGAGGTCTCTGCTCACTGCAGACCCCTGCTGGATGCTCTGTGTGGAGTATGGGTGGCCATCGCTCCCTGGGCCCAAGTAGACCTGGGATCAGAGACCACAGGGTCTGGGACCCAAGTCCATGGCCAGAGGCCCAAAGCCCTCCCCTCCTCCACCCAATCGAAGTAATTTACAAATAGAATTTCCTCCTAGGCAGTCACAGGTCATACCAACTGGCCTAGCGGGGATGGAGGAAAGTCACAGGTAAACACCACCCAGTCCTGGGGAGAGGAGCTCAGGTCATCTCTCCTGGCCCAGGGGTCACAGGGATAGCTTAAACCAGGCTGGGTCCCTAGCAATCTGTTCCCTCCAGACTCTGGGGCAGGGGCCAGTACTTCCTGTGGGCTCACCCTGTGCAGCTGCCCTTGACTATCACCCAGGAAAGCGATGGTGTGTCCATCTTCCATGGTGACTGCCACAGCTGTTAGCTGAATCCCTGGCCACTCCAGAATTGGTGTGGCTTCCAGCGGGACCCGGCTGGCCATGGGGCTGGGCGTGTGGTCTGAGCCACAGGGATAAGCATCCAGGGTGTCCTATAGGCAGCAAGAAGCATCAGGAAGGCCCTCCCTGGATAACCTCCTCGGCCGCATCGTCCCTGGACAACCTCATTCCCTCCCCCAGCCGCTCTGGTAGCTCTCCCTGTACAACTGTGTTTTCTCTGCTGGCCCTCCTGGGACAATCTCATCCCCGCCCCCAGTCTCTCTTCCCTTTTTTATCCATCCTGAGGCTACAGCTCATCAATCCCGACCTCACCTTCCTCTCCTGCTCAAGAACCAAAGGTCTCATTCCATTCTAGGTCCCTGTCCCTACCCAAGAACCCCCAAACACCCTCCCAATCCACCGACACAAGTGCCACCCCTCCAGCATCCTGGTCCAAGCCCATCCAGACACTGCTGCCACCCGCATGCCAGATTTGTGGTAAGGTACCCTTCCACTGCCCAGGCAACATAGGAAGCACTTAATATTTGCTGATCTGATCATCCTCGTGCTACCACCAGCTGCCCTCGGACTCTCTGGGCAGCTCCTTGGCTGCAAATGCTTGGCCAGTGGCCTCAGAGAGGCGGAAAAGTGGGGCAATACTGGAACTCACCACTGGCAGCTGTGCACAGTCAGAATTGACATCATACTCGATGTAGGCCACCTCGGTCCCATCCTCAGCACGACCCTCCCGGGTGTAGCAGGCATCTCGCGTGCGATTAGCAAGCCGGTCCACCTCATCCAGGGGGAAGGCACAGAGGGCAGAGGCTCCAGATGCCCCAGCAGCCGCCGATGGGGGCCGGCCCACAGTGGGGGGTGCAGCCGAGGAGAAAGCTGCAAAGAGCACCTCCCCATGCGCCACCTCCCTGGACGTGGCCACAGCTGCAGCCTGGATCAGCCCGTAGCGGCCACCTTCGCAGGCCAGAGGCAACTCCACATAGGAGTAGTAGTGCTGGTCCCGGAGACACACTCGAGATACATAGGCACGAAAAGCTCTAGACTGAGCCTGCAGGTCCCGCCGCAGGAACAGGAAGTAGGCGCTGGCCCCACGTGCAAAGGCACTCACGAAGTGGTGGCTGTACTCGGAGAGGCGGCCCACTGCCAGCTTGGCTGTCTCCTCATAGGAGAAGGCAGCTTGGGGGTCGGGCGGCCACAGGGCCCGGGTTGTGATGGGTGGAATGCCACCCCCCACACCCCTGCTGGTGTATCCTCGCCCCACAAACAGGAGGGGCTCCCCTGCCAAGCCCTGGGCTACCAGCCCCACCGTGCTGACCGCAGGATCATTGGCAGCCACATATTGTGTGTCCCCAGGCCGCTCTGGCCGCAGCAGCAGCTGCTCGAGCTGCCCCAGGCGCCGCTGTTCACAGACCCCCTGGTGCACGCTCCCGCATACCACCAGGGCCCCTGGGCTCACCAGGAGCAGCTGATTCGGGTTGTTGGTAGGCTGGGCCTGGGGGCACTCATCAGGCATCACAGGTGGCAGGCAGTCCCTGCTGTCTAGCACAGGGCCGGTGGACACTGTGGCCTCCAGCTGCAGCCCAGGGCTCAGCTGGAACAGGAAGTTGGTAGCCCCCAGGTAGAGGGTGCCTGAGGTGGGGTCCCTTGCCAGGTGCTGCAGATACGTGCCATTGGGAGTGAATGCAGTTGGTGGAAGGGGCTGGAGGGTGAGGACCCACCCGGCCCAGAGAGCCTGGAGAAGAGCTGGGCCCAGAGCAGGCATGGTCACCTGGCAGGAAGAGAGGTCGAGAGAGTGGGGCTCACGTGGCCGCCAGAGCACCCTGGGGCCACTGGTAAGGGATAGGACTGTGGCATTGCCAAGATGCTCCTCCTAACCTAGGGGGTGAGCAGAGGAGGACCAGGCTTCTTAGATAGGCACTATGTCCAGGATGACCCCAGGACCACACACTAGAACAAGGTCAGAAATAGGAGACACTTCCTAGACAACACTGCCCATTCTCTGCAGGCACGATTCTCTCAGGAGACCTGCACCCCACTCACCATCCCCCCAGATCAGAGGGTGAGGGGCTGAGAGGCCATGCCCAGGAAGCAGGGTCTGGATGGGGCAGAAGAGCAGGTGATGGGAAGGAGGGGCCCAGACCCCAAGAAAGGAGAGGCTCTACATGGATGAGGGTTTCCCGGGCAGAAGAAGGAAGGAGAGGGAGGTCTCCTGAACCAGCAGAATGTTAGAATCAAGACAAGAGTTGGGTGCAGGGCCTTTCAGGCCAGGAATCCAGAAGGGTAATAACCACAGAACCAACAGGCCTGAGAGATGGGAAGAGGTTCCAGCTCGGAGGGGTGGGGCCTGAAGGGCTGCCCCCCACCTCCGAGAGCCCTCAGAATAGGTAGGAGTCATGCTGCTCCTAGATATCTAGTGTGAGGTCAGGCTCACCTGGCAGGGCCGGCTGGATCAGGAGACAACAGCATGACCCGTGTGGGAGTCACCTAGCAGGCGGGAAAGCCGAGTGTGAAGCCGGGGCCTGGGCTGCAGGCACGTGGAAGCCCTGGGCTCCCCACCGGGGAGGCAGCACAGAAGCACCCCCTCCCCACCGCCCAGCCTGCTGGTGGAGCTGGGCCCAGCCTGGCCCCTGGCCACCAAACACATTCCACAGAGGACGCCTCCTCAGAGCCCACATGAGGAGGGGGAGGGCAGCAGAGCCAGGCACCCGAGGGGCCTGGGAAAGGTCAGCTAGGAAGGAGCCCCGTGGCTGGCAGGGCCCAGCCAGGCCCCCAGCATGGCCTTCTCCCTGTGAGGTCCCTCTCTCTGCTCAAACTCCACCCTGTAAAGGCACCCAGGTACACACCCTCTACACAGCCAGGGGCTGTCCCAGCCCAAAGGGCCACCAGCGCTTCAGCAGACAGGCAGTCGCACAGCAAGATACATACACACCACCCACCCTGTATGTATATGCCTACAACACACACACACACACACACACACACACACAGAGAGAGAGAGATGCAGATGCCATCTATACACACAGCACAGTGACACACACAGACACAGCCACCCATGTTCAAACACCACATGAAGACACATCCATATAGAGACAACTCCCCCACACAGAAACACACTGCAGGCACATATGTCACACTCACCCGAGACATTCAGACCACCACTCACATTTAGACATACACACGCACACTCAGGCACACTCCCCTCGTTTGAGAGTACTTAGTTGGAGCCCTACGTACTAGAGAGCTGTAGAAGCTAGGCCATCTCTTGCTATTTCCTCTCCTGCAGTTCAGAATAGTGCCAGGGCCCAAGATGTGGGGTAAGTGGAGTGTGTCCTGGAGGAAGGTGCCATGCCTGGCTGTTCCCAGGCCCATCCCCAGGACCTCCCCAGACTTTGGGTGCCTGCTTTCCACACAGACCCCTTCTTGGGCCCCAGCTGAGGCTCCTGAGTCCCTGAACCAAGAAACTATGGCAATACCACCTTCCCCAGTGGTCTCTAGCCAGGAGCACCAAGGTTGGTGAAGTGCTGGGACAGACAATGCATCTCAGACTGGGAGACACTTCCCCTACTTGCCTGTGCCCAGGCCACGTTGCCCAGCCCCTCCCATCACCCAGCTGCCAAGCTGTCTGTGCAAAATATCCCAAGCGTTTGCTTCTCCCAGGTCGGCTCATCCTAGCAGATGAGGCCTGAGCAGGGTACTCCTGAGGCTGCCCTGAAGTGAACAGGGCCGGGCACAAGGCTCAGGGGAGGGTCCAGCAGCCTGGTGGAAGCCGGGACACTGTGGCCACAGCCCGGTGGGAGCAGGGGGGCCGTGGTCACAGCCTGGCTGGGCACTGCTCCCGAAATAGCTTGGGGGTTTCCATTTTTAGTGTGCAGAAAACAGGGCAGCTCTATGGGAGCAGGAACAAGGCTGCCTCTGTTAGCCACCCAAGGGGGCGGGGGGAAGGGGGCAGCAGGGAAAGTCTCGAACCCGGCCAGGATCCCAGGACTGTGGCAAGACCAGGCTGCCCAAGAGCCCCCCACCTAGTTTCCAAGGGATGAGGAAAGAAAGTTTCTTCCCATGGGAAGACAGAGTCCACCTGAGGATGGGCAGAGGCCACCTCTTGCAAGGGGCTACTGTTCAATTCTCCTGCCACCGCATGCCAGGGATGGGCCTTGGGCACAGGGTCCCATAGTTAGACCAATACTCACTCCTACATGCTTACAAATATTTGCTCAGAGCCTACTGCGTGCCAAAGTTCTCCAGCCCTCAAGGGGCAGTAACAAAACCACTCCCCATATGTGAAATCAAAACTGCATTGATGCATGACAGAGCCTTGGGAGATGAAAAAATGGTTAAAAACAAAAACAAAAAAAAAACACTGGATGAGGAGACAACAGGAAGAAATGGGCGGGATCAGAACAGCTCCTGGCCAGGCCACTGAGGAGGTCGGCCGCTGACCCACTCCAGGGAAAGTGGTCAGGCTTCTGCCAGCAGTCTCCCTGTGAATCAGGACCTAGCACCCCTTGCCCCTCCACACATACCATGGGTGTCGGAAGGAGGACAGAAAGAAGAGCAGTGACTTTTTCTCCTCCATTTCAGGCACATGGATTTCACTTAATCTCTGCCACAGGCCACTGAGCAGCTCCCAGCCCCTCCAATCTAGCCTCCCAACTCCCAACTTCTCAGGACTTTCCTTGAGCAGAATTGAGTACACCCCTCCCCCAAGAGCCTCTGGGGCACCCCAGAGCGGGAGGGATAAAGGCCTACCCCTCCAGTCCACACCTCTCCCACCCGATCCATGCCAGTGCTCCCCCACACATGCCCTTCGTTCCTGCCAGCCTGAACTGCAGGCTGCTTGGCTCCTCCAACCGCTGCACAGGCTCTTGCCGCTGCCTGGAATGCCCACTCCCTCGCTATCCCATTAACTCCTACACCAACCATCCTCTCCCTGGGGAGCCTCCCCTGTCCTCCCAGGCTCCTGAGGAGGCCGCTGCATGCGGTGGACAGAATGGACACACCTAGCCACCACCCTGACAGGCACGGCCGCTCTGCCTCAGGCTTTCCGAGCCTCAGATTTCCTAGTTGTACAATGGGAGGCAGGATTGCTCTGACCAGTAAACATGAAACAGTGTGTGCCTGGCATTAGTGATGCCAACCAGGGTCACCTTTCTCCCTGTTCCACCCTCCTACTCTGGACTTGAAGCTCCTTGAAGGCAGGGAGTATGGCTTCTGATTCAGAGGCCCCAGCAACTTACACAGACTTCAGCACAGACCAGATGCTCCCTGTATGGTGAACGAACCCCCATTTCACACCCAAGAAAACCCAACAAGTAGGGGAGATAGGGGGCCCACAATCCCTCCAAGCCACTTGGTCTCTCAAAGGGAACACATTGGCCCCACTTTTATTAATGACCAGGCCAGGGCAGACTGAAAAGGCTGATCTAGAACCAGACCTCACATCCCCAACTTACACAGCCAGGATCTCCTGCCCATTCCCAATATCTGAGGCCCTGCTCAGACTCACAGCCAAAGCCTAACTCTGCCTGTGCCCAGTGCTCCCCCACACATGCCCTGGAGTCTCTTCTGGGGCCACCCTACTCTGAACCTTTTCAGGGGGCGCAAGACTGCCCAACTTCTGTCTGTAGAGCAAGCACCTCCCGGACCCCCGTGGAGCTGTCCTCGACAACAAAAGGGGCTCACAAACCCCGCCATTCCGCACCTGCAGAGGGGCCATAGGACAGCCCACATTTGCCTTGCCTGCCAGTTAGTGGGAAACCGGCCTTCCCGTTTCACCCTCCTGCTCAGCTCCCAGGGTTCACTACAGAGGTGAGTTATTCATTGACAGTGCAGTGGTGCCCGCTGCCCGCCCTGTTTTCTGTGTGTTGAGGAGGGGTGGGGAGATCCACCATTTACCAGGCACCTGCGATGACCCAAGGCGCTCATCGATCACCCACTTAATATGTCTGTGTGTGGAGAGGAGGGTCCCCCCCACCCGCCCGGGGGTCAGGAGGCTCGAGGTCCGCCTTTGTCAGTCCCACCGGGAGCAGCCAGAAAGGGCTGTTACTACTGAGGGGAAGCCCCGACCTCCCCACTCGGCTCGTCCTTGACCCTCCCCAACCCCCAGACCCCGAGGCGAGGACCCCATCACTGGCCCTGGGAGGGCGGGGAAGGGGCCGGCCGGTCCCCGGCGGCGACGGCGAGGAGGGGGCGCGGAGGAGCAGCTCCACCTCCTCAGTCTCCCAATCGCGTTCCAGGCGGAGTCGCCAGAGTTTCCCTTCGCGCGGAGAAGTGTGGTCCCAACTCTCAAAACCAAAGCCGCCCACCACTCACCCAGGCCGCCCCTGCCCGGCGGGATCGGGGCCCCGGCCCGTTCCACCTCGGGAGCCCCGTTCCTCGCCGCCCTGGCCCCGAGCCCCGCACTCACCACCCGGCCGGGCCCCGCGGGATGTGCGCGCCGAGGCGGGCGTCGGCCGCTCCGGGCTCGGGCTCCGCGCGCAGCGGCCTCTCCCCGGGTCTGGCGGAGCCGCAGCTGTTACCCGGAGACCGAGGGGCGGAAAACTGCGCCCGCTGCCCGCCCCTCCCGCGCGGCGCTGCCACCGCCGGGAACAAAGGAGACAAAGCCGCGTCGGCCGGGCTCGTCTCCGCTCCTTCCCCCTCGCCTGCCGGGCTGCCCTCCCCCCGCCCGCCGCCCGGGCCAGGCCGGAAGCAGCCCGGAGAGCCGGGCGCGCGGCCCCGAACCGCCCGGGACCCCGCATTCCAGCCCCGCGGGCTCCGCATCGGCCGAGGGCTGGGGACCCGACCCCTCCCGCACGGGGGAGGGCGGGGGCGGGCTGCACCGCGGCGGTCGCCATGGCAACGCGGGTCGCCCGGAGGGGTGAGGAGTGAACCCCGGGAGCCAGAGCCGCCCCGCCCCGTCGGCCTCACCTGCTCGCCTCCTTGGAACCGGAACTGGGAACTTTCCTGGTTGCCAGGAGCCGAGGCGGGGGGTCGCGCTCCGCACCCGCAGGTGCTGGTGGAACAGCGTCCCGGCCTCTTCCCGCCCGTCCAGAGCCGGGTAGCACCCGAGTCCCTCACCAGCCCGACCCGTTCTTCTGCCAGCGCCCGGCCTCGCCCCGCGCCCGGAGCTCCCTTTCCCTTCCTTACCCGGCTCCGGTGGTCATCCTCCCCAACTTTCTTTACCTGAACTCCAAGGCGCCTTGTTTCTCCCCTGCGCACCTGGCCCTGCCCACCGCCCCTGCTCACCGCCCCTGCTCCCACTACTCCCCAACAGCCAATCCCTCCTTCCGGCCCCCACCTCTGGCTGTTTGAGAAGAGCATGGGCTTTGGACCTGGGCTTGCGCCATCAACTAAACCATGTAACCTGACACCAACCCCCCCCAGCCTATTTGCTCACCAGTAAGTGGGGGTGATCCCACCTCTAGCGGGGCTGTGAAGGCAGGGAACCTGGGCTGCAGAGGCGCACAAGCAAGGGCTCACTTCCTTCCTTTCTTCCCAGCCCAGGACCCAGACCTGGACCCACCCCAAGCTGAGAAGCGTTGGGCAAGTCTGGGCTCCCTCACTGGCAAACACCTGGGCCTTCTGCGGGAGGAAACGCTGGCAGAAAGGTTCTCTCCTGGGGACCATTTGTACCCTGTGCAGGGCCCTTCACACCCTGGCATGCCCACGGCTAACTCAGGACCAGAACCTGGCCCATCCTATTAGGACTTTTGGAGGACTTTGGCTCAAAGCCATTGGCACAGCTTCCTGGGAGGCAAAAACGTCACAGGCATCATCTGAAAGCCTCCAAGGCCTCCACAGGCTAGGGGAGCCTCAATCAGGAGGTTCAGGTCATCCACACTGGCTACTGCCCTAGAGCTAGAGACACCCTCTTCCCACCTCCCACCAGCTATCAAGGGTCTCCTGTCAGGTCACCCCTTTTCCTCCACTCCCACTTCCAGCACCTGAGTCCAGGTGCTTAGCACCTTGTCTGCACCAGCATAGCAATCCCTCCCTGGATCCCTCACCCTTAGCCTCTGACCTCAGACTGCCAACCTGGCACCCCGGGCCTGTGACATCATTCTGCACAACTCCCCCACACCCATCACCACCCCAGCCAGGACAGTCTGCCCCAGTCCCTCACCCACTTTGGCTTTCCTGCCTATGTAGCTTGTAGCAGCCCCCTCCACATGCACAGAATCCCTCCCTCCCCAAATCCATTCATCCAAGCACACACTTCAGGACCTATCTCACCCCAGAGGAAACTGGGACTTCCAAACCCCACAACCCCTTTCATCTGTACACAGATACGCTACCTCCTGCCCTACAAGGAATGTGAACACTCTAAGCACAGGGGTCTTTCCATCCCATGCCATTCTGGGGAGCCATTACTCGCCAAGGATAGATTGACTGAGGGACCAGGTGCTGAGAACCTGGGGTGGGGGGCATTTGGGCCATGCTCACTGCCCAAGACTGAACACAGGCTCCAAGAAGAAAGTATGCCTTATGGGAAACACTCCTGACTCCACAGGCTCTGAGAGCTCTGCACAGGCACCAGTGAACGAGTCCCCACCTGCGGCCCCCCTGCATATAGCTACCCTGCGCTCTCAAAGGGGAGTGGGTTCTCTGGAATGTGCCTGACTTCCAATACTCCAACACCAGGACTGAATACCAGCCCAAAGCTCCTGTTTACTCAGGGCACACAAGGCCACCCATGGCCATTTAGTCAAGGTCAAGGGTCACTGTTCCCCTCTGAAAAGAGATCATACATATGCCCCACTGCACCTCCCACCTGTGGGAGACCCCCCCCTCCCTATCACTGCCTCTCCATGCACACTCCCGGTGTCCTGAGCTCTGCCTATGCCTGTGGAAGATATCCCCGGGCTGTGTGGGGGTGTGCACCCAGCCCCCGTGGCACACCACTGCTGCCCAAAGCAATCTCTGTACCAGGGATCCAGACTGGCCACCAATCCCTATACTTATGTCCCCAGCAACATTTATCAACCATTCTCCCAATCTCCCTTCCCTGCTCTCCTCTGATCACTCCTCCAGTACTAGAACCAGGAAGTTCTCCCCCACATGGTAGAGAAAGTGATCCAGGAGATGGGAAGCAACCATGGTCACGAAATGAGTAGGCAGCAGGCTAGGTTCCACTCACTGGAACTCCCAGGCCATCTGACACCGGACAGTCAGGTAACTGGAGGAAATCCAAAATGAAAATCTAGGCCTCAGGAGTGCATCCATAACAGTTCAGAAAAGAGGACAGAGAGGAGATGAGAGAGGAACTAAAGGGGGTGACTACCCCAACTCCAGGCCCAACCTTCAAGTCTTGGATCTTGATTCTTAATGAAAAAAACTCAGTCTGATTGTTTTAAATAATAAAACTCAGGATATTTTAATTGGACATTAGCACAAAGTTTTGATAATTAATGTAAATGAACCTTGTCTACAAAGCGAAGCATGCCTGCTGGTGAGCCACACAGATACTGCTCCTTCAGATTGAGGTTGTACATGCCCCCAAAGGCTCGCTTCATTGCTACGATTCTCTACTTAAATCCACATTCACAGCTATTGCCTCAGACCCTCTGGAGGAGGGGCCAGGGGTTAGCTGGCTTTGAATAGCATGTAGAGCACAGGCAGTGTGGCCACAAATGTCACACAGGTGACCAGGGTGCTATAGATGGTGTTCCTGTTGACTTGGGCTTCTAGTCTCTGCTCCGTGTCTGACAGTGCCAAGATCATGCTCCCCTGCTCCAGCAAGAAGCTGGGCATAGCCCCGTCTGCTGGTTCCACCAGGCCTGGGTGTGCTGCAGACTTTACAAGCTGAACCACCCCAGCCATTTGGCTACAAGTCTTTTCTAGGCCATCAAGCTGCTCTCGTAAGCCTTCTAGACATGAATGGACTTGCCTGGAATGACTAAGCTGCTCTTTCAAGGCAGCTGAAAGGACATCTACATCTCTGTCTCTGGTCGGGGGACTACCTGCCTGTGACCCAGAGTCCTGCCCTGGCCCAGCAGCATGTACCAGGCCCCTCAGGTCCACCATGAGATTGTGGAGGTCCCTCTGCTGGCGGGAGTAGCTAGACGCCTGTTCTCGAATGGCCTCTTGGAGACTCACAGGCCCCTTCTGCGCCTCCAGGAGTAAAGCCTTCAGCTCCTGTAGTCGCACACGGTTCACATAGGTGGAGCCAGCCACACCAATCAGGGCCCCCAGGACTGAGCCAATGAGGGACCAGTTCTTGGTCCTCTCAGCCCTTGTGCGCTCCTTCTCATGACTTTCCCGCACAGCTGCAGAGAAGAGGGAGAACTTCTCTCGCTCAGAGTCTTCTGCACGCAGATAGGCTGTGCGAAGCCTCTTCTCCTCCTGCAGAAGCAAAGCCATGTTATTGGATTACATGGGCACAAGGTGGCCCTGCAGCTATAGCCACCAGCAGATGGCTCACTACCTTGTGCCTGGCAGAGTACATGTTCCATAGACCCATGCTGAATGAATGAAGGTAGCACCAACCTGGCTGGGTCAGAAGGGCAAAGGAATTGGGAGTGATCAAAGTGAGTTGCATGATCGTCCCACCTGAGCAGTTCTGGGTTTGACCAGAGGTGCACTTATGTCTACACAAAGGGAAGTGTCCAGCACTCCCTAGGCCAGCCCCTCCATAGTTCTCCTTCCTCAGCATTCTGAGTCCCAGGCTACGCTGCCCTGAAGAGTTGGCCCCAGTACTCCAGAAGAAAGTATATGGATAGACTCTGGAAGCTTGGGGTTCTGTCCATCCATAGGAGCTTCTGGCTCACCTCTGTACCAGGCCTCTGACTACAGACCAGTCAGGGTTCCCACCCGGCCCCTCCATGATCTGCCAGGCTAGGGTCACTGTCCAGGTGCGAAAGGGCTGCCTCCTGAGGTGCCTACCTGCAGCATCCTGTGCTCGAGAGTAGCCAGTTCCAAGTACTGACTGTCCTCCCTGGAGACACGGTCCAAGCGGTCCCTCACCTCCTTCAGCTTGGCCTGGTGAACTTCCAAGTCCTCCCGAGCCTCTCGGACAAGCCCTCGAGCCACCATGAACACTTTCTCAGCCTGCAAAGAGAAAACCGGAGGCCATCTGCACCTTCTCTCCACACCCACACAGGCTCAGCTGCATTCCCAGCAAGGCATTCCCAGAAGAGGTCACTGGGGTGTGAGCTGCAAAGGGTGGAAACGGAATTCCTTAGACACTAATCCTGGCTCACCCAGTGGTGCTCAAAGTGCAGCCTTGGGCCACACCCATCAGAATCACGAGATTTAGCCATTCAAGCAGAAATAACATGCCCCTGAAAAAACTTGAAAACAGCTAACAATGCACACAATTTGTGTCCATCAAACCTGTGTTGGTAGGCTGTTTCCCGTGTGTTGCCTTATTTATGCCTTATAACAATGCCATGAAAGGCACTGCTGTGGCCTCCAGTTTATAAACCCAGAAACACCAGCTCAGCCAAGCTCACAATCTCCAAGGAAAGAGATGGCACTGTTTGTCTCAAAGTCCCAGCTGAACCCCAGGTTCTTCCCACCACGCTACACTACTACATGCCTAAGCAGGAGTGGGAACAGAGATGACAGAATGCATTTCTGCCACCACAAAGGACTTGACAACCACCACCAGCTCTTTCCACCTCACACTGTGACATTTCCTAGTGCCCTCTATCTTCACAAAAGATGTTGTAATTACACACAGTAACAGTACCGCAGCAAGCCCCACGTAACTCTCACCATCAATCCCCAAATGGTCCACAAAGGAAGTATTTGCTGGCCTCACAGAGTGGATGTTAGTGGCCAGGGACTTACTGGTACACAGTAACTGTTTTCGGGGAAAGTAGGTGGCACAGTTACATGGAGACCTTCACCCCAGAAGCATCAAGCCCAGGTTTCCACGTGAGAAATGAGGCTAAACACAAGTCTGGATGTGGCTACCCAGCACCACGTGACTGGTTTGGCACATTTCCCAAGTCAGAGGGCGGGGCCAGCCACCCCAGCTCCCCTCCTCACCTCTGTCACCTTTCCCTGGGCCTCTCGAACCTCGTTGAGTCCAACAAACTCTTCATATCTGTCCCACCAAGTCTTGGCTGTGGAGGTCGCTCGTTGCTGAATGCTGTGCCCCAGGGCTCTTCCCAGTGCTGGGAGGCGGTGGTGCAGCCCCAGGGCCACCTCCTCAGGTCTTTTCTCTCCGGGCTGGCTTGGGCCTGGGCTGCAGAGAGTCCTGGTCATGAAGAGGTCCCTTCCAAGGAGGCCCCTCCGAACCAGTACGTGGGGCACACCCACGATGTGCTGCATGGCAAACCCAGGGCTGCGCCCCATCATCCTGAGATCTGTGAGGGGGACGCCAGACAGGTCAGCTCACAGCTGAGAAAGGCTGGACATAAGTCAGTTTTGAGGCCTAGGGACAGTTCTGAACAGACTAATCCCCACTCAAATCATCTAAACTGAGCACCACCCTGTTGGGCCCAGAGACTGTGGCCCCTGTGGCAAGAGGATGGTCAGGCTCTCCTCTGGGTGCTCTTGGACAATGGAACACAGTTGGGGACGAGCCTCTAGGATGCCATACCTTCCAGTGCCCGCCACCATGCCACACAAAGCGGACCCTTCCCTGCTACCCACTTCCCTACATCCTCCAGGTCTCTCTGCTGTGACTTGAATGAGAATCCTGGTGCCCAGGTTTCTGATGTCAAAGACAGTTTTTAAACCAGACTTGTACACATGCTGACAAAGCCCCACAAAGACGCATAAATACTCCCTGCAATGTTGTGGAACTCAGGGGAATTCAGGAAGACTAAGATCCAGGATCATTTCTGTAAAACAGCCTCAAAACCAACTCCCCAGACTCTCCAAGGACTGCCTCAGCACAAGGGAAGCAGAGTTTCAATTCTGTGCAAGGACCTAAGGACACAGGCCATTTGTGACCCAAGACAGAAAACTCTCAGCTCTCCTCTAAGATAATTCCAGGGGCAAAAAAAAACAAAACAAAACTGTTTTTGCCACAGAGGACTTTTCTTAGGTTCACGCCATACAACTCCGCCCCCAGACTTTCCAGGCTACCAACTCTCAGTCTCACACTTCACGACTTCCATAAGCTTTCTCTTTCCTCTCCAACCTGCCATTGCTCAACAGGTTAGGTTTCTCTCATCTTTCCCTTTTCCATCTTGCTTTGATGTTTGGGCCTGCTTCTCATTACCTGGACAGCAGGGAGTCTCCTGTTATCCAGAATCAGGCCTCACCTGAGCCCAAGAGTGCCAGTGACTCTGAGGACCCCAAAGAGGTGGCCAGGTGACCCATTTTCCCAGAAAAAGCTGAGCCAACAGCACCCTCCTCTGGCCAAACCACACCTCAAAGTCCCTAAGCACTGATCCTGGCTGTGAGAGCGACACCTGGTGGCCAACAGACCACGCCACAGAGAGAAAAGCAGAGGGAGCTGCAGACAGGAAGGAACTGAAGGAGCTCCAGATACAGAATAGAAAGGGGCTTCCTGATGGAAGGTGATATGAGACAGAGGCTCCCCACAGCACCCTAGCCTCCTCTCCATCATGCTGTGCTAAGAACTGTCTTTGGAGAAGCTCAGCGGCTTTGAAAACACAGCTGGTTGGGTAGAAACATGTCTTCTGGGCAAAGTGGGCCTGAGCTGAGAGCCGCAGAAGGGAACTTCACTGTGACAGTGATCCCAAGCTGGTGCCACACCCAAACCCCTGGGCCCCCTTCATAAGGCTGGGTTCCATGCCCATGAGGGTGCATACCATCCAGGCCCCAGCAGCCCAGTCAGACTCCCAGGCCTCAAGGCCAGCACCCATGACACACAGGCTGAGATCCTATAACACCCCTGCAGGTGTATCCTTCATCAGACAAAGCATGCAGTGTCCGCCATGGCTGGCACCACTTTCAACACCCTCTCTTCCCAACATCACTGCCCCTCTTGGCTTCCTCCAACCTTCTCAGCCTCCTTTCCCAGCACCTCCTCTACTAGCTGCCCATTTTTAGACCCCAGCAAAGTCACCCATTCCTGGCAGAGATGACAGCTACTGTCTCCTATGCAATCTCGGCTTTCTCCCCTGCCGTCCCCCACCCCCATGTTCTGCACATGGCAGCCCAAGGCCCTGTAACACAAAAATCAGATTACATCCCTCTGATCAAAATCCCCCAACAGCTCCCATTTCACCTGGCGGTGGCCAAGAAATCCTGAGACCTCTCAGCCCTCATCCTCTTCCTTCTACTGCCATACTCTGCTCCAGCCACCGTGCTGGTCTGTGCCCTGCCACCTTGTCCAGCTGGATGACTCTTCCTCCACGAGTCTACTCGGCTCACCCCGACATCTTCATCTTTGCCCAAATATCACCTCTCAGTAAGGCTTCCTTGACCACTCCCTCCCCAGCTACCTTCTCTGCTTTATTTTTCTCCTGATGGATATATTTCCTTATGTGTTGCCTATTCTCTCACTAGAACATAAGCTGGGTGACAACAGACTTCATAAGGGAATGTGGCAATAATTCCCATGTGGCAACTGGAGTTGTTTCTCCACTCCAGTCCCTCCCCTCAGCCTCTCCACCATCCCACCAGCCCCCAACCCTGGGCCCTGTTTCTCAGCCCCCAGGATGTCACCACTTAGATGTTTCACAGGCCCCCCAACCAGCAAGGAGAAGAATGTTCCTGGCAAAGAGAAAAGGTGGAAAGTGCTTGAGGTCGCCCAAAACCTGAAAGGCAGTCAGTGCAACTGGAAAGCAAAAGCAGAGAAGAGTGGATGGAGAGGCTGGATAGGTGAAGCAGGGCCCTGAGGGTCAAGTTCGGAATCCTGCCCCTTCAGATCCATTCTCCCGCTCTATGTAGATGGCTGTCTCCTACCAACTGCCCCTTCCTCAAGCCTCTATCATCTGTTCCTCATCTTCACTTCCAGCTGATGGTCTGCTTGCTTCATTTTCCATCAAGAAAATAATAAAAAGTTGGAAGAGAACTTCCACAAACTCCCACCATACCTTCCCAACCATCAGTAACTGCCCCATTTCCACCTCCTCTCTTGATCCTCAGGATAAAAAACCCATGCTTCTAGGGAAAACCAACCTGTGCCCCAGGTCCCAAATCCTCTCTCCTCCTGAGACATTACTCAGTAATTGATCTGACACCCCCCCACCAGCAACTGCCCCATTTCTTTGGTTTCCTTTATAACCAAACTCCTTGACAGACTGCCTGAATTCACTGTTTCTGTTCCTCTTCTCTGATTCCGTCCAGCTCCCTCTGATCTGGCCTTCACCTGCTCCTCCTTCACATGCCATTTTTCACTCGGTTTCCAGTCCCCACTCATCTGCCTAACCTCTGGAAACTGTAGCACCCCGGCACTCGGCACTCAGACTCCTCTCTTATCCAGTCCTGTGGTTTTAAAAATCATCTATGAAAATGGTCAAAAAAATTTATTTTGGTGATGGCCATACAACTTTGTGAATATAATAAAACCACTGAATTGTACACATTGCATGAATTACATGGTATGCAAGTTATATATCAATAAAGTTGTTTTTTTAAAAAAAAAACAGAACTATACTCTTGACTCCTCCAGCGCAGACCTCTCTCCCCAGGGTTCTAGGCTCATTTATCAAACTTCCCAACCTATATCTCTGCCTGAAAATCTAATGGGGATCTCATCTTCCCCTCCCAAACCTTTTTTTCCCATAGCCTTCTCCATCATGGATGACAGCAATACCAAGTTCAAATATTCAGATCAACAACCTCGCATCACCCCTGATTCCTCATTTCTCTCCCACCTCACATCCATCTATCAGCAAATGCCCCTGGCTTTCCAAATCCAGGATCCCTCCTCCTCTCACCTCTGCCACTGCTACCAAATGGTCCCAGTGACCCACATCACATCTCTAGCCTGGATTATCCCAAGAGCCTCCTGACAGATGTCACCCTGCTTCTATTCCAGCCCCTACAATTTATTGTCAGTCGAGCAGTCAGTGTTCCTTTCCAAACACAGGTGGAACCATTGTCTCTCTGCTCAACCTCTACAATGGTTCCCCACTTCTCTCAAGGTAAAAGCCTGTCTTTTCCATGGCCTACAGGGAACCTACCCACTGGCTCTCATTCCTCTCTGACCTCATCTCCCACTAGTCTCCCTTTCCTCACTCCACTCCAAGCACATGGACCTTCTTGAAGTTGCTGGAACGCACCAAGTTGTCCCCAGCTCAGGGCCTTCACGACAGCTGCTATCTGTGCTGCTCGCTCCCTCACCTTCTTCAAGTCCTGCTCAAATAGTAGCCCCTTGGGAGGTCTTCCCCATGCACCCTATCAGATATGGCCATCCCACTCCCACCCTAGCACTCCTGACCCACTTTCTCTGCTTTATTTTTTCCATGCATATATCACATGACCTGCAACATGTATCCCATTTATTTGCTTTGGTTATAGTCTGTCTCACTCACTAGAATTTCAGCTTGGTACCTACATATAGTACGTACCCAGCAAAAAATGTACTCATCTGCCTAATCTCTGGACACTGTAGCATCCCAGCGCTCAGCACTGTTATTTAAAAAAATAACAACTTTGGCTGGGTGCGGTGGCTCACGCCTGTAATCCCAACACTTTGGGAGGCTGAGGCGGGGGGATCACGAGGTCAGGAGTTCGAGACCAGCCTGGCCAACATGGCGAAACCCCGTCTCTACTAAAAATACAAAAATTTTCCGGACATGGTGGCGGGCACTTGTAATCCCAGCTACTGGGGAGGCTGAGGCATGAGAATCGCTTGAACCCAGGAAGCAGAGGTTGCAGTGAGCCAAGATCGTGCCATTGCACTCCAGCCTGAGAGACAAGAGCAAGACTCCATCTCGGGGGGAAAAGAAAAAAAAGCTTTATTGATATATAACTTGCATACCATATAATTCACCCAATGTGTACAATTCAGTAGTTTTACTATATTAACAGAGTTGTATGGCCATCACCAAAATAAATTTTTTTGACCATTTTCATAGATGAACAAACAGAATTCGCAAACTGCTGCACCCCTGACTATATTATAAAACTCCTTACAGGGTTTTCCAAAGCTATAGGACCACGTGATATAACTCCCGTCCACTTCTGCCATCTCCCCGCCTAATCTCCCTCCACCCAAGCTGTGCTTTCCTTGGTTCCAGGAAAGCGACGAGCTTGAAGCTCTTTGCACATGCACATGCCCTGCTGTCTACCTGCAGTGCTCTTCCCGCGCACGGCCACAGGCCTGGTAGGCCGTCCGGTTAAGTACCCCTCCTACGGTTCCGATTCTACCCTGGCAGGACAACCCTAGCTCCTCGTACCTGGCGTGGCCCGACCAATCGTCTGCCACTCAGTTGACCTCTGACCTGTTAGTACCCGCCCCTGGAGCGCCGCATCCGGTAGCGAGAGTTCAACTTCCTGACTAGGAGCCAATCAGCGGGGCCGCCTCGCTGTCTACGACAAAGGGTGGGGCAGACGCTCCGTTTCCGGTGGCAGGGTCTGGGGAAGCGGCGGCAGGCGCCATGTCCGGCCGCGAAGGTAAGTGTTCCGGAACCGTGAGGACTGCGGGGACGGCGGGGTGGGGACCGGGCGGCAGGGGCAGGCCGAACGTGCTCGTGTCGCCCACAGGTGGCAAGAAGAAGCCACTGAAACAGCCCAAGAAGCAGGCCAAGGAGATGGACGAGGTGAGGGCGGGCGCGGAGGCACTGGCGGGTGCGGGGGCGCTGGGAGACAGGCCTGAGTTGAACACGCTCTGCCTCTCCCCAGGAAGATAAGGCTTTCAAGCAGAAACAAAAAGAGGAGCAGAAGAAACTCGAGGAGCTAAAAGCGAAGGCCGCGGGGAAGGGGCCCTTGGGTAAGTGGGGGCCGAATGGAGCTCAAGCTGGCCAAACGCTATGAGCACCTATTGGGATGAGGGCGCGGGCATGTCTTTTTCCTGCCTCCTGAACTGCGAGGTCTCGTTTTCCGACGTCCGCTGCAGCGAATGGTCTCTAGCCAGTCTAGGATTTGCAGCGGCAGTAAGGGCCGGGAGCTGGAAACGAGGTCTCCTGCCTCCCAGGCAGTCTGGGCTTCCATTCCTTAGGAAGAGCTGCAGAAACGGAAACAGTGAAATGTATTTACCTCAGACGCAGATTCACAGTTAAGTTTCTCAAAGTCTGACGTCGTCCGCAATCTTTTGCCCCAAATTCGTATTTCACTGCCTTCTAGTGTTTGAACCTTACTTGACTTAGAAGTTTTTTTGTTTTGTTTTGTTTTGTTTGAGACAGAGTCTCACTCTGTCTCCCAGGCTGGAGTGCAGTGGCGTGATCCCGGCTCACTGCAACCTCCACCTTCCGGGTTCAAGCAATTCTCCTGCCTCAGCCTCCCAAGTAGCTGGGATTACAGGCGCCTGGCACCACGCCTGGCTAATTTTTTTTTTTTGAGACGGAGTGCGGCTAATTTTTGTATTTTTAGTAGAGATGGGGTTTCACCATCTTAGCCAGGCTGGTCTTGAACTCCTGACCTCGTGATCCACCCGCCTCAGCCTCCCAAAGTGCTGGGATTGCAGGCGTGAGCCACCGCACCTGGCCAGTTTTTTTTTGTATTTATAGTAGAGACGGAGTTTCACCATGTTGGCCAAGCTGGTCTCGAACTCCTGACTTCAAGTGATTCACCCGCCTCTGCCTCCCAGAGTGCTCGGATTACAAGCGTGAGCCACAGCACCTGGCCAACTTTTTTTTTTTTTTCGTACTGCTTATATTATCTCTAATATATGCTTTTTTGCTTTCTGAGTCTTTTTACTTCTGGGTATGCCTAGACTAAAAGATAAAGTCCAGGCTCTTCAGTGTGCTGTTGCTCCATATGCTTTTCTAACTGAATCCTCCACCTTTTTTACATCTTTTATGTAGGAGAAATTCATTACATTTCAAAATATTTTTCAGGCCCAGCAGTTCTAGTACTTTATGTGCATCATAAGCATTATTTTACATTGATCCAACTAGTGATTATTTCCTCCACAGTTGTTTATGCCCCCATTTGAGCACTGTGAGCCATGCTAGGCATGATGGAGACAAGGATGGTGGGAGTGTCATCTAGGGCTTCCCAAGACCTCTCTCCCAGTGGGTTTGATCCATTATTGTTTACCTACCCAGCACTGAGATTTCTAGCTCTTGAGATTCCTTTTCAGAATGGTGTAAGGGGCCAGGCACAGAATGGGCTGACCATAATCCAAGTGCTTTGGGAGGCCTAAGCAGGAGGATTATTTAAGGCTAGGAGTTCACAGCATCAAAGGGAGACCCTGTCTACAGAAAAAATTTAAAATTAGCTGGGCGTGGTGGTGGTGGCGGCCCGTTTCCTGTAATCCCAGCTATTTAAAAGGCTGAGGCAGCCTCGCTTAAGCCCAGGAGTTCAAGGTAAGAGGATTATTTGAGCACGGGAGTTCAGGCTGTAGTGAGCTGGGATTGCGCCACTGTATTCCAGCCTGGGAGATAGAATGAGACCCTATCTCAAAAAAAAAAAAAAAAAAAGGTATCTTGCACCCTCTTTTAATCTGTGATTGTGTATAGGGGAAAGAACAGTCTTTAGTGTAACTCTATGCTAGTTGTTTCTCATTGAGCATCATCTGATTTTTATTTTAAGGTTTATTTTGTCAGGCCCCTTTGGATCTTCTTTCCTGTATTAGGCATATGTAACCCTACACTTTTTTTTTTTTTTTTTTTTAAATAGTCTCACTCTGTCGCCCAGGCTGGAGTGCAGTGGCATGATCTCAGCTCACTGCAGCCTCCGCCTCCCAGGTTCAAGTGATTCTCCTGCCTCAGCCTCCTGAGTAGCTGGGATTACAGGCGCACACCACCATGCCCGGCTAATTTTTGTATTTTTAGTAGAGACGGGGTTTCACCATGTTGGCCAGGATGGTCTCGATCTCCTGACCTCGTGATCCACCCGCCTCCACCTCCCAAAGTGCTGGGATTACAGGCGTGAGCCACCGCGCCTGGCCCAATCCTATGCTGTTTCTTAAATCGCCTACTGCGTTCCACATATATGGTCATTTGTAAATTGACAGAGTATACCAGGTGCCAGGATCATAATATGGAAGGTAGTGTAACATGGCAGTTAAGAATGTGGACTTTGAAGTCAGATGACTCAGGTTGGGATCCTGGCTTGTCACATACTTGAACAACACCTAACAATAAGACTTCTTTTTTGGCTGGGCATGGTGGCTCAAGACTGTAATCCCAGCACTTTGGGAGGCTGAGGTGGGTGGACCACTTGAGGTCTGGAGTTCGAGACCTGCCTGGCCAACATGGTCAAACCCCATCTCTACTAAAAATACAAAAATTAGCCGGGTATGGTGGCATGCGCCTTTAGTCCCAGCTACTCGGAAGGCTCATGCATGAAGAATCACTTGAACCTGGGAGGCGGAGGCTGCAGTGAGCCAAAATTGCACCACCGCAGTCCAGCCTAGGTGACAAAGCAAGACTCCATCTCCAAAAAAAAAAAAAAAAAAAAAAAATGCTGGGGTCGGTGGCTCACACCTGTAATCCCATCATTTTGGGAATCTGAGGCAGGCAGATCACCTGAGGTCAGGAGTTCGAGACCAGCCTGACCAATATGGTGAGCCCCGTCTCCACTAAAAATACAAAAATTAGCCAGGGCTTGTGGTCCCAGCTGCTCGGAAGGCTGAGACAGGAGAATTGCTTCAACCTGGGAGGCAGAGGTTGCAGTGAGCTGAGATCGTGCCACTGCACTGCAGCCTGGGCGACAGAGCAAGATTCCATCTCAGAAAAAAAAAAAAAAAGGACTTCTTTTTCTGTAAAATGGGTTGATATGGCATGAGGATTAAATAAGCCAATCTGTGAAGTATACAGAAGTGTAGATCTAGACCAGTGCACAGCCAGCCACTGCTTGTACTCCATCTCATCCTCATTTTACCTTTACCTAGAACAGACAGTATCAGTGAAGCTGCTATCCATGCTTGTGTTAAAGTGAATGCCCAATACAAAAGCCAGGCTTTACTAAGGTCCACAGCAGGCCCGTGGGGCTTCTACCGTAAGAACTATATTTTTCCCTAATTGTGACTATTTTTCTTTTGCAGCCACAGGTGGAATTAAGAAATCTGGCAAAAAGTAAGCTGTTCCTTGTGCCTGAGGAGATGGTGACCCTTTATTTCATCTGTATTTAAACCTCTCTATTCCCTGCCATAACATCTTTTGCCACGTATAGCTGGAATTAAGTGTTGTCTTGGAGCTGTTGTACATTTAAGAATAAACTTTTGTAAAAAAAGAAAAATCTTACAGTGGCTCATCATCTCTTTAGTTGTTTTCACTAAGTCGTTCCTACCATAACTGTGAATTTAAAGTAAAACCAGCTCAGAATCTTGCCAGAGTCTGTTCTTTGGTCCTTGTTCTACCCTAAACTTTGTATCACCTGAAATTAAACCAACTCATTTGAAAGGATGGCGTTCTTGTGTGGTTGTATACCTGACAGAATACCTTACATGAGTTTAGTGGAAGAATTTGCACTTTTTTTTGGTGGGGGAGGGGGTGGAGTCTCACTCTCACCCAGGCTGGAGTGCAGTGGCATGATCTCTGCTCAATGCAACCTCCACCTCCCGGGTTCAAACTATTCTCCTGCTTTGGCCTCCCAAGTAGCTGTGGTTACAGGCACCCGCCACCATGCCTAGCTAATTTTTTGTATTTTTAGTAGAGAGGGGTTTCACCATGTTGGCCAGGCTGGTCTCAAACTCCTGACCTCAAGTGATCTGCCTGCTTCAGCCTCCCAAAGTGCTGGGATTACAGGCATGAGCCACTGTGCCTGACCAGAATTTGTGCTTTTAAAAGAAAACCCATCTTTATGTTGTCACATCCAAATTGCCGTATATTTTGATGAGACTTGTTCATCTGTTCATGTAAGGCGTCTGCTATATGCAGGCACTGGGGTATGTAACGGAACAGTTCCTGTTGTCAAGGAACTTCTCTACTGTGGAAGAGGCAGGGCAGGGCAAATTACATGATCCTTCAAGTTGCTAGCAGTGAAGTCCCCATGCGCACCAAACAGGTCCAGGGCAGCAGCTGCGGGAAGCCCCAGCCCACTTGCTGGTGGATGGAGGGGGTGCCAGTGCCAGGCAAGGGGTTGGGGGTGAGGCAAAATGGGGGCTCACTCTACCTCCTGCTGCCCAGGACTGGAGTCCCAGGCATACCTACCGCTTGCCCCTCAATAAATGCAAAGACAGAGACCATCCATAATGTGTGCTGAATATGTTTTAAAATGCTTAGCTGGGTGTGGTGGTGCACTTCTGTAGTCCCAGCCATTTGGGAGGCTGAGGTGGGAGGATCACTTGAGCCCAGGAGTTCGAGGCTGCAGTGAGCCAAGATCACACCACTGCACTCCAGCCTGGGAGACAGAACAAGACCCTGTATTTAAAAAAAAAAAATTAATTCAGAAGCACAAGTATTTGGATTTCCCTCCCAGGCCCTTAATACAATTATGTTAATAATGCTCAGCTTTCTCTGAGAATATTGTCGAAGAGCGCTCTGGAACCATTATGAGACTGCTAAATCAAAACTAGGTTTTAGAATATTGAAAACTTTCATGATTAATGTACTAGATATTAACGCGGGAGAGGGGGCAGGGGGAAGCCTGTGTTGGTCCTCTCCAGAAAGTTGCACAGCCAGTAGCACCCTTCAGTAGGCTTCAGGCATTCCCTGTGGGGCCTTGCTAGCTGGCACCCAGCCGTATGCTGCTAAAACAAACCTGAGCACCAGTGATTCACACTGTTCCTGAAAGCAAGTTACTTGGTGGAACCTATCCCTCTTTAACAAATGAACAGTCCTGTCTCTTTCCAGGACCAGAGTCCTGCAGCAATTAAGCATGCAACACTTGGGAAGCTATCTGACGGAGACTACCAGTTGCTCCAAAAAATTTTAAACTCCTTAGACATTATAGGCCCTGATAGCACTCTCTTTTTCATTTACTCTTTTCATTTAATGCTTTCACAAATATTCCTAGGACACTCACAGGTGAAGTTTGGCACTGAGCAGGTAAGGCTGAAAGAGTCTTGCTCCTGTTACTCTCCATTGCCAAATTCTCTATTGCGGCTAACTTCTGCACACCACAGCTGCCCAATAAAATCTGTCAGGCACGCAAGCCCACCTCAAATTGCTGCTCCTTTGTGAAGCTTTACCTCTGTTCGCCACCGGTAACTCTTACCTGGCCTTTGTGTGGCCTCCCTTTCAATGTAGAATTCTCGTGTTAGTCTTATGTGCCAGCCTCCTACCCCTCTATCCTGCTAACTTGACTCAACTTGTAGGACAGCGCAGGTGCCATTTACAGGGGGACTTCCTTGACCTCCTGAGCCCTATTCTATACAACCAGAGCTTAGGAAAAAAAAACAGTCCAGCACTCAGAGGAATGGATGTTAACAGCCTGAGCAGCTCCCACCCCCTCCCACACAAGAACAGCTCCAAACATCATTCCTCCTTGGACTTTCCTCCTCCCTGGGCCTACCTCAAATGTACACATGTGAAACATTCACTAAACCCGAAGATGTCTGCACACGACAGCTCTATTCATACTCCTCACCCAACAAATTCCACTCTCCTCAAGAAAGCCTAGGGGTTTGTGGGAGGTGGGTCTGGCGGCAGAAGGAAAGCGAGGTCACGGAGACCACATCCCTGAATGATGCCTGGCTCGACTCAAACGCAACACGCGTGAATGCTAGGGCAGGCTGCTCCTGCGCGGCCCTCCTCCACGGAATGCCAGGGAGGGAGCGCAAAGCCACCAGCGCGGCGGAGCTGGTGCGCCTCCGGCCCGCCTCTCCGGTAACGGGTCGCGCCGCACTGAGTCCTTGCAGCAAACCTGCCGAATCCCGCCCGTGGACCTCTAAACACCGGGCGGGGCCGGGTGTGGCGGCGCGCTCGGACGTTCGTCATTCCTCCGCGCCCTCCGCCTGCCAGCTGATTGGCCCCTGGGCCAGGGGCGGGGCACTCGCGGCGGAGGCAAGCGGCGGCGCGCGGACGGTTGGTCCAGTTCTCCGGCCTGGCGGCAGGCAAGTCTAGCTCGGCGCTGTCGGATACTTGGGGTGAGCGGAAAGCATGGCGGGGACCTCCGCGCCAGGCAGCAAGAGGCGGAGCGAGCCCCCGGCGCCTCGCCCCGGCCCGCCGCCGGGCACCGGGCACCCCCCGAGCAAGCGGGCCCGGGGCTTCTCCGCAGCCGCTGCCCCGGACCCTGACGACCCGTTCGGCGCGCATGGGGACTTCACTGCCGACGACCTGGAGGAGCTTGACACCCTCGCGTCACAGGCCCTGAGCCAATGTCCGGCCGCGGCTCGGGACGTGTCCAGTGAGTGCTCCTCGCGGCCTTTTGCTCGGAGGGAGTTGTCAACCGCGCCAGATCCCCTTGATGGCTGTGGCTTCGGAACCTCGCGGCCAGCACTGCCTTTTCGCCTTTTTAAAATATGGGAACACCCTGATTTAAGCAGCGGTTGTCTTCCAGAAGGTCCTTTGATTTTAGGGGGAAATGCATTAGCCAGGTCAAACAGCCGATTTGAAACACAGAAGGCTAAGTTGACATTTTACGTTATTTTCTAAAGTTTAGGCCACTTGGTTCTTGGTTCTAAGCAGAGATCCTTGGAACACACCTACCACCACCATCAGAACCATCACTACCCATGCATGGGGACCCATTCTTGTGACAAGTTTGAGCGGCTTTAGATCTTATGAAGCCCACTGTCTCCCTTGGGCAGTGTGAGCATGGGAGGAGCCAGACACAGGCAAGAGATGAAATAAATTTATTCTTTTATACAACCAGTAAACTGTGCTAGGTGCCCAAACGTGAGGAACTGCAGCTGACCTTACAATGAACAAAATACAAAAACTGTCCTTCATGGAGCTTACATTCTAGTTGAGGAGTGAGTGAAGTCTTGAGGACTCCCAGAAAGAGAAATGTTTTGAGTGCACCTTGCATCTGTACTTGGGTGTCTCAAGGCACCTTAAACTCAACACGATCATTTCCTGGAAACCCAGTCCTCCTCCAGCACTTCTAGCATGGTGCCGGCAAAGCAGACATTCAGAGAATGATGACCAGATGTTCCACAAGGAAGTAACTAGCACGACTCTCCATCCAGTGGCACAAAGCGACTCTTCCCCTTTCCTTGACTCTACATCTAATTTATTTGGAAAGCATGTCAAGCTTACCTTCTTAATCCTTCTCTGGAGTCTATCCTATTCACATTGCTTCTACCAGCTGCCTGATCTGTGTTACCATGAGTCCTCTCTTGAACAATGGTCTGCTAAATTGGTTTCCCATTTCCAGTCTTGACTCCCTACAAGTGAGGCTTCACATCACATTCTGAGTGATCTTTTCAAAACTCAAATCTGGCTGTGTCTTACACAGATATACGTGAACACCCTTTTTTTTTTTTTTTTTTTTGACGGAGTCTCACTCTGTCACCCAGGCTGAAGTGCAGTGATGCCATCTTGGCTCACCACAGCCTCTACCTCCCAGGTTCAAGAGATTCTCTTGCCTCAACCTCCCGAGTAGCCTCAGCCTCCCAAGTAGCTGGGATTACTTGTGCCCGCCACCATGCCTGGCTAATTTTTGTATTTTTAGTAGAGACGGGGTTTCGCCATGTTGGCCAGGCTGGTCTCAAACTGCTGACCTCAGGTGATCCACCCGCCTTGGTCTCCCAAAGTGCTGAGATTACAGGTATGAGCCATCCGCACCCAGCCATGAACACCCCTAATGAAAGCCCTTTAATAATTTCTTATTTCTTCTAGTGTGAAGACCAGAATCCTTAACATGGCCTGAAAGGCCCAGCCTGGTTTGGCCCTTTCTCACTCTCTGGGTCCTGGCTGCACTAACATTCTTTGAATTCTCTCTGCTTCTTTACAATACAGGAACTTTATACATTGTTCTTTCTTTGTACATTGAGTATACTTTTCATTCATTCATTTCCACTCATCTGGTTAATTCCTACTTGTCCTTCAGCTCTCAGCTCCTTCAAGTCTTCCCTAGGGAAATGTTCCAATCATCCCACTTAAGTCAGATTGCTGTCATATTATAGGCTTTCCTATATTTGTTCTCTTCTGCAGTTCTTAATCACAGTTGTAATTTTACATTTATCTGTGTGATTATTTGTTGAATGTCTTTTAAGCTCTGTGAGTGTAAGGAAGTATCAATTTTGCTCACTATTGTACCTGTAGAGCCTAACATGCCTGGCATATTGCATGTGGTCAGTAACTATTACTGAATAATAAGTAGATCATTGAGTTCTGGCCAATGAGATCTCCTCAGGCTTTAGATGAGACTCTTGGAATTGGATGAAGGATAGGGAAAGAATAATAGGATCTGTTGTTTTAGAAGGATCATTTATGAGTTTCAGCCGGGTGTGGTGGCTCACGCCTGTAATCCCAGCACTTTGGGAGGCCAAGGTGGGCTGATCACTTGAGGCGAGGAGTTTGAGACCAGGCTGGCCAATATGGTGAAACCCCGTCTCTACTAAAAATATAAAAATTAGCCGGGCGTGGTAGCACACGCCTGTAATTCCAGCTACCTAGGAGGGTGAGGCACAAGAATCGCTTGAACCTGGGAGGTGGAGGTTGCAGTGAGCCGAGATCACGCCACTGCTCTCCAGCCTGGGCAACAGAGCGAGACTCTGTCTCAAAAAAAAAAAAAAAAAAAAAGAAGGATCATTTATGAGTTTGAACCATGTTCTTAGGTTGAAAAACATCTATATTGCTTACTAGATCTTTCCCTGCTTTGCTCTCAAGAGTAATTCTTCCCAGCACTTTGGGAGGCAAAGGCAGGAGGATTGCTTAAGCCCAGGAGTTCAAGACCAACCTGGGCAACATAAGGAGACCCAATCTCTACAAAGAATTTTAAAATTAGCCAGGCATCCAGGCACAGTGGCTGACGCCTGTAATCCCAACACTTTGGGAGGCTGAGGCGGGTGGATCGCGAGGACAGGAAATCAAGACCAGCCTGGCTAACATGGTGAAACGCCATCTCTACTAAAATCCAAAAAAAAAAAAAAAAAAAAAGCCAGGCATGGTGGCACACACCTGTAGTCCCAGCTACACAGGAGGCTAAGGCAGGAGGATCACTTGAACCCAGGAGGTCAAGGTGGCAGTAAGCAGTGATCACACCACTGCACTCCAACCTGGGTAACAGAGCAAGACCCTATCTCAAAAAAGAAAAAAAAAAAAAAAGTGGGTATTTTCAGCATTTTCTGGCAAAAGTGGGAAAATATTGGGTCCTGAAATGTATATGGAACTATTTTTTACAGGTGATCATAAGGTCCACAGATTATTAGATGGCATGTCAAAAAATCCTTCAGGGAAAAACAGAGAAACTGTTCCAATTAAAGATAATTTCGAATTAGAGGTACTTCAGGCACAATACAAAGAACTTAAAGAAAAGGTAAGTGACTTAACTTGTGGTTTTTGTAGCTAATTCATTCACTTACGTGTTTAAAAGCATTGTACAGTAAAATATACAAAAGTTGTAAAACAAGTGTCTAGATTCATCCCTATGACATGGGAAAAGACTAGGGAAAGAAAACCAGAAAGTTTAGGCTGAAAGAAACTAAATTGTGAGATTCCTAATGCCAAAGGCAAGAAGAAAAACACTGTATACCAGATCCAAAAAGAGATACAAACTGTTAGGGTACTAAGATGAATTTATAGCATGTATCTTCATGTGAATAATACAACTTCATAATGGTTGCTATTTTCATTAGCAGCTTTGCAAGAAAGCAGACACTTCATATCACCATCTGTAGGTCCCTAAGAAAACCAGGAATATGTGGAATTTTAGTTGTGCAAGGTATGTGACCCAGATTTTTTTTTTTTTTTTTTTTGGAGATGGAGTCTGTCATCCAGGCTGGAGTACAGTGACACAATCTTGGCTCACTTCAACCTCTGCCTCCTGGTTTTAAGCGATTCACATGCCTTAGCTTCCAGAGTAGCTGGGACTACAGGTGTGCACCACGACGCCCAGCTAATTCTTGTATTTTTAGTAGAGACGGAGTTTCACCATGTTGGCCAGGCTGGTCTCAAACTCCTGGCCTCAGCCTCCCAAAGTGTTGGGATTACAGGCATGAGCTACCACACCCAGCGACCCAGATCGTTAATGCCTCTTAGAGCCTAAAGAATCCGGCCAGGCGCGGTGGCTCACACCTGTAATCCCAGCACTTTGGTAGGCCGAGGCCAGTGGATCACCTGAGGTCAGGAGTTCAAGACCAGCCTGGCCAACATGGTGAAAACCCGTCTCTACTAAAAATACAAAAATTAGCTAGGCATGGTGGCGGGCACCTGTAATCTCAGCTACTCGGGAGGCTGAGGCAGGAGAATTGCTGGAACCTGGGAGGTGAAGGTTGCAGTGAGCCGAGATCGTGCCATTGCACTCCAGCCTAGGCGACAATAGCAAGACTCCGTCTCAAAAAAAAAAAGGAATCTGGTCAGGCAAGGTGGCTCATGCCTGTAATCCCAGCACTTTGGGAGGCCAAGGTGAGAGAATCGCTTGAACCCAAGAGTTCAAGACCAGCCTGGGCAATACAATGAGACCCTGTCTCTACAGATAAAAGTGAAAATTGGCCAGGCTAGTGGCACATGCTTTGTAGTCCTAGCTACTCAAGAGGTTGAGGCGAGAGGATCACTTGAGCCCAGGAGTTCAAGGTTACATTGAGCTATGATTGTGCCACAGCATTCCAGCCTAAGCAACCCCATCCCCCTCCCTGGCAAAAAGAATCTGCATGCATGAGTGGCAAGTGTATGCTTAAGCTATCTTGATGAATATCAGCTGTCCCATGAACAGGCCTAGCAGACCATGGTGACATCTGGTTGCTGTGGATATATTTTGAGTACTCATTTGTCTGTTTTTCCTGTGCTTTCTCCATCTCCCCAACTACATGTTAAAACAAAGTACCTAAGTAGTTTTCTCTTACAAAGTTTTCACGAGATTAATTTGGGATTTACAGATGAAAGTAATGGAAGAAGAAGTTCTCATTAAGAATGGAGAAATTAAAATTTTGCGAGACTCACTACATCAGACGGAATCCGTTCTAGAGGAACAGAGAAGATCACATTTTCTTCTTGAGCAAGAGAAAACCCAAGCACTCAGTGACAAGGAAAAGGAATTCTCCAAAAAGGTGACCCAGAGCATTTGTTTTGCACCAGCTTTGCCTGCCCACTGAGTTCCTTTGACCAGGGTTGCCTGTAAATCTTCCAGGGAGATTTCAACACTTGTTTGTCTTAAATACTTTCTGCTATCATCTCATTGCCATCCACTCTTCTTCCAGGGTCTGGATATATTTTGGAAAGGGATTTAGATGAAACTCTATTTTGCTGTGGTAGTTGGTCTTGGCAGGAGTAAATAACTAGCTTAGCATTTCTAGAAACAGGTTTACATTAAGGCTCTTTTGCTAGATCAGAAACTCAACTGACCTGGCTTAGGCTAAAAGGAAACGTATTGGCTTCCATATCCAAGTCTGGGAAGAACCGGGGTATGCTGGGACCTTAAATGACTTAAATCTTGCCAGGACATTTTTATTCTCTATGCTATAAACAGGCTCTATACTTATGGTAGAGGGTGTGTTCTCCAGAAGCTCCTGGGCTCATATTTTATAAATACAGAGCAGAATTAAGACTTAGGGCCACATGCAGTGGCTCACACCTATAATCCAGCACTTTGGGAGGCTGAGGTGAGAGGATTACTTGAGCCAGGAGTTCGAGACCAGCCTGGGCAACTAGTGAGACCTCATCTCCACAAAAAAGAAAAAGAAAAAATGAACAAAATTATCCAGGCATGGTGGTGTGCACCTGTAGTCCCAGCTACTCAGGAGGCTGAGGTGGGAGAATTGCTTGAGCCCAGGAGGTTGAGGCTGCAGTAAGCCATGATCATGCCATTGTACTCCAGCCTGGGCAATAGAGCGAGACCCTGTTTCAAAAAAAGACTTAGGCTCCCTCATCTCAAGTTTTAAAATTCTGAGAAAGGCTCTGATTGGTTTAACTTGAGTCAGTTGTCTGTCCCTGGCCAATTGCTATAACCAAAAGCAACCAAAAGCAAAAAAATGACAGCTCCCATTCTAATAAAATAGTCAGAGGTAGGGAAATTATTGAATTTTTTTTTTTTTTTTTTTTTTTTTGAGACAGGGTCCAGGGTTTCACTCTCTTGCCCAGGCTGGAGTGCAGTGGTGCAATCACAGCTCACTGCAGCCTTGACCTCCCAGGCTCAAGCAATCCTCCCATCTCAGCCTCCCAGGTAGCTGGAACTATAGGCACACACCACCAGGCAAAGCTAATTTTTAAATTTTGGTACAGACAGGGTTTTGCTGTATTCTCCAAGCCGTTCTCAAGCTCCTGGGCTCATGCAGTCCTCCCACCTTGGCCTTCCAAAGTGCTGAGATTACAGGCGTGAGCCACAATGCCCAGCCTGTTTCTCAGGGAAAGGAAAATGCTATTCTGGAAGGAAAAACAGTAGGTATCCAGTACCTACTACAACTTTCCCTCAGCACCTCCTCATGCTTCAATCTCAAGGACATGGGATCTTATTCTCATTGTTTCATTCAGCAAACTTAGCAAACTTTAAGCACTTACCTGTGCCCATCATTAACCGCAATAGTTAACTTTCTGTATAAGTGATGAAGAGCAAGGAATTTGCGGTCAGACAAACCTGAATTTGAATCCAGGCTTCATCACACATAAGCAGTGACCTCAAGGTAATAACTTAAGCTCCCTGGCTCATTTCCCTTATCTGTTCCAAGACATAACCAGAAAGGTTGTTGGGAGACTCACACATTCTTGCACTTACTGTGTCTGGTGCTGGGCCTGGCGCAGAGTGTGCTTGGGGAATGATGGCAGTTACTGTTGGCTGTAGCAACTGCAGGCCAGAGCAGCAGGTCTCTCTATACTGCACAGTGTCTTGGTAAACTATTCCAACTACTCTGCCCAAACTTTGAGGAAGACCTGGAATTGTGCACCAGTGCGTTCGTTAATAAAGGTCAATATGTTACTGCTGACATAGGGCACCTTACCAAGCTCTATGCTGGGTATTTTACACTCATCATTCTACTTAATCCTCCCAACTATCATGAAGACAGGTGTTTTATGTTACAAATAAGTTAGGATTCAAAGACATTAAATAAATGGTGGGCTGGTATTTAATTCTTTTTTTTATTTTTTAAATTTTTTGTAGAGGCAAGATCTTGCTATTTTGCCCAGGCTGGTCTCGAACTCCTGGGCTCAAATGATCCTCCCGCCTCAACCTCCCAAAGTGCTTAGGATTACAGGCCTGAACCACCACACCCGGCCAGGGCTGGTATTTAAACCCTCACAAACTACCCTTACAATAGAGTCCAGTATCTTTTTAGAGTACCATATTGTCTTTCAGAAAGAAAGCTAATGTTTAATATTTTAGGACATTTATGTCACAGCAGACTTTCATATGTATTTTTCATTGTTTGTCTTTTACTGGCTTGTGATTTTGAAGCCCAGAGATATTTTTGTGTATATGATGGGACCACTACAAGCATGTTTCTTTTGCCTTCCAGCTCCAATCATTGCAGTCTGAACTCCAGTTTAAAGATGCAGAGATGAATGAATTAAGGACAAAGCTCCAGACCAGTGAACGAGCAAATAAACTGGCTGCTCCCTCTGTTTCCCATGTCAGGTAATGATGGTGCTGGAGGGATAGTTCAGTTTTGCATTATTTAGTAAAAAATCTGCATAACAGTGTCAGGCTGGTCCTAAATGAAGGCCATTTAGACCCCTCCACCTGGGCAGAGATCCTCTTTTCCTGAAGGATTCAGAGGTGGTTTAGATGAAGCTTGCATGGTTTGAGACATCACAGCATAAAGGCCTATACTCTAGAAATGCTGCCTCTGTATGGCACTTTATAAACATAATTCTTCAGGACTAGAAAGACCTGGAAAAATGATCTCCAAATTTTGGGGGTGGGCTAGTCTCTACTTTTATGTAATTTGTTTAACTGATTTTGTTGCAAGCATGGGTGTATTTTAGTTCCAGCTACTTGGAATATTTTTTTCTCATTTGCTTTCTGGGGACCCTTGTCCAACAGCCCCATCCTTTGTGGTCAGATGTGCTCAACTTGTTTTTTTTTTCTTTTTTTTTTGAGACAGAGTCTCGCTCTGTCACCCAGGCTGGAGTACAGTGGTACAATCTCGGCTCACTGCAACCTCCGCCTCCTGGGTTCAAGCAATTCTCCTCCTTCAGCCTCCTGAGTAGCTGGGACTACAGGCACACACCACCACGCCCAGCTAATTTTTGTATTTTTAGTAGAGACGGAGTTTCACCATGTTGGCCAGGCTCGTCTCAAACTCCTGGACTCAAATGATTTGCCAGCCTGGGCCTCCCAAACTACTGGGATTACAAGCATGAGCCACTGTGCCTGGCGCAGCCTGGAAATTTGAACAGTGTCAGTCAGGGCATCTTCTGGTTTTGAACTTTCTACCGCCTTTGTTCATAATGGGCAGTGTGTGAAACTGAACTCTCCATGCCTTGCATTGTCCACATAAGACAAGAGAACTGAGGGGATCCTCTTCACACATCAGTAACAGAAAGACCTCAGCATTATATGATCAGATCAGAGAGTTAATACTGCTTCTCTACCATAAAGACATTGGCACTAAGTTGCTCAGTTTTCAACATACCTAGTAGGTTTATCAAAATTATGATATTTATTTTGATAGCCCTTTTTCTATTTAAAGTCTTTGCATTCTATTGGAAGTCTTTTTTTTTTGAGACAGAGTCTCACTCTGTTGTCCAGGCTGGAGTGTAGTCACATGATCTCAGCTCACTGCAACCTCCACCTCCCGGGTTCAAGTGATTCTCCTGTCTCAGCCTCCCAAGTAGCTGGGATTACAGGCACATACCACCACACCAGGCTAGTTTTTTTGTATTTTTTTTTTAAGTAGAGATGGGATTTCACCATGTTGGCCAAGCTGCTCTCGAACTCCTGACTTCAGGTGATCCACCCACCTCAGCCTCCCAAATTGTTGGGATTACAAGGGTGAGCCACTGTGCCCAGCCTGGAAGTCTTGTGACTATTAAAAAATCGTTTGTTCCACATTGGCTGGGTGCAGTGGCTCACACCTGTAATCCCAACACTTTGGGAGGATGAGGCGGGCAGATCACTTGAGGTCAGTAGTTCAAGACCAACCTGGCCAACATGATGAAACCCTGTCTCTACTGAAAATATAAAAATTAGCTGGGCATGGTGGCATGCGCCTGTAATCCCAGCTATTTGGGAGGCTGAGGCAGGAGAATCACTCAAACCTGGAGGCAGAGGTTGCAGTGAGCCAGGATCACACCACTGCACTCCAGCCTGGGCAACAGAACAAGACTCCATTCCAGAAAAAAAAATAGTTTGTTCCACATTGAAAAGATGTTTTGCACCAGGCATGGTAGCTACAGAGGCAATCCCAGCTACACAGGAGGCTAAGGCAGGAAGATTGCTTAAGGCTAGCAGTTCGAGACCAGCCTGGGCAACATAGCAAAACCCCATTGCTACTTAAAAAAAAAATAAAATTACTGGCCCCAGTGGCTCACGCCTGTAATCCCAGCATTTTGGGAAGCTGAGGTGGGCAGATCATTTGAGCCCACGAGTTCAGGACTAGCCTAGGCAACATGGTGAAACTCTATCTCTAGAAATAACTCTATCTCTAGAAAGAATAAAAAGTTAGCCAGATGTGGTGGTTGCACATCTGTAGTCCCTGTGCTACTCAGAAGGATGAGGTGGGAAGATCACTAAGCCCAAGAGGTGGAGGCTGCAGTGAGCCGTAATTGTGCCACTGGGCTCCAGCATGGGCAACAGAGTGAGACCCTGTCTCACCAAAAAAAAAAAAAAAAAATTAGCTGGCCATGTTGATGTGTGCCTGTAATCCCAGCTACTCAGGAGGCTGGGATTACAGATGGGTGGATTGCTTGAGCCCAGGAGGTCAAGGCTGCAGTGAGCTATGATCATGCTACTGTACTCCAGCCTGGGCAATGGAACAAGACTCTGTCTCAAAAAAAAATGTTTTGGTGGAATTGTAAATAGTGATAATAAAGAATAGTAAAGGAATTATGGCTAATATTATATTTTTGGATGATTAGAAAAATATAAAAATGAGTAAAAGAATTTTCAATAATTTGGATCAAAATCCCTGGAATTAGCCAGTAACAGTGGATCATGCCTGTAATCCCAGCATTTTGGGAGGCCAGAGTGGGTGGATCACTTGAGCTCAGCAGTTCCAGACCAGCCTGGGTAACTTAGTGAATCCCCATCTCTATAGAGAAATTAAAATTTTAAAATATTTTTAAAAAGAAAAACAAATGCCTGGAATTTTGCACTGCTCCTCTGACAAAGAATGGTAGACATATAATAGATAAAACCTTTGGTTAAAACACCTAGACATGAAAAGTTTAAAGTTTGTTAGAAATTTTGTAACCAGATATTTTGAATGGTTTTAGTAGAATCATTACTTTGCTTTCATAGTTAACTTTTTCCAGTCCTAGGAAAAACCCTTCTGTGGTTATAAAGCCAGAAGCATGTTCTCCACAATTTGGAAAAACATCTTTTCCTACAAAGGAGTCTTTTAGTGCTAACATGTCCCTTCCCCACCCCTGCCAGACGGAGTCAGGATACAAGCCTCTGGTGGGCAGAGAGGGTAAGTCCATTAGTCATCTATTGATGTATAACAAGCTACCCAAATATGTGGCTTAAAACAATTATTATTTATTTTCTCCCAATTTCTGTGATCAGCAATTCTGACAAGGCACAGAGGGGACAATCTCTGCAGGGACTGGAATCACTGAAAGCTTGTCTTAAGCTGGAGGATCTATTTCAAGGTGGCTCACTCACATGGCTGGCAGTGTAATTTCTTGCCACATGGGCCTCTGCACATGGATATGGGGTATCCTCTTAACCTGGTGGGTGGCTTCCTCTAAAGCTAGCAAATCCAGAGAGAGCGAGCCAGGCAGAAGCTATCCATTTATGGCCTAGCCTCAGAAGTCACACAGCATCCCCTCTGCCACATTGTATTTGTTAGAAGCAAATCACTGAGTCTGGGCGTCATTCAAGGGGAGAAACCAAGCTTATACCTTTTTTTTAATTTTTATTTTTTATTTTTATTTTATTATTATACTTTAAATTTTAGGGTACATGTGCACAACGTGCAGGTGTGTTACGTATGTATACATGTGCCATGTTGGTGTGTTGCACCCATTAACTCGTCATTTAGCATTAGGTATATCTCCTAATGCTATCCCTCCCCCCTCCTCCCAAGCTTATACCTTTTGAAGGGGAGTTGTGTCAAAGCATTTGTGGGCCTTTTTTTTTTTTTTTTTGAGGCGGAGTCTCACCCTGTCACCCAGGCTGGAGTGCAATGGCACGATCTCAGCTCACTGCAACTTCCGCCTCCCGGGTTCAAGTGATTCTCCTGCCTCAGACTCCCGAATAGCTGGGATTACAGGCACCTGCCATCATGCTTGTGGGCATATTTTTAAACCATCACAGCATCAATTGACCATGCCAAAAACCTAGCTAGTATGCAGGAATCTGTTTTTCTTTTCTTGTTTTTTTTTTTTTTCTTTGAGGCGGAGTCTCACTCTGTCACCAGGCTGGAGTGCAGTGGCGTGATCTCGGCTCACTGTAACCTCTGCCTCCCATGTTCAAGCGATTCTCCTGCCTCAGCCTCCCGAGTAGCTGGGACTACAGGCATGCGCCACCACACCCAGCTAATTTTTGTATTTTTAGTAGAGACAGGTTTCACCATGTTGGCCTGGATGGTCTCAATCTCATGACCTCGTGATCCACCCACTTCAGCCTCCCAAAATGCTGGGATTACAGGCATGAGCCACCGTGCCCAGCCTCTGTTTTCCTTTTGTAGTCCAGCTTTTGAGTTTTTATAACTCAGTCCAGATTGAGGGGATCTGCTGTTTTTTAGAGAGAGACAATCTAACATCAGTAGGTTTTCAGACTGCTATGTCAGTGTATCTTATAAATCGGATACATTGACCCTCTTCTTACCATCAACCTTTCAAATCCTTGGCCATCATAACACTTCTGAGAAACTGTAGCCCACTTACATTTTTGGCATCTAGCAGCTAAAGGGGCAGTGTACAGTAGTGTTACAAGCAGGCAGTAGAGCCCAGTAGCCTGGATGTGAGTCCCAGTAATGCTGTTAACTGGCTTATATGATTTGGGCAAGTCCTTTAGTCTCTGTGCCTCAGTTTCCCTATATGTAAAACAGACCTAATGATAAATCCTTGTAGGGTCACTGAGGAACAAATGGGCTGATGCGTATAGAGCTCTTAAAACACTGTCTAGCACGTAACAAGCACCATGTCAATGTTAGTGGTCACTGTTTTATCTAATTGCCTCATTTTGAGTGAGGCAAACAGCTTGATTTTCTTTTCCTTTCCTTGTATGAGTTCCTGTTTTACATAAGGAAGGTAAAAGATGCAGGGCTCTTGAGCCGCTTTGGCTCTTGTTTGTTCCAAGTTCGAAGAAGTAGAACAGCGTGTGTTTTAAACTCATTGCATGTAAAAGTTTCTAATATGCCCATGCTTCTGGGCTCAAGTTTTGATTTACATTTTATCACATTTCAGATAGTAAGCCCCACAGTCTGAGAGGTGACTCCATAAAACAAGAAGAGGCCCAGAAAAGCTTTGTTGACAGCTGGAGACAGAGATCAAACACTCAAGGTACCAGAATCCCTGCTTCTCCTGCAGGGGCCTGCATGGCTCTGAGTAATATGCAGAAGAATTGCCCAGGCCTCTGAGAACCGGTGCCCCGGGCAGTCCTTCAGAGAGTCCAGGGAAGTCAAAGTATGTGGCTTAAGCAGAAGACTTTATAAAGTGGAAAGGGCCAAGGGCAGGTATGTCCCAGAGCCTTCCGCACCCACAGGCATCTTCCTGGGGCTTAGTGGCAGCCTAGAGGACAGTTGGCATCCAAAGAATCCTTACTGTTTCCTTCTGAAAGCCACCGAAAAGATCTCCCATGTCAGAACCTTCTAGAGTCATCTTGTCTTCTGCAGGTTCCATTTTGATAAACCTGCTCCTGAAGCAGCCTTTGATCCCAGGGTCATCCCTAAGCCTTTGCCACCTCCTGAGTAGTAGTTCTGAGTCTCCTGCTGGCACCCCCCTGCAGCCACCAGGGTTTGGCAGGTAAGCATAAGACTCCTGGAAAGCTTGTTTGGGAAGGAGCTTCCTGGAAGCAAATTCCTTTCTGGCCCTGGCCAGCCTGAGAAGTCTGTGGGAAGGGCAGGCAGCCTGGAGAATTTGGCAGGCAGGCTGTTTGGGGCTCTTGACCTTATCTCCATCCCACACTTAATCTATTTTTCTTTGTGTTTGTTGCCAGTACCTTGGCTGGAATGTCAGGCCTCAGGACCACAGGTTCTTATGATGGGTCATTTTCCCTCTCAGCCCTGAGAGAAGCACAGAACCTGGCATTCACTGGACTGAATCTGGTTGCCCGGAATGAGTGCTCACGTGATGGAGACCCAGCAGAGGGAGGCAGAAGGGCCTTCCCACTCTGCCAGCTTCCTGGAGCCGTGCATTTCCTCCCCCTTGTACAGTTCTTCATCGGCTTACACTGCCAGGCCCTGCAGGACTTGGCAGCTGCTAAGAGAAGCGGAGCACCTGGGGACTCACCGACACATTCCTCCTGCGTGAGCTCTGGGGTAGAGACCAACCCTGAGGACTCAGTGTGCATCCTGGAAGGCTTCTCTGTGACTGCACTTAGCATTCTTCAGCACCTGGTGTGCCACAGCGGAGCAGTCGTCTCCCTATTACTGTCAGGAGTGGGGGCAGATTCTGCTGCTGGGGAAGGAAACAGGAGCCTGGTTCACAGGCTTAGTGATGGAGATATGACCTCAGCCCTAAGGGGGGTTGCTGATGACCAAGGACAGCACCCACTGTTGAAGATGCTTCTTCACCTGTTGGCTTTCTCTTCTGCAGCAACAGGTCACCTTCAAGCCAGTGTCCTGACCCAGTGCCTTAAGGTTTTGGTGAAATTAGCCGAAAACACTTCCTGTGATTTCTTGCCCAGGTATTAAGCTGCATAGGAGTCATGATTCTTTGTGGGTCTCACCTGACCTCTTAAGGTCTAACCCATGGCACTTGTACTTTGCTCACATCTTGACTTATCTACACTAGTTAGTTCTAAGGCTTGGTTCAGGGAGTTCTGAAGTGATGGGAAGTGGGGCCAAATGGGAGAACCAAGGAAGTGGTTTATTTGATTTAATTCTGCCTCTGAACAACAGGTAAGCAAAAGGCACACATGATTAAAGGAGGCTGCTAACCTCTGTGGAGGAGGGCCCTGCCCCAGGACAAGGGTTAAGACAAGGGGCCTCTGAACCTGAGATGTGGGTAAGGTGAAGACCACACATCACAAGCACGTTGAAGTTTAGTGGTTTCCCTAAGGAAGCAGAGGATGTGGAGAGGGTCTGCAGCCCACGGGCTGACCTTGCTGGGAGTCTCTGCCTGTCATTGTGCCCATCTTTAGCATGCATCTGGGGTGGCCTGTTCTTCTTAAGGTTTGTGGGTAGTATATTATAGTGAACCTAGCGAATGAACACTGTGATCATAAATTCCTCCCTTGGGATTCCAGAGCCGCAAGATTGGGGAGAACTGTGAACACAACCAGCCCACCCCCTCATCCAGTAATCCAGTCTCCCTCAGCACTCTACCAAAGGGTCAGTTTCTATGTTGGAATGATTCCACTGGCTGAATATATCTTAAATCATCTCATCTCTGAGCTCAGCACTGCTGTTTCCTAGATCTGTTTCCATCTGAATATTTTTGGTTGGTCTGGCCCATGCTAAAGGTGGTACTCAGCTGGACACAGCACTGCAGTGTAGTGTGGGCAGTGGGATCAGGCAGACTCAGGACTCAAGTGCCCAGCAGGGGCCCAGCTCATAGTGGCTGTTTTTTTTTGTTGTTGTTTATTTGTTTGTTTTTGTTTTTGTTTTGAGACGAAGTTTTGCTCTTGTTGTCCAAGCTGGAGTGCAGTGGTGCGATCTCGGCTCACTGCAACCTCCACTTCCCAGGTTCAAGCAGTTCTCCTGCCTCAGCCTCCTGAGACGCTGAGATTACAGGCACCTGCCACCACACCTGGCTAATTTTTTATATTTTTAGTAGAGACAGGGTTTCACCATGTTGGCCAGGCTTGTCTCAAATGCCGGACCTCAGGTGATCCACCTGCCTTGGCCTGCCAAAGTGCAAGGATTACAGGCGTGAGCCACCGGGCCCAGCCTTGGTTATTTGTTTAATAATTGTTAAATGAATGAATCCCAGGCTGGGCACAGTGGCTCCTGCCTGTAATCTCAGCACTTTGGGAGGCCAAGGTGGGAGGATCACTTGAGCCCAGGAGTTTGAGACCAGCGTGGGCAACAAAGCAAGACTCCCAGCTCTACAATTTTTTTTTTTTTAATTAGCCAGGCATGGTGGCAGTGAGCTATGACCATGCCACTGCACTCCAGCCTAGGTGACAGAGTGAGACCCTATCTCAAAGAATCCCAGAAACCATGTTTTTACTGGTGGTAGACACACCATTATTCCACTCCTGTTGAGCTTGTCCACAGGGACATTCAAAACACAGCCACAGCTGGGCATTTATCTATTTCATGTACTGGGGCTCTTCATAAAATTTCATTTAAAGAGGTTCTTAGGGGCTGGGCATGGTGGCTCACGCCTGTAATCCCAGCACTTTAGGAAGCCGAGGTGGGTGGATCACGAGGTCAGGAGATCGAGACCATCCTGGCTAACATGGTGAAACCCCGTCTCTACTAAAAATACAAAAAAGTAGCTGGGCGTGGTGGCAGGCACCTGTAGTCCCAGCTACTCGGGAGGCTGAGGCAGGAGAATCGCTTGAACCCTGGAGGCGGAGGTTGCAGTGAGCTGAGTTTGCGCCACTGCACTCCAGCCTGGGTGACAGAGCGAGACTCAGTTTCAAAAAAAAAAAGTTCTTAACGCTATCAAAAAATAACTTGGAAACCACTGTGGTGTACATAAAAGTGGATTTTCCTTGCAGTACCTTCTGCAAGTGGCAGATATTGGACATCTTACAGCCCAATAATGAAACCAGGTAATAACCATGTTAAAATTCCAGCTTCCCACAAAGGGCTGCACACCCTGGCAACTAAAAAGCATTGAACTTTTTGTCTGCTGTGCAGGATTTGCCCTAAAGTGAGTTCACCCCACATAGTGAGACCTTGCTTCCTAAGGACACACTGAGGGATATCTTGACCTTCTGTGCTTAGAAACTGCAGATGTCTGAAGGGGTACACACCTGGCCAGACCCCATAGAGTGTTTCAGAATTGCCCTCCTCCCCACCCACCAGGCCAGTCCATCGTGCTCCCCCAGGCTATGTGGGTTGAGCAAACAGCAGCAGTTGCCTTGGGGCTTGGTTTATTGGGGTAATAGCTTTCCTTTTGCCCCTGAGACCTGGGGCAGTATGCCCAGAACCCCTCCCTCCTGCACACCCCACAGTAGGCACATTCTCCCACTGGCAGCAGATGTGTTTTCTGGCAAGTAGAGAAAATGGCTTTCCTTGCCCTGTGAGAGGTCTCATAAGATCCAGCCATAGCCAAGGCCATGTTTGTCACCTCTGGAGGCCTGGTCAGTCCTTCTGTGGGCACAGAACATTTCTCTCCCACCTAAGTTAGGACCTGCATCCCTGTTTGGGAGCATGTGGAAGCCAGGCATCCCAGATCCAGGAGGTCATCCCACTTCCTGGGCGATGCTACACCAGATAAGGGCCTGTCCTCTCAGCTGCAGCAGTCTTGCAGTGGAAGTGCCCACTTGTTCACATGAAACAAGTTTCATAGCAAGTAAGTAGGGGTCAGGCCAGCACTGAAACCCAAGTCTGGCTGAACCAACTCACCTGTTCATACTGACTTGCTCAATTTTCTGTTACCTCTAGTGGAGTGTGAAGGTAGGTTATGGAGCTGGGGTTGGGGAGTGTCACGTCTCTCTGGGTCCCTGTCTTTTAGGTTCCAGTGTGTGTTCCAAGTGCTGCCAAAGTGCCTCAGCCCAGAGACACCCCTGCCTAGCGTGCTGCTGGCTGTTGAGCTCCTCTCCCTGCTGGCGGACCACGACCAGCTGGCACCTCAGCTCTGTTCCCACTCAGGTAAAGCAGGGTGGGGCGGGCGTCTAGACTGCTCCTGCAGATCAAGGGAAGGGTTGGGGTGGGAACAGGGTCAAGGGCCTCAGAGGGCTTCTGCAGTATGTAGCCCACGCTCTTTATGAGAAAGGGCACCCTGAGTGAGAGGTGCGCTGTCCTTTTCAGAAGGCTGCCTCCTGCTGCTGCTGTACATGTACATCACATCACGGCCTGACAGAGTGGCCTTGGAGACACAATGGCTCCAGCTGGAACAAGAGGTAAAAACTCCAGAGCCCCTTCTGGACACTGTCCCCACCCCATCCTAAGAACCAACAGAATCTCCTTTCTTTCCGCTGAGGAGAAACGGAGCTTTAATTCATTTTAGTAACAAGAGTTGATAAAGCAACTAAAGAGGTAAACTCAGTTTGGGGGCTGTGCACCACACAGATGCAATGCAGACAGGACTTGGCAGAGTTGCCTGATGACTGATCCTGTCTTGGCTTTGGGACGTGGGGGCAGAATAGGGGGCTGGAGGCAGGTGGGTTGCTGGTGACACATGAGTGCTTGTCCTGGGTCTTCCCTGGGAAGGTCCCACACCACTTCTTGGACCCCATTTGTGCAGACAAACAGTTGCTGAAGCAAGTGAACTCTTATAGAAGCTTAAGAAAACCCTCGCAGGGACTGGTCTCCTTCTGCCCAGGATGGAACCAATCTGTTCTTGTTCTAGGTGGTGTGGCTCCTGGCTAAGCTTGGTGTGCAGAGCCCCTTGCCCCCAGTCACTGGCTCCAACTGCCAGTGTAATGTGGAGGTGAGTGGGTAGGGGCCAACAGCTGGCAGCTCTGGTGGTAAGGGGGCCCCGTGCAAGGACTGTAGGCCCCACTGCAAACCCCCTCACGTGAGGTGGCTAGGCTGAGCGGATTGTTAGGGTGCAGGCCATGGTGGCACCAGGCCTCAGTCTGCACCCCCCCTCTCTCAGGTGGTCAGAGCGCTCACGGTGATGTTGCACAGACAGTGGCTGACAGTGCGGAGGGCAGGGGGACCCCCAAGGACCGACCAGCAGAGGCGGACAGTGCGCTGTCTGCGGGACACGGTGCTGCTGCTGCACGGCCTATCGCAGAAGGACAAGCTCTTCATGATGCACTGCGTGGAGGTCCTGCATCAGTTTGACCAGGTGATGCCGGGGGTCAGCATGCTCATCCGAGGGCTTCCTGATGTGACGGACTGTGAAGGTAAGCCTGCCAGAGGCCATCCTGCCCAGCCCCCATGGCTTCTTCCAGAGGTTCCCCAACAAGTCAGATTCCTGGGTGTCCCCTCAGCAGGCCCCCGCCCACTGCAGCCTGTTCCAGCACTGGGGCCATTTTCTTTTATCTTCCTGCCTCAGTTCTTCTCCAAGCATATTGGGATGCCTTTTGCATCTATCTGTTGAGTGTGCCTGGCAGAGCCACGGTTTTTCCAGAAATAGCCGTGTCTGAATTGCCTTTGTATCACTTTGTTTGCAGTAGCTGAGGGAGCAGGGCCTGGGTGTGGAAGGGACTGGTTAGTTCCTGCGGACGTTGGGGGAGGAGAGGTGGGACCTGCCCTAGGCCCTGGCACCTTTGGGCCCTCACCAGGAACCTCTCCTTTTTGTCTCAGAGGCAGCCCTGGATGACCTCTGTGCCGCGGAAACCGATGTGGAAGACCCCGAGGTGGAGTGTGGCTGAGGCCCTGAGTGTCCAGCCACATGGTGGCACCAGCACCACTCCTTTCCTTACCACATCAACTGATTAAAGCAGTGACCAGCAGGAACTGCCCAGAGAACTGGCTGGCCTTGTTTCCTGAGTCTGATCTGTTTGGCGGAGTGGGAGGGGTGGAGCAGGACCCGGACCCTGAGTGGCTGGGATCCTTCTTCCTGTCCCTGGCTGTTGCTGAGCCCGTCCCCATGGTAACTGATCTGCCTTGAGGAAGGAGCCCTGCCCTGCCTGTGGAATTGTCCTGAGTCATTGCTTTGGGCTGGGGCCATGGGAAGAAACCATTGTGTGGCAGGGAAGGAGGTGGCTCTTGGCCCAGGCCTAAACCAGGAAAGCCTGGGAAACTGGGACCCACAGGTGGGCATGAAAGGGCCGCAGCAGGGGCTCCCAGCAGTGTGTAAGACCGGGAGCTGGTCTGGCACCACTGCCCTGGTCCTTCCAGCTGCCTGTCACTGGTATGATGGCCCCGGTGCATTGTGCCACCAGCAGGCCACAGCTGTGGATCTTGGAAGGCCTCTGGGGTCCCCCGGGAGCAGGGGAGTGGGTGTGGGGGGGAACGGATGGTGGTGAGAGGGACAGACCAGGCAGGCTGACGAGCAGGGCGGGCCTGGCTCACGTGGGCCTGTAGGCGGGCCCACGCCAAGTTTCACTTCCCGCCACTGCTGCCAGCGAGAGCCGCGGGAGAGTGTGCAGCCGAGTCACTACTGCCTGCCTGCCTGCCTGCTACGGTGAGTGTGGCCCCCACAATGGGATGGCGCAGGGCAGGAGGGCCATGGGTTCCCCCACCCCAGACTAAGGGGGCACTAGGGGAGGGGCCGAGTCATGTGAAGAGGGAGACCCTCTCAGACAGTCGAATGTGCTGGTCCCACTAAGGAAACCACCTCACCCTCTCCAACTTCCTGCCTGAAAATGGGCCCTGGAGCTCGCAGACAGGGCAGGATTGTGCAGGGAAGGCCTGAGATGTGCTTCTGCCCACCCCCTACCCCACTCCCTCCCCTTCGGATCTTAACACTGGGCACTCACACACCCACCCCATGCTCCTCTCCAGGCTCAGCAGCAGGTACGTACCCAACCATGGGCTCGCAGGCCCTGCCCCCGGGGCCCATGCAGACCCTCATCTTTTTCGACATGGAGGCCACTGGCTTGCCCTTCTCCCAGCCCAAGGTCACGGAGCTGTGCCTGCTGGCTGTCCACAGATGTGCCCTGGAGAGCCCCCCCACCTCTCAGGGGCCACCTCCCACAGTTCCTCCACCACCGCGTGTGGTAGACAAGCTCTCCCTGTGTGTGGCTCCGGGGAAGGCCTGCAGCCCTGCAGCCAGCGAGATCACAGGTCTGAGCACAGCTGTGCTGGCAGCGCATGGGCGTCAATGTTTTGATGACAACCTGGCCAACCTGCTCCTAGCCTTCCTGCGGCGCCAGCCACAGCCCTGGTGCCTGGTGGCACACAATGGTGACCGCTACGACTTCCCCCTGCTCCAAGCAGAGCTGGCTATGCTGGGCCTCACCAGTGCTCTGGATGGTGCCTTCTGTGTGGATAGCATCACTGCGCTGAAGGCCCTGGAGCGAGCAAGCAGCCCCTCAGAACACGGCCCAAGGAAGAGCTATAGCCTAGGCAGCATCTACACTCGCCTGTATGGGCAGTCCCCTCCAGACTCGCACACGGCTGAGGGTGATGTCCTGGCCCTGCTCAGCATCTGTCAGTGGAGACCACAGGCCCTGCTGCGGTGGGTGGATGCTCACGCCAGGCCTTTCGGCACCATCAGGCCCATGTATGGGGTCACAGCCTCTGCTAGGACCAAGCCAAGACCATCTGCTGTCACAACCACTGCACACCTGGCCACAACCAGGAACACTAGTCCCAGCCTTGGAGAGAGCAGGGGTACCAAGGATCTTCCTCCAGTGAAGGACCCTGGAGCCCTATCCAGGGAGGGGCTGCTGGCCCCACTGGGTCTGCTGGCCATCCTGACCTTGGCAGTAGCCACACTGTATGGACTATCCCTGGCCACACCTGGGGAGTAGGCCAAGAAGGAAAATCTGACGAATAAAGACCCCCGCTGCCCCATAGCACTGAGTGGTCAATTGGCTCCTACCCTTCTTGGCAGCACAGACCTCTGCCCACACCCAGGGACCTGGGGAGGAGGGCACAGTGTTTGTCCCTCACTTTCCCTAGCAGGATGGTCAACTATCTGAGCCCAGTAAAAGTAGGGAAAACACAGAGAAGCCCAAATGGATGGAAAGAGTACAGCCTGATTCCAATTCCAGCAGCCGAGGCCAGGAAGAAAGGGGGCAGCAGCTCCAAACGATTGCATTTATTATAAACAAGTGTACAGACCCTAGACTCAGAAACACAACAGATTTGAGCTAAGACAGCTCTGGTGAAACAGTAATAGAGGGAGGAGGAACACGAGGTATTCATGTCTGGGCCAGAGCTGCCATCCAGGGCCCCACACCCCACCTTTGGTCCAGATGGCCCATTGGCCCAGGTGTCCCTGCTGCCAGAACACCGTGGACTGGGGTACAGGAGTTGTTGCATATTCCATGAGGCTGGTGTCGGGAAGCAGGGACTCACAGTTGCCAGGTTGTCCATCTCTGAGCCAATTTCCCTCCACAACCCAGGGGTTTCAGTCTCATATCAACTATCATGTTTGAAACAGAAAACAGGCAAAATGTTTGGCTAAAATAAAATGAAAACACTGCAGGGAAGAGAACTGAGTGTGCTGGTGGACAGGAGCCCTGCTCACCTGTGGGAAGGGCAGGGCCAGCAAGGGCAGCAGAGCTCCCTGGGGGCAGCTAGGCTGTGTGTGCATGTGGCCCTCCAGCTGGTCCCAGGGGAGATGCGGGGACAGGGGACAGTCCAGGCAGACAGGTACAGCTGAGTAGGGCTCTGCCTGAGGTGTTCTGGCATCAGGAGGCTGCCTGATCCCCAACAGGCATGACAGGCTCCAGGGAGCAATGGGACATCTGCCCAAAGGATCAAAGTCCAACTTGGCCAGATCCCAAGCTTCGCCTGCATCATGTCCCTGGCTCTGCAACGGGTACCCCCAACTCCGGGGACGAGCCATGGCCTCAAGCAGCAGCTGGCTACGCTGCCGAAACCAGGACACATCTGCATCACACAGAAAGCTGCGCCACCCTGGTGTGACAGGCCCTACTTGGTCACCCTAGGGTAAGCTGGAGAAGAACTCCAGATGTGCCCTGGAGAGGCCCCCACCTCTCAGGGGCCACCTCACAGGGTGCCCCCCACCACCCCATTCTTTGAGTTTGGCTTGAGATTTTAGGAAGCATAATTTCAGGTGAGGAAGAGAACAAAGTCTGGTCCCAGCCCACTCTGGCAAGGATTGTTCCCCACCTTGTCAGCATCAGAGGAAGCCACATATACAGGCAGGACACACACAGCACACATGGGGCGTAAGGAACCGTGCCTGGACACACACAGCACACATGGGGCGTAAGGAACCGCGCCTGCACACCACTCACGCACACACACAACATAACCAAGTGGCAGCCAGAGAGGCCAGGGAATGCTCAGAGGGCCGCCTTCGGGGCATCCATGTAGGCCGGGTTGTAAGGAGGCTGGCTGGCGGGGTAGGGCGCGGCTGCTCCTCCTGAAAGCAGAGAGGACCCTGGTTGGCTGTGAGCATGGTGGGCTGCCGTGTGAGTGGCAGGCAAGCAGAAAGGGGCAGAGGCCTGTTGAGTGATGTAGTTTGGGATGGGTGCCCGAGGGATGCTGGCAGAGACTCGGGAAGTCGGGCAGGGCTAGAGTTGGCAGGGGCACTCACCAGCCAGGGTCTCGTGGTAGGCCGGTGGGCCCATGGGCTGGGCTGGGTAAGGTGGTGGGTACTGCATTGGGTAGGGTGCTGCTGGCATCCCTGGCTGAGGCGGCATGGTGTGGTAGCCCTGGTAGCTTGGTCCAGGGTAGCTGGGCGGCACACTTGGAGGCTGAGGATAAGGGGCATGCACCACAGTGGTGGATGTGGTGGTGGTGACAACCGCTGCAAAGAGAATTCCAGTCAGGACCCTCCTCCATCTCCCCAGGTCTTGAGAGCCAGGCTTGCCACCCATCCCTCCAGCTTAGCCAAAGCAGGGCCTGGTCAGCTTCCCTTACCACCCCAGGGGGTCACAGTGGGGCAGGGTGGGCACGCTTACGACGTGGTCGGCGGCACGTCTTGTAAAGGCAGCAGCAGGAGCAGGTGAAGCAGATGATGATAGTGACGACAGACAGCACAAAGATGGTCAGGCCAACGGCCAAGGTCGCTCCGAACCTGCCAAAGAGCTAGACGTGACCCGGGGCACCTCGCCCCTCCCCAGACCAGCATCCACACCTTCCCAAGGCATGCCCCTCTTGCCAGAAGGGGTCTGGGCAATACAGTTATAGCTACTTCCTTGTCGGGTGGCCTGCACCTGTTTCAATCTGTTTCCTCTTGTGTAAACTGGGGTATATGTGAGTCCCTGTAACTGTCTCTCCCTGGGTCTCCCCCGCTTGTCCCACCCTCAGAGGCATGGGAGGAAGCTCTTCAAGTCCCATGCCACACACATACATCTATCTTGTCCACCTCACAACCAACTGATCAGCAGATGGGTATAGGGCACATGCCACAAGCCAGGCACTGTGATTTGAGTCAAAAAACTTAACAGTGGGCAAGACAGCCAGCCCTGGCCTCTGGGAGCCCACAGTCCAGTGTAGGAGGCAGACAGTGAAGATAACATGGCTCACAAAGCACAGGGTGAAGACTGAGAGAAGCCCCAGGAGGGCAGAGGCCAGTGTGGCCAGAACAGGAGGCCCCCATTGTTCCCCTGCACTCCACAACAGCCCCAGGGCAGGGAGGCTGGCCCCTGAGTGATAAGGACAGTTGCCTCTGCCTGCAAGCTTGCTGTATGCCAAGCACCGTGCCAGGGGTCACACACACCCCTGGGTCCCCCACCTCTGACCTGCATGGCCACTTCCACAGGTGAGAGGGCCAAGAGCCAAGGGGAGGACACAGAGGCCTGGAGGCAGGAGGCCAGAGGGCCTGCCCTTTGAGAAAGCAGGCCCTGGGCTGGGAAGCTCACCAAAATTGACTTCTAGGAGGGGGCAGTGGCTCATGCCTGCAATCTCAGCACTTTGGGAGGCCGAGGAGGGCGGATCACCTGAGGTGAGGTGTTCGAGACCAGCCTGGCCAACATGGTGAAACCCTGTCTCTACTAAAAATACAAAAATTAGTCGGGCACGGTGGCGGGTGCCTGTAATCCCAGCTACTTGGGAGGCTGAGGCAGGAGAATCGCTTGAACCCGAGAGGCAGAGGTTGCATTCAGCCAAGATCACGCCATTGCACTCCAGCCTGGGGACAGGAGCAAAACTCTGTCTCAAAAATGAAAGAAAAAAAAAAAAACCTGACTTCCAAATGCAGACAGAGCCCCTTACTAGCCACCCTGCCGTGTTTGCAGAGGCCAAGCTTCATTCTTTTTCTTTTTTAATTTATTTTTTGAGACAGGGTCTCACTCTGTTGCCCAGGCTGGAGTGCAGTGATATGATCACAGTTCACTGCAGCCTCCACCTCCCAGGCTCAAGTGATTCTCCCACCTCAGCCTCCCCAGTAGCTGGAACCACAGGCATGCACTACCACATTTATTTTTGCAGAGACAGGGGTCTCACTATGTTACCTAACTGGTTTCCAACTCCTGGCCTCAAGCAATCTTCCCTCCTCGGCCTCTCAAAGTGCTGAGATTAAAACTGTCTCGTGGCCAGGGTGCGGTGGCTCATGCCTGTAATCCCAGCACTTTGGGAGGCCGAGATGGGCGGATCACAAGGTTAGCAGTTTGAGACCAGCTTGGTCAACATGGTGAAACCCCGTCTCTACTAAAAATTAGCCGGTAGTCCCAACTACTCAGGAGGCTGAGGCAGGAGAATCGCTTGAACCCAGGAGGTGGAGGTTGTAGTGAGCCAAGATCGCACCACTGCACTCCAGCCTGGGGGACAGAGTGAGACTCTGTCTCAAAAAAAAAAAAAAAAAAAAAAAAGTCAGCCTTACATTTTGTACTGGATGATAAAAGATTTTAAAAAATAAAAAACGGTTGGGTGCGGTGGCTCACACCTGTAATCCCAGTACTTTGGGAGGCCGAGGCAGGTGGATCACCTGAGGTCTGGAATTCGAGAAAGTATAAAAAAAATTAGCCGGACATGATGGTGGGTGCTTGCAATCCCAGCTACTTGGGAGGCTAAGGCAGGAGAATCTCTTGAACCCAAGGAGGCAGAGATTGCAGTGAGCCAAGATCACACCATTGCACTCCAGCCTAGGCAACAAAAGCGAAACTCCATCTCAAAAAAGTAAATAAATAAAAAATAAAAATAAAAAACTGGCCAGGCGCGGTGGCAACACTTCTAGAGGCCGAAGTGGGCGGATCGCTTGAGGTCAGGAGTTCTAGACTACCCTGGCTAACATGGTAAAACCCTGTCTCTACTAAAAATACAAAAATTAGCAGGGCGTAGTGGCGCAAAACTGTAGTCCCAGCTACTCAGGAGGCTGAGGCAGGAGAATCGCTTGAACCAAGGAGGGAGGTTGCAGTGAGCTAAGATTGTGCCACTGCACTCCAGCCTGAGCAACAGTGGGAGACTCCGTCTCAAAAAATTAAAAAATAAAATAAATAGGCCAGGCGCAGTGGTTCATGCCTGTAATCCTAACACTTTGGGAGGCCGAGGCAGGCGGATCGCCTGAGGTCAGGAATTTGAGACCAGCCTGGGCAACATAGTGAAACCCCATCTCTACTAAAATACAAAAAAAAAAAGAATTAGCCGGGCGTGGTGGCACGTGCCTGTGGTCCCAGCTACTGGGGAGGCTGAGGCAGAAGAATCACGTGAACCCATGAGGCGGAGGTTGCAGTGAGCAGAGATCGCGCCACTGCACTCCTGCCTGGGTGACAGAGCGAGACTCTGTCTCCAAAAAAATAAAAAATAATAAGTTTTTTTTAAAAGGTGTCAGCCACCATGCCCAACCCAAGCTTTATTCCAACAAAAGGCAAATGCTTGGTAACTGCATCAAACACATCCAAAAACTCTAGGAGCTTTGTTAGCTGTAGGGCATCCCCCAGCAGCCTCTGCCCAACAGAGGCCCAAGGAGGGTGTGGGTCCCACCCTACCCCGCCCTGGGACTGCACAACTTCAGCAGGGCCCCACAGCACAGCCCAGGGACAGAGCTAAAGACTCCAGGCTCAAAAGCACCCCTCAGGACTCTCAAAGCAGGAGCCATCAGCCCCAGGCCGTCCAGGACAAGGCCCTAAAACAGGACCAGCAGACTACAGGTGTCTTCCGGCCCAACCAGAGGCAGGAATGGAGAAACGCACACACATTCACACGCCATCAATGACATGCGACCGCAAGGCCGTTATCATCCCTCCAGAGATCTCTCAGTGTTTGTCTCTCAAACACACACGCAGCATGGCGCCCAAGCTCACCCCATGTTAGCCTCTGCCTTCACCCAGAGGCCTCCTGTACCCCTGGGCTTTCCCCTCTTCCCATCGTGGGCCACTCAGTTTCAATTTCCTCCCCTTTTGGAGAAAAAGAAAGCAAATCTCCTCCAGATGACGTCAGCCACAGGAAGCACAGACGCGAAGCCCCGTTCCACCCTCTTAAAGACACAGGATGGCCCCGCCCAGCAGCCGGCTAGCAGCCAAGGAGCCAAGGGGCGGGGGCCGGGGAGGAGGGGAAGCAGAGGTGCCCCATTTGCCTCCCAGAGCTGCCTCCCTGAGCCAAGCCTACAGGGCCTGACCTCAGAATGCAGCCTGGCCACTAGGGGGTCTAAGAGCCACCCCAGCCTCAGTGGGCCCCAACCACACTCTAGCTCAGCAGCACCCCCACCCCCACTTCCACCTAACCCACCGGCCCTGTTCCACCAGCCTCCAGGAGGAGCTTCTGCATCCATCTAGGCCCAGAGGGCGACCCTGGGGCCCTGGCTGACACACATGCAAGGAGCAAAGTCCAGCCTGTCCCTTTAGCTCCTCCTCTCCCACCAGCACTCTCTCCAATCTGTCTCCCCATGTTCTCCCGGCCACCCTACTGGGGCCACCATGCAAGGTCCATCATGTCACCACCTGCTCAAACGCCAGCTATGGCTCCTGTAGCTCTTGCGATTACAAAGGAATTTGCTTTATAATTACATGTTAAACTGAGTGTGTCTGTGCTTTCCTGTGTATGTATTATAGTTGACAATAAAAGAAGAAAAGAGGCCATGTGCAGTGGCTCACACCTGCAATCCCAGCACTTTGGGAGGCCGAGGCTTTTGGGAAGCTTGAGCCCAGGAGTTCGAGACCAGCCTGGGCAACATGGCAAAACTCCTTCTTTACCTACCAAAAAATACAAAAATTAGCCAGGCTTGGTGGCACGCACCTGTAATCCCAGCTACTCAGGAGGCTTTCTCCAGCCTGGGAGACTGAGTGAGAATCTGTCTCAAAAAAAAAAAAAAAAAGAAGAGGAAGAAAAGAAAAATCTGGGATTTGTCTCACCAGACAGTGAAATTTACAATAAAGGAAATTTTATTATTATTATTTTTTTGAGGCAGGGTCTCACTCTGTTGCCCAGGCTGGAGTGCAGTGGCACGATCACAGCTCACTGCAGCCTCAAACTCCCAGGCTCAAGTGATCCTCCCACCTCAGTCCCCCAAGTAGCTGGAACCACAGGCATGCACCACCACACTCGGCTATTTTTTTATTTTTTGTAGAGACAGGGTCTCACTGTGTTGCCCAGGCTAATTTTTAATCTTTAATTAAAATTTTATTTTTTAATTTAATTTTTTTTTTTTTGAGACAGAGTCTTTCTCTGTCACCCAGGCTGGAGTGCAATGGTGCAATCTCAGCCCACTGCAGCCTCCGCCTCCCCGGGTTCAAGTGATTCTCGTGCCTCAGCCTCCCGAGAAGCTGGGACTACAGGTGCGTGCCACCACACCTGGCTAATTTGTGTATTTTTAGTAGAGATGGGGTTTCACCACGTTGGCCAGGCTGGTCTCGAACTCCCGACCTCAGGTGATCTGCCCACCTTGGCCTCCCAAAGTGCTGGGATTACAGGCCTGAGCCACCGTGCCTGGCCTTTAATTAAAATTTTAAATAAAATAAAACTCCCTATTAGGCCCACAAAGCCATGTGTGGTCTGGAACTGCCCCCTCTCCTTCAACCTCTGTGCTGAGTCCCATCCCCCTCCTTTCAGCTTTGAAAGCACCATGCTGTGTCCTGCTCAAGGCCTTTGCACATGCAGATACTCCTGCCAGCTCAGCCCTTTCCTCCTTTCATCTCAGCCACACCTAACTCATTCCTGCTCACCCCTCAGGCCTCAGGTCACTTCCCCAGGAGCACCCTCCCCACCATGCAGAAGAGGCCAGGCCCCTCAGCACATGCCCGCACGGAATTAAATTCCTTTCTACTTCAGTTCATAAACACACACTCTGTTGTGTGTGAGCATTTGATCAACTACGTCTTGCCCCTGCTTTGTACCATTATCATCCAATACAGCTTTCGGCCACCACTATATTTCCAGTGCCTAGCATATAGTGAGTGCTCAATAAAAAAAAAATTTTTGCATAATGTTGTGAATTAATCAATAAATATTGGACAGGTAAATGAATAAATTCACTCAGAGACCCCACCCAGGCACGGTGACCTTAGAAAACCAAGCAACATTCAAGGGGTGGTTGCAGAGCGGGGCTAGGGTACAAGGCCACACGTGGCTACAGTACCAATGGAACTACGCCTCCGAGAGGAAGGAATGGGGTCTCCCAAGGCTGGGGCCAAGCTCAAAAGGCAGAGTCGGCCCAAGCAGGAGGGAGCAGAAGGCAGAGGGGCAGCCACCCCGGCAGGGAGTTTGGGCAGGATTGTAGGGTCTGGGGAGAACTCGGCGGCCTCCAAGAAATGGAAGACTCCAAACCTTAGACAGTGAACAGGCTGGCTCTGGACCTGGGATACCCGCACCCCCACCCTGGTGTCAGCAAGGCCCCAGACAGGCTTGAGGGCCTGAGAACCACAGAAAGGACGCTTTGAGGGCTGGGAGGTAGCACCGGGGCTGTGGCCACACCTCGCCTAATGGGCCTCTCTCCCTTTCCCCTGCACTGTGGCAGTGGAGTCACAGCAGAGGGTCAGTGGTGGCCTCCTTGGGGTCTGCAGCCAGAGCTTCTGCCATTCGGTACTTAGAAACCCAACAGTCTTGCCCGACAGTCCTGTGAGTGCAAGGAGCTGGGAAGAGGACATGACAGTAGGATCCAAAACAACCAGGAGACTATCTGGGGAGTGAATAAGGCAAGAATGGCTGGAGCCACTCACCATTAAACAGAGATTCACTTGCCAAAGTCTAGGGGGCAGAAGACCTGGGCCAACCCTGAGCCCACAAATAGGGCCACACTATAACCCCTGCCATGGGTGGCATCCTCCTGCGGCAGGGGTTCTGGGCCAGGCAGATGTGGGCCCATCTGGATCCAGGCTCCAGCCTGCTGCCTCATGCCTAGGGAACTCAAAAAGTAGCCCAGGTCGGGCACAGTGGCTCAGCCTGTAATCCCAGCATTTTGGGAGGCTGAGGCGGGCAGATCACAAGGTCAGGAGCTCGAGACCAGTCTGGCCAACATGGTGAAACCCCATCTCTACTAAAAATACAAAAATTAGCCGGGCATGGTGGCCGGCACCTGTAATCCCAGCTACTCAGGAAGCTGAGGCAGGAGAATTGCTTGAACCCAGGAGGCGGAGGTTGCAGTGAGCAGAGATTGTGCCACTGCACTCCAGCCTGGGCAACAGGAGAGAAACTCCATCTCAAAAAAAAAAAAAAAAAAAAGTAGCCCAGAGGGAGATAGCCAGAGGCAAGGGTCCCAAAATAAGGAGAGGAGGAGGGGTCAGTGGCAGAGAGTGGGGCAGAGCTGGGGTGGGGCTCCTGGCCTGGGGTCTTTCCCCTGCCTGGCTTCTCCTGAGCTCCTGGCCATGGCCTCGACAGCAGGGGCCAGGCCCTCAACATGGAGCCAACTCTCCAGTGGACAAACAGTGCCCTTGGCCAAGTAGGCAGCACATGGATGCCCAGCAGAGGATGTCTCCTTGGGACCCAGACAGGCAGCCACCTGAGAGAGTTCAAAAGAGAGGAGTCATTGATGACCCTGTCCCCCTCCCCTCCTCCCAGCACCCACTTCTTTGGCTCCTGCACCTTTATAAAGCAGGTCCTAGGCATGAGCTGGGGCTCAGAACAAAGCAGAGGACAAGAGATGACATGAGGCGCGGGAGGGGGAGCATCACTCCAGTCACCTGCTCTTCTCGATGCATGGGCAAAATAGCCTGGGGCAGGAGGCAGCAGGGCACGCCAAGCACACGGCACACGAGGCCCAGTGCTATGCACACCACGGCGGCAGCTGGGCTAACAGAACAGGTCCCACATGCACACCTTGGGGAGTCAGAGGTGCCTCTGAGCTGGCCCCAGTCACCTCCCTGCTGCCACAACCCCAGGAAGCCACTCCTCCTCCTATGCCCCTCTGGGAGCTTGTTCCGCACTGTCTCCTCCTTGTTGTCCCAGCTCAAATCTATAACATTGAGAAAAAAAAAAAAAAAAGAAACAGAACAACCCTTCACATGGATTCTCCAACTCCTTTTTTTTGTTGTTGCAACCTCTGCCTCCTGGGTTCAAGTGATTCTCCTGCCTCAGCCTACAGAGTAGCTGGAATTACAGGCACCCGCCAACACGCCCAGCTAATTTTTGTTATTTTTAGTAGAGACAGGGTTTCACCATGTTGGCCAGGCTGGTCTTGAACTCCTGGCCTCAGGTGATCTGTCCACCTCAGCCTCCCAAAGTGCTGGGATTATAAGCATTAGCCACCACGCCCGGCCTCCCTTTTAAAAACAAAAAACAAAAAACACGGGGTCGCCCAGGCTGGAGTGCAGGGATTATTCCCAGGCAGGATCATACCTCACTGTAGCCCTGAACTCCCGGCCTACAGCGATCCTCCTGCCTCAGCCTCCCAAGTAGCTGGGACTACAGAAGTGTGGCACTGTGCCCAGCTTCAATGCCTGTCTTACTCCTCATCCATTCACGGCTAAAACTCTCCAAGGAGTTGCCTGCGACCAGCATACAATTTCCAACTGCTCTTCAATCTGCTCCACTGCCTCGCTCTTGCCCAGGGTGCCATGGACTCCGTGGTGTGAAATCTCCATTCCACAGCGCACTTCACCACAAGCCTGCCCTCCTCCAGTGTCCAGCCCCTGCTCCTTCCCACTCCCTCCACACCCTGCCTTGTGGGAGCTGCTGAATGTAAGTCTCCATCCTCACCTCTTGCCACCAAGCTCTGGCTCTCTCTGGCTCTCTCTGGCCTCCAGCGCCTCTGGCCAGGAAGCCGCCTGAGGCCACCTCCTACAGAAACGACTTCCCACCTCCCACACCCACCCCATCTGCTCTTTCCATCTTCCACAGAGCAGCCAGTGTGGTCTTCCTAAAACTCCATTCGGTCCCCAGCGCTCCCAGAACCCTCTGTGATGCCCACTGTCCTCAGGACGAGGCCCACTCCTTGACTGCCTCCAGGCCCACACAGGCTGGGCATAGGCATCTCCCACGGGGCCATCTGAAAGCCCACAATCCTGGGCCTCAGGGCAGGACAGCCGCTCCTGGGCTCCTGGACGTGGAGGGGAAGGCCTGTAGAGATCTCAGGCTCCAACCAGCCCTGAGGTGTTGAGGAGGGGCACAGCTGCACTTCTTCCCCTCCTCCACGCACAGGAGCCCTGCCCTGATTCTGCTGTAGCCAGTGAGGCCCCACACCTGCCTGGGCCTACAGGATGGGATGGGGCAAAACAAGAACCCAAGCCCCCCACTCAGGCCCAGAGCCCAAGGTCTCTTCCTCCAAAGGGGAAACCCTGCCCTCCTGGGCAGACCTTTTCTTTAAGCGGCTTCTAGATCCACCAGGGAAGAGGGGAGACAGCAAGTGGAACAGACCCAGGCAGGAAAGCCCGCCCTAGTGGCTGCACACCCATTCCACCTCCAGGAAGATGTCACAACTCCTGTTACGGTGGCAATAACACAGGCCGGAGCCCAGCCAAGGGGACTGGGGTTTGGGGGCTGGGGTTGCTCCTTGGTTCCCTGAGAGGAGAGTCCTGACACAGTAACCATGACCCACAAAGCTTCACACAGGAACTGTGGCATCATTGGTTGTCCCAGGACCTCTCCCCACCGTTATCACCCCAATACCATGTGCTTGCCAGCACCACCATCACCCCATCACCATCACCATTGTCACCAATGCCCAATCACAATATACCCGCCCCCATCTACCATCATCGCATGCCCACTACAGCCCCTTCTCTGTCACTCCTGCCCCCATCGGGACCCATCAGTCATCTGCTGACTCAACCCAGCATCTAGGTCAATGTACCCCGGACCCCTGGCCCTTCAATTGTCAACCCCCGACCACAGTCACCCACGTCCCCACCACCCCAGCACACTAATGAAGACACCTTCACAGCATAAGGAGCAAGTGTCCTAGTGGTCAGATATGGTGACAGTTTCTTGGGCTCCACCCCAATGACCGAATCATCCCAGTCCCCCAGATGCACACTGGCCCCCCTGAGCCCTCTTGTCACCTTTGCCAGGAAGATGCACCCAGCCAGCAGGCTTTACTTACCCTGACATGGGGTCGTTGTAGCCAGGGCGAAACCTCAGCGCCGAGCCCAGCTGCTCCACCGGCTCTACACTGGCAGGCACGCTGCAAACAGGAAACCTTGTGATTAGCACAATGAAGCCCCACCGAGCGCCAGCACAAACACTACCTTAGGGCACCACAAAACGTGCACAGAAGCTACTATGAACCGGTGGCTTCAATGGCCTTCCAGAGGTGGACTCTGCCCACACCGGGATCTCATAGCACAAAGCCACACATCCTCTCAGGTGTCCACCAGACTGTCTCCAGGAGAGAACATATGTTAGGCCACAAAACAAGTCTCAGCAGATTTTAGAAGACAGATACCATACAAAGGATCTTCTCTGACCACAACAGGATGAAGTTACAAATCAGTAACCACATTGCCACAAAGTTTATTATAATTTTTTTTTGTTTTTGAGATGGAGTCTTCCTCTGTCACCTAGGCTGGAGTGCAGAGGCACGATCTTGGCTCACTGCAACCTCCGCCTCCCAGGTTCAAGCGATTCTCCTGCCTCACCCTCCTGGGTAGCTGGGATTACAGGCACCCGCCACCATGCGCAGCTAATTTTTGTATTTTTAGTAGAGACAGTGTTTCACCATATTGGCCAGGCTGGTCTCGAACTCCTGACCTCGTGATCTGCCCGCCTTGGCCTCCCAAAGTGCTGGGATTACAGGCGTTAGCCACCACACCTGGCCTACATTTCCACAAAGTTTTTTTTTTTTTTTTGAGACAGAGTCTTGCTCTCTCGCCCAGGCTGGAGTGCGGTGGCGCGATCTCGGCTCACTGCAAGCTCCGCCTCCCGGCTTCACACCGTTCTCCTGCCTCAGCCTCCCGAGTAGCTGGGTCTACAGGCGCCCACAACTACGCCCGGCTAATTTTTTGTATTTTTAGTAGAGACAAGGTTTCACCGTGTTAGCCAGGATGGTCTCGATCTCCTGACCTCGTGATCCACCTGCCTTGGCCTCCCAAAGTGCTGGGATTACAGGCGTGAGCCACCACGCCTGGCCTCCACAGAGTTTTTTTAAAAAGTACTAAAACAACAACAACAACAACAACAAAAAACTCCTACCTTGGGAAACTAAGAAGGTACAAAAAAAAAAAAGCAAAATAAAACCAAAACTCTTGATTTGTATTGTGTTAAATAAGAACTCATAAAGGATACTTACCTGGCAGGGGAGAAGATATCATGATCACGAAGAAGTAATAAAGGAAACTAACAAGTATGTAGAACTAAATGATGAAAATACATCAAAATTCGTGAAACACAGATAAAATAGTTCTTAGAGGGAGATTTGTATCTTTAATAGAATTTATCAAGAAATGGGGGGGCCGAGGAGGGTGGATCTCAAGGTCAGGAGTTTGAGACTAGCCTGTCCAGGATGGTGAAACCCCATCTCTACTAAAAATACAAAAATTAGCCGGGCTCAGTGGCATGCACCTGTAATCCCAGTTACTCGGGAGGCTGAGGCAGGAGAATCGCTTGAACCCAGGAGGCGGAGGTTGCAGTAAGCTCAGATCACGTCACTGCACTCAAGCCTAAGTGACAGAGCAAGACTCAAATGTCAAAAATAATAATAATTTATCAGAAAACAGGAATGGTTAAAAATAAATGATATGGGCCAGGGGAAGTGACTCATGCCTGTAATCCCAGTGCTTTGAGAGATCGAGGCAGGCAGATCAACTGAGGTCAGGAGTTCGAGACCAGCCTGGCCAATATGGTAAAACCCCGTCTCTATTAAAAATACAAAAATTAGCCAGGCGTGGTGGCGGGCACCTGTAATCCCAGCTACTCTGGAGTCTGAGGGAGGAGAATTGCTTCGACCCAGGTGGTGCAGGCGGCAGTGAGCCGAGATCACACCATTGCAATCCAGCCTGGGCGACAAGAGCGAGACTCCATCTTGAAAAATAATAAGAATAAATAAATAAATAAATAAATAAATAAGATGATATTAAACTCAAGATGAGCTGGGCGTGGTGGCTCACGCCTGTAATCCCAGCATTTTGGGAGGCCAAGGTGGGTGGATCATGAGGTCAGGAGTACAAGACCAGCCTGGCCAAGATGGTGAAACCCTGTCTCTACTAAAAATACAAAAAATTAGCTGGGTGTGGTGGCAGGCGCCTGTAATCCCAGCTACTCGGGAGGCTGAGGCAGAGAACTGCTTGAACCCGGGAGGTGGAGGTTGCAGTGAGCCAAGATCGTGCCACTGCACTCCAGCCTTGGCAATGGACCGAGACTCTGTCTCAAAAAAATAAAATAAAATAAAATAAAATAAAATAAACTCAAGATGATTTCTTTAAAAGTAATGGAAAATGTGGCCAGGTTGGTGGCTCACGCCTGTAATAACAGCACTTTGGGAGGCTGAGGAGGGCGGATCATGAGATCAGGAGTTCGAGACCAGCCTGGCCAACGTGGCGAAACCCCATCTCTACTAAAACTACAAAAATTAGCCTGGTGTGGTGGTGGCCGCCTGTAATCCGCTACTCGGGAGGCTGAGGCAGGAGAATTGTTTGAACCTGGGAGGTGGAGGTTGCTGTGAGCCAAGATCATGCCATTGCACTCCAGCCTGGGTGAAAAGAGCAAGACTGTCTCGGCCGGGTGCAGTGGCTCACGCCTATAATCCCAGCACTTTGGGAGGCCGAGGCGGGTGGATCACAAGGTCAGGAGATCGAGACCATCCTGGCTAACACAGTGAAACCCTGTCTCTACTAAAAATACAAAAAAAATTAGCCAGGCGTGGTGGCGGGCACCTGTAGTCACAGCTACTCGGGAGGCTGAGGCAGGAGAATGGTGTGAACCCGGGAGGCAGAGGTTGCAGTGAGCCGAGATCATGCCACTGCACTCCAGCCTGGGGGACAGAGTGAGACTCTGTCTCACAAAAAAGAAAAAAAAAAGACTCTGTCTCAAAAAAAAAAAAAAAAGTAATGGAAAACCCAAAAAACAAGGAAGAAATTAATAAAGGTAAGTGCAAAAATAAACCAGAATAGCCATAGAGAATAATAGAGAAGATTAGCAAACCAAAGCTAATAGACTTCTGACAAGACTAACCACGAAAAAGGAGGGCAGCCAAGTGCAATAGCACACACCTGTGGTCCCAGCTACTCAGGAGGCTTAGGTGGGAGGATCACTTGAGCCCAGGAGTTCCAGGCTGCAGTGAGCTGTGATCACGCCACTGCACTCCAGCCTGGGCGACAGACTGAGACCCTGTCTCGAAAACAATAAATAAATAAAATAACATAATAACATTATTTGGATTCCGATTTGGACAAACCATCTGTGAAAAGGCATTTTGGAAACTAGTGGAGGCAACTGAACACAGTATTTAAAGCTATCAGTGAATTACTGTTAATTGTGCCAAATATGATAGTGGTTATATTGCCCTTATATTGGAAGGGAAATAGTTATATTTGCCTTCAAGGACCTCATTTTTAGCAATGAAAACTCACTTTTTTTTTTTTGAGACAGAGTCTCGTCTCTTGTCGCCCAGGCTGGAGTGCAGTGGTGCAATCTCGGCTCACTGCAACCTCTGCCTCCCAGGTTCAAGCGATTCTCCTGCCTCAGCCTCCTGAGTAGCTGGGATTACAGGCATGTGCCACACACCCGGCTAATTTTTGTATTTTTAGTAGAGATGGGGTTTCACCATGTTAGTCAGGCTGGACTCGAACTCCTGACCTTGTGATCCACCCATCTTGGCCTCCCAAAATTCTAGGATTACAGGTGTGAGCCACCGTGCCCGGCCTTTTTCTCTTTGACACAGGGTCTCATCTGTCACCCAGGCTGGAATGCAGTGGTGTGATCACAGCTCACTGCAGCTATGACCTCCCGGGCTCAAGTGATCCTCCCACCTCGGCCTCCCAAGTAGCTGGGACTACAGGCACATGCCATCCCACCTAGCTAATTTTTTTTTTTTTTTTATTGATCATTCTTGGGTGTTTCTCGCAGAGGGGGATTTGGCAGAGTCATAGGACAATAGTGGAGGGAAGGTCAGCAGATAAACAAGTGAACAAAGGTCTCTAGTTTTCCTAGGCAGAGGACCCTGCGGCCTTCAGCAGTGTTTGTGTCCCTGGGTACTTGAGATTAGGGAGTGGTGATGACTCTTAAGGAGCATGCTGCCTTCAAGCATCTGTTTAACAAAGCACATCTTGCACCGCCCTTAATCCATTTAACCCTGAGTGGACACAGCACATGTTTCAGAGAGCACAGGGTTGGGGGTAAGGTCATAGATCAACAGGATCCCAAGGCAGAAGAATTTTTCTCAGTATAGAACAAAATGAAAGGTCTCCCATGTCTACTTCTTTCTACACAGACACAGCAACCATCTGATTTCTCAATCTTTTCCCCACCTTTCCCCCTTTTCTATCCCACAAAACCGCCATTGTCACCTTGGCCCGTTCTCAATGAGCTGTTCGGTACACCTCCCAGACGGGGTGGTGGCCGGGCAGAGGGGCTCCTCACTTCCCAGTAGGGGTGGCCGGGCAGAGGCGCCCCTCACCTCCCGGACGGGGCGGCTGGCCGGGTGGGGGGCTGACCCCCCCACCTCCCTCCCGGACGGGGCGGCTGGCCGGGCGGGGGGCTGACCCCACCACCTCCCTCCCGGACGGGGCGGCTGGCCGGGCGGGGGGCTGACCCCCCCACCTCCCTCCCGGACAGGGCGGCTGGCCGGGCGGGGGGCTGACCCCACCTAGCTAATTTTTTGAATTTTTTGTAGACATAAGGTCTCACTATATTGCCCAGGTTGGTCTGAAACTCCTGGACTCAAGTGATCCTCCTGCCTCAGCCTCCCAAAGTGCTGGGATTACAGGTGTGAGCCACTGCACCCAGCCAAATACTAATATTTAAGAAGAACTTTTTATGATGTCTGGGATTTGCTTTAAAATAATTCAGAAAAAGAAAAGTGGTGGGACATATATAGCACAATGGTGTCAGAGTATTGGTAACGGGAAGTGGGTGATGGATGCATTGAGTTATATTGTTCTCTCTGCTTTTGTACTTATTTGAAACTTTCCAAAATTAGATGTAAAACAAAATAAAATGTAAAAGCGTTATAAACAATTATACCCTAATACACTTGGAGGAAAACCAGTAAAGCTGAGGAGAAAATATTTTTTAAGAAATATGTGGGCTGGGTGCGGTGGCTCATGCCTGTAATCCCTACACTTTGGGAAGCCGAGGCAGGCGGATCACCTAAGATCAGGAGTTTGAGACCAGCCTGGCCAACATGGTGAAACCCTGTCTCTACTAAAAATACAAAAATTAGCGGGGCGTGGTGGCACCTGCCTGTAATTCCAGCTACTCAGGAGGCGGAGACAGGAGAATTGCTTGAACCCAGGAGGCGGAGGTTGCAGTGAGCTGAGATTGTGCTACTCCAGCCTGGGCGACAGAGCGAGACACTGTCTCAAAACCAAAAAATAAAGAAGGCCAGGCACAGTGGCTCATGCCTGTAATCCCAGCACTTTGGGAGGCCAAGGCAGGCAGATCACCTGAGGTCAGGAGTTTGAGACTGGCCTGGCCAAAATGGTGAAACCCCATCCCTACTAAAAATACAAAAAATTAGCCAGGCGTGGTGGCAGGTGCCTGTAGCCCCAGCTACTCAGGAGGCTGAGGCAGGAGAATCGCTTGAACCCAGAAGGCAGAGGTTGCAGTGAGCCGAGATGGCGCCACTGCACTCCAGCCTGGGCAATGAGAGCAAAACTCCATCTCAAAAAAAGAAATCTGAGGCCAGGTGCAATGGCTCGTGCCTACAGGCATGTAGTACTTTGGGAGGCCGAGGCTAGAGAATCGCTTGAGCACAGGAGTCAAAACCAGACTGAGCAACATGGTGAGACCCCTTCTCTACAAAAAATACAAAAGTTGGCTGGGCATGTGGTCCCAGCTACTCAACAGGCTGAGGCAGGAGGATCACTTGAGGGAGGTAGAGGCTGCAGTGAGCCGTGATCATGCCACTACACTTCAGCCTGGGGGACAGAGCAAGACTCAGTCTCAAAAAAACGAAAAGAAATAAAGAAAAGAAACCAGTGTGAGACCGGGCACGGTGGCTCACGCCTGTAATCCCAGCACTTTGGGAGGCCAAGGCGGGCGGATCACCTGAGGTCAGGAGTTCAAGACCAGCCTGACCAACATGGAGAAACCCCGTCTCTACTAAAAATACAAAATTAGCCAAGCGTGGTGGTGCATGCCTGTAATCCCAGCTACTAGGGAGGCTGAGGCAGGAGAATCGCTTGAACCTGGGAGGTGGAGGTTGCAGTGAGCCAAGATCGTGCCATTGCACTTGTTGCCCACCATGGGCAACAAGAGCAAAACTCCATCTCAAAAAATATATATTTTTATATATATATTAAATATATATATTATATATATAATATATTATATATAATATATATTCTATATTTAATATAAGATAATATAAGAATATGTATTTATATATAATATATAGATATTATATATAAGTATATATTATATTTATATATAAAATCTACATATAATATTATATACATTTAAAAGAAATCAGTGTGAAAGCTTCAGAGAGCAATGGAAAGAATGTGAAGCTGATATGAGTGGTGGTGAGGCTGGGGACAAAGATCCAGAGATGAGCCTGACAGCTGAGGTCCTTTTTCTCCTTGGAGCATTAGCCACTTTCAGAAGGGCAGCTGAGAGGCTGAGCAGCACTTCTGGAAGCTTCAGGAGACCAAGGTGACAGGGCTTAGATCCAGAGCCTACCAGGTGAGGTGGCCCTGATGACCCCCATTCACTTAGGCTGGGACCCGAAAAGCTGTACCTTAAGAGGAAGGGAGAGACTGAGTAGACGGCTCAGCCTCTAATAATTTCAGTCTCTACAACTAGACCAGGTGATCTGAGAACGCTAGAGTTACTGCCAGAAGCAACCTAAATCCTCCCTGGAGAAAGTCCTGGCTCCAAATTTCTATAATCAATTTTGCAAATGTGATGTTAGGCACACAATCAAAAATTTTCAGAAACACTAGGAGACCAGACAGTATGAATAGAAAACAGCAGAAAAAACTGACAATAGAAAATAGATTATAGATTACATATATTATATATTATATATAATACATTATGTTATATAACATATAATGTATTATATATTATATATTATATAATATATAATACATTATGTTATATAATATATAATGATAATGTATTATATATTATATATTATATAATATATAATATGTTATATAATGTATAATATATAATATATATTATATATTATATATTTTATATATTTATAATATTATATATTATATATTTATAATTATATTATATATATTACATATTATATATATTTATAATTATATAATATACAATATATATAATATAATTATAAATATATATTATATATTATATAGATTATAGATTTTATATATTATATATTATATATATAGATTATATATATATTATAATAGATTATAAGCTCACGCCTATAATCCCAGCACTTTGGGAGGCGGAGGCGGGTGGATCACCTGAGGTCAGGAGTTTGAGACCAGCTTGATCAACATGGTGAAACCCTGTCTCTACTAAAAATAAAAATAAAATAAAATAAAATAAAAATTTGCCAGGCATGGTGGCGCATGCCTGTAATCCCTGCAATGCCTGTACTCGGGAGGCTGAGACAGGAGAATCACTTGAACCCGGGAGGTGGAGGTTACAGTGAGCCGAGACTGAGCCACTGCACGCCAGCCTGGGTGACAGAGACAAGACTCCATCTCAAAAAAAAAAAAAAGAAAGAAAAGAAAAGAAAAACCCACAGGTGGCCAGGTGTGGCGGCTCATGCCTATAATCCTAGCACTCTGGGAGGCCAAGTTGGAAGGATTGCTTAAGCCCAGCAGTTCAAGACCAGCCTGGGCAACATAGGGAGATCCCATCAGTATTAAAAAAATATAATAATGTCCATAGGCGCACACACACACACGCACACGCACACACACACACACACTCCCACACACTCCCACACAGATGCGCCTGCCAAGAGTTTTCTAAAACTGAAATTTAACAAATTCCATATACCAATTTGAGGGGAATCAATATCTTTAAAATATGGTCTTCCAATTCATGAGCCCTGTCTATGCCTCCATTTATTTAGGGCTATGATTTTTTGTAATAATGTTTTATGTATTTTATAGTTTATATAGTTACATAGTTTATATGCTTTATGAACATACAGTTTATACGTTTTAATGTTTATAGTTTGTATGTTTATATGTTTTATAAATACACAGTTTGTATGTTTTACAGTTTATGGTTCATAGTTTTCTGTGTAGAAATTTTGTCTTTCCTAGGTATTTGATGTTTTTGATGCTATTGGAAACGTCTTTTGAAATTATATTTTTAATTAGAAGTTTAATAGATTTTTTTACTATACTGACCTTGTATGTCTCACACACACAAAAAAAGAAATACCAGCTGGGCGCAGTGGCTCACATCTGTAATCCCAGCACTTTGGGAGGCCAAGGTGGGTGAATCACCTGAGGTAAGGAGTTCAAGGCCAGCCTGGCCAACATAGCAAAACCCTGTCTACTAAAAATACCAAAAAAATTATCTGGGCATGGTGGCACATGCCTGTAACCCAAGTTGCTTGGGAGGCTGAGGTAGGAGAATCGCTTGAACCTGGGAGGCAGAGGTTGCAGTGAGCCAAGATCATGCCACTGCACTCCAGCCTGGGCAACAGAGTGAGACTCCGTCTCAAAAAACCAAACCAAACCAAAACAAAACAAAACAAAAGAAGTACCCATGGGGGATATTTCTTTAGATGTTAAACAAAACAAAATTTAAAAGCATTATAAACAATTATACCCTAATACATTTGAAGGAAAACCAGTGAAGCTAAGGAGAAAAATTTGCCTTAAAATACTGAAATTATCAGACACTGACATTAGAATAACAACACATACACTGTTTAAAGATTACACAGTGAGATTAAAGGAAAAAAGAGCTTAAAGAGATTAAACAAAAGATTGAGCAATTCAGAGGAAAACTTGAAATATATGGGATACTTAGTGTTGAAGGAGCAGCTTGGATCCTCTTGACTGCTTTTTTTTTTTTTTTTTTTTTTTGTGAGACAGAGTCTTGCTTGTAGCCCAATCTCGACTCAATGCAAGCTCCGCCTCCCTGGTTCACGCCATTCTCCTCCCTTAGCCTCCCGAGTAGCTGGGACTACAGGTGCCCACCACCATGCCCGGCTAACTTTTTGTATTTTTAGTAGAGATGGGGTTTCACCATGTTAGCCAGGATGGTCTTGATCTCCTGACCTCATGATCCGCCTACCTTGGCCTCCCAAAGTGCTGGGATTACAGGCGTGAGCCACCGCACCCAGCCAACTGCTTATAGTAAAATGTGAAAAGGCCGGGCGCGGTGGCTCACGCCTGTAATCCCAGCACTTTGGGAGGCCAAGGCGGGCAGATCACCTGATGTCGGGAGTTCGAGACCAGCCTGGCCAACATGGAGAAACCCCGTCTCTACTAAAAACACAAAATTAGCCGTGCGTGGTGGCACATGCCTGTAATCCCAGCTACTAGGGAGGCTGAGGCAGCAGAATCACTTGAACCCGGGAGGTGGAGGTTGCGGTGAGCTGAGCTCATGCCATTGCACTCCAGCCTGAGCAACAAGAGCGAAACTCCGTCTCAAAAAAAAAAAAAAAAAAGTGAAAAAAGAGAAATGAATTGTTAAGCAAAAAAAGAACTAGAATTTAAAAATCTGGACAATTCTCAGCCTATCCATACTGTAAATACTAAGAGAGTAGTCCAAAAACTGCGAGGTAAGGAGATTAGAATGGGTATGAATCACAGACCTAATCAGTCACCCTAGCACCTGCCAGAGGGGAGAAAGGGGATGAAGTGAAGGAAGGCTGTCGGACATCTAAGATCCTACAGGACTGGGCCATAGAGCAAGCTTGTCCAACCTGTGACCAGCGGCCCACATTCAGGCCAGGATGGCTTTGAATGTGGCCCAACACAAATTCTTAAACTTTCTTAAAACATTATGAGATTTTTTTTTTTTTTTTTTTGCTCATCAGCTATCATTAGTGTGTTTTATGTGTGGCCCAAGACAATTTTCTTCTTCCAAAGTGGCCCAGAGAAGGCAAAAGATTGGACACCCCTGCTACAGCTATTTTTTTATTTTTTTATTTTTTAGCCAGAGTCTCACTCTGTCACCCAAGCTGGAGTGCAGTGGCATGATCTCAGCTCACTGCAAGCTCTGCCTCCCGGGTTCACGCCATTCCTGCCTCAGTCTCCTGAGTAGCTGGCACTACAGGCGCCCGCCACCATGCCTGGCTAACTTTTTCTATTTTGTTCAGCAGAGACGGGGTTTCACCATGTTAGCCAGGATGGTCTCGATCTCCTGACCTTGTGATCCGCCCGCCTCGGCCTCCCAAAGTGCTGGGATTACAGGCTTGAGCCACTGCGCCTGGCCTTTTTTTTTTTTTTTTTTTTTTTTGAGACAGGGTCTCACTCTGCCACCCAAGCTGGAGTGCAGTAGTGTGATCACAGCTCACTGCAACCTTGATCTCCTAGGCTCAAGCAATCCTCCCACCTCAGCCTCCTGAGTAGCTGGGGCTACAAGTGCATGCTACCATGCCCAGCTAACTAAAAAAAAAAAATCATGGAGACGAGGTCTCACTATATTGCCCAGGCTGGTCTTGAACTCCTGGGCTCAAGCAATCCTCCCATCTCAGCCTCTCAAAGTACTGGGATTAAAGGCGTCAGCCATCATGCTTGGCAGCGCTATTTTCAAGGTGCAGTGTTCTTAAAGACAAGAAAAGGACCTCAAAGACAATTCAATCATCAAGGCTGCCACTCCCACCACAGGCCCAGAGTGCACAGGCCGGAACCAGGTTGCCGCCACCTCCGTTTTTTTTGTTGTTGTTGCTTTTTTTCTGAGACGGAGTTTTGCTCTTGCCACCCAGGCTGGCTGGAGTGCAATGGCGCAATCTCGGTTCACTACAACCTCCACCTCCTGGGTTCAAGCGATTCTCCTGCCTCAGCCTCCCAAGTAGCTGGGATTACAGGCATGCGCCACCATACCCAGCTATTTTTGCATTATTAATACAGATGGGGTTTCTCTATGTTGGTCAGGCTGGTCTCAAACTCCTGACCTCAGGTGATCCGCCCACCTCGGCTTCCCGAAGTGGTAGGATTACAGGTATGAGCCACTGCACCTGGCCGGCCACCTCAGTTTTGAAGGCCAGGACCACCACCCAGCAGAGCCATGGGGGTGCAGCCCCCATCACAGTGGGTCCAGAGGGCAGAGTGTCCAGCCAAAGAGGATTATTCCCAAGGCTTAAAGTCTACTGGAGTTTGTCTTGCTAGAATTTAGAATTGCCTGGCACTGAGAACTAAACTCTGATTTTTTTTATCTCGCCCAAATTCCTATCTAAGGGGCCTGGGGAGTCATGCCCTACAAATCATAAATTCTCATCAAATGGGTTTTATTTAACCCTATATATCATGATTTACTTTCCAACCTGACTCTGGCATAACATTAAGAGACAAGGAAAAAAAATCAAAACATTTTACCCCAAAACATGTTTCTTTGCCATATTTTGAAATGACCTTGCAAAGCTGTTCTCTATGGGAGAAAATGTGCATCTGTAAAGAATCTCTATTAACATAGCTAGATCTTTTCCTTCCAGACCCTCCCAATCCTAAAGAGAGTAACTAAAATCTGAATAGGAAACATTTGTCATCTATTGTCTCTAAGGGCAGCCACTAGAAGACTTCAGAAGAACTTTGGGCTCCACAATCTTTATCTTAATCTGAACATTCCTTTTCTATCAATCAATTTTGTCTTTAGACAAACTCAACCAATTGTCAAACAGAAAACGTTTAAATTCACTTATAGGCTAGAAGCTCCCCACCCTCCCAACCCCCCGCCCTTTGAGTCGTCCCACCTTTCTGGACCAAACCAATGTATTTCTTCTTTTTTTTTGAGATGGAGTCTCGCTCTGTCGCCCAGGCTGGAGTGCAGTGGCGTGATCTCTGCTCACTGCAAGCTCTGCCTCCCAGGTTCACGCCATTCTCCTGCCTCAGCCTCCCGAGTAGCTGGGGCTACAAGCGCCCGTCACCATGCCCAGCTAATTTTTTGTATTTTTAGTAGAGACGGGGTTTCACCGTGTTAGCCAGGATGGTCTCGATCTCCTGACCTCGTGATCCGCCCGCCTCGGCCTCCCAAAGTGCTGGGATTACAGGTGTGAGGCACCGCGCCCGGCCTAACCAATGTATTTCTTTAATGTATTTGATTGATGTCTCATGCCTCTCTAAAATGTATGAAACCAAGCGGTGCCCGGACCACCTTGGGCACATGTTCTCAAGACCTCCTGAGGGCTGTTTCACGGGCGATGGTCACTCATATTCGGCTCAGAATAAATCTCTTCAAATATTTTAGAGTTTGGCTTTTCGTTGACAGCACCTATCACTTCCTGCTGTTTTCGTTTGTTTGTTTTTGTTTTGTTTTGTTTGAAACAAGGGTCTCACTCTGTCCCAGGCTGGAGTAGAGTGGCACGATCTCAGCTCACTGCAACCTCTGCCCCCACCAAGCTCAAGCAATTCTCCCACCTCAGCCTCCTAATAGTTGGGACCACAGACGCGCACCATCATGCCTGGGGATTTTTTTAGTAGAGATGGGGTCTCACCATGTTGCCCTGGCTACACTTCCTACTGATTTCTCTCCCTTTTGTAATAGGGGTGGCTATCCTTTGCCTGTCCCACAAATGCATTTCTGGCTTCACAGGTTTCACAACTGGAGATAAATTTTGCCTCAGGATGAAATGTACCTATGGTCTCATTCATATCTGATTTTGATAATATGTGAACAAGGCTTTGCACTTTAGAGTTAAGAGTAGTTGATGCTGGAATGAGTTAAGACTGCTCAGGGTGTGGAGGTTGCAGTGAGCTGAGATTGTGCCACTCCACTCCAGCCGGGAACAGAGCAAGACTCCATCTCAAAAAAAAAAAAAAAAAAAAAAAAAAAAAAAAAAAAAAGGCCAGGCGCGGTGGCTCACGCCTGTAATCCCAGCACTTTGGGAGGCCGAGGCGGGCGGATCACGAGGTCAGGAGATCAAGACCATCCTGGCAAACACGGTGAAACCCTGTCTCTACTAAAAATACAAAAAATTAGCCGGGCGCGGTGGCGGGCGCCTGTAGTCCCAGCTACTCAAGAGGCTGAGGCAGGAGAATGGCGTGAACCCGGGAGGCGGAGCTTGCAGTGAGCCGAGATCGGGCCACTGCAGTCCCGCCTGGGTGAAAGAGCGAGACTCCGTCTCATAAGAAAAAAAAGAGGTAATTAGGTTTAGATGAGATCATGAGGGTGAAGCTGCCAGGATGGGATTAGTGTCCTTATAAAAAGAGGAAGAGAAATTCGATTTCTCTCTGCATGCATGCACCAATGTTCGGAGGTGAGCAGGTCTGTACAAGCCTTCGCCCAAGGAAGCTGAGAAGCTGAAGAAAGAGGCTGACAAATCCAGTTTCTCAGAAACATTTAATAGGGACTTCTTAACCTCAGATCCTGGGCTTATAAACCACAGGGAATTGGTCTAAGGGCAGGATTTATGGTAAGTATGTGAAAGGCATTAGAGGCATTCCCAGAACTGGGGTTAATCAGAAGTCAACATGGGCAGATTAGCATCCAAGATGGAGTTGTTTTCAGCCTCCACAAACAGGGAAAGGCCACGTGAGGACATAACCAGGAAGAAGGCCCTCACCAGGATCATGCCAGCACCCTGATCTTAAACCTCCTGCCTCTAGGACTGTGAGAAATGTTTGTTGTTTAAGCCACACAATCTACAGTATTTCCTAAAAGCAGTCTGAATGGACTAAAACACATGAAACTTTCCTCATGTTTCACTAAGGATATGCTGGGCCATAAAATGTACTGAAATCTTGAAAACGGCACAATGGGGTATTACAACACAACCACCAAAATTGCTAAAATTAAACTTTCGGCTGGGTGCAGTGGCTTACACCTGTAATCCTAGCACTTTGGGAGGCCAAGGTGGGCTGATCACTTGAGCCCAGGAGGTCAGGACCAGCCTGGGCAACATAGTAAGACCCCTTCTCTACAAAAATAAACAAAAATTAGCCATGCACCATGGCGCATGCCTGTAATCCCAGCTGCTCGGTAGGCTGAGGTCAGAGGATGGCTTGAGCCCAGGAGGTAGAGGCTGCAGTGAGCTGAGACTGTGCCGCTGCAGTGAGCTGAGACTGTGCCACTGCACTACAGCCTGGGTGACAGAGTGAGACCCTATCTTGGAAAATAAATGAATAAATTAATAAATTAAATAAATAAATAAATTCCTTAGAAATGGCCATGATCTATTCTTTTTTTTTTTTTTTTTTTTTTTTTTGAGACAGAGGCGGCTCTGTCATCCCGGCTGAAGTGCAGTGGCACAATCTCGGCTCACTGCAACCTCTGCCCACCGGGTTCAAGCGATTCTCCCTGCCTCAGCCTCCTGAGTAGCTGGGATTACAGGTGTGTGCCACCACACCCGGCTAATTTTTCTATTTTTTAGTAGAGATGGGGTTTCACCATGTTGCCCAGACTGGTCTTGAACTCCTGACCTCATGTGATCCACCCGCCTCAGCCTCCCAAAGTGCTGGGATTACAGGCATCAGCCACTGCACCCATCCGATTTCTTTTTTAACTGACAAAAATTGTATATATTTATAGCGTACAAAAATGATGTTTTGAAATATGTATATATTGAATGGCTAAATTGAGGTAATTAGCATATGCATTACTTCACGTACTTACCTTTTTTTGTGGTGAGAACACTCAAAATCTACTTCCTTAGCAATTTTCAAGTATACAACATATTATTATAAACTATAGTCACCATTATGATGTACAATAGATCTCTTGAACTTACTCCTCCTAAGTGAAATTTTGTGTCCTTTGACCAACATCTCCCTAATCCTGCCACCTCCTAGTCTCCGGTTACCACCATTTTATTCTGTTTCTATGAGTTTGACTTTGACACTCCACATATAAGTGAGATGGTGCTGTATTTGTCTTTCTGCGCCTAGCTTATTTCACTTAACATAATGTTCTCCAGGTACATCCATGTCATCATAAATGACAGGATTTCTGGATTTCCTTTTTTTTTTTTTTTTTGAGATGGAGTTTCACTCTGTTGCCAGGCTAGAGTGCAGTGGCATGATCTCAGCTCACTGCAACCTCCGCCTCCCGAGTTCAAGGGATTCTCCTGCCTCAGCCTCCAGAGTAGCTGGGATTACAGGCGTGCACCACCACCAGCTAATTTTTGTATTTTTAGTAGAAACGTGGTTTCACCATGTTGGCCAGGATGGTCTCGATCTCCTGACCTCGTGATCCACCCCCCCTTGGCCTCCCAAAGTGCTGGGATTACAGGCGTGAGCCACTGCACCCAGCCAATTTCCTTCTTTTTAAGGCTGAATAGTATTTCGCTGTGTACATATACCACATTTTCTTTATCCATTTATCCTGATGGACAGGTAGATTGATTGCATACTTTGGCTATTGTGATAATGCTGCAATGAACAAGGGAGAGCAGGTATCTCTTTGGGGTATGGATTTCATATCCTTTGGATATATACGCAGTGATGGGATGGCTGGATCATATGCACATGGTAGCTCTATTTTTAATTTTTGGGGGACCCTCCTACTT